>NC_000002.12:60190352-60493382 GCF_000001405.40 Homo sapiens | reverse complement strand
TCCCTGGACTCAAACTCAAAACCTTTTCTGTGTTCTCGAAATGCCTTAGATGTTTACCTAAGAGAAATGTAGACATACATTCCTATAAACACATCTACACAGTGTCCATTGTAGCACTGTTCATAGTGGTCAAAAAGTGGTCACAACCCACATGGCAACCAATAGGTTGAATGGATAAACGCCCTATGGTGGAATACAACTCAACAGTAGAAGAATGAAAGAGTAACACACTCCACACCATGGATGAATCCCAGAATCATTCTGCTCTGTGGAAGAAATTAAACACAAAAGACGATATCCTGTATGAGTCCATTTGTAACAAATTCTAGAATTCTCAACACTGTGGTGGTAGGTGGGGGTTCAGTGGTTAGAAGGAAGGGGTCAGAGGGTTAGGGAAGGGGATTGACAGCAAAGGGGCATGAGGGGGCTTTCTAGACTGGTGGACGTGTTCTGTATCTTGATTTTGGTGGAGGCCACACAGCTGTATACAACTGGCAAATTGAATCCAACTGTACACTTAAAATGAATGACTTTTGTTGTATGTAAAGTATACCTTAATAAAGCTAAAGCGAAACAAAACAAAACACCCACCACTGGAGTGGAACCAAGTCTGTCTGTAACCTTTAACTGTTTGGGTCTCCTCAAGACTCTAGCCGTCTTTCAGGGTAGCACCAAAGTACATTTCAGGGAAATGAGAATGCCCTTTGTATTCTGAGATTTTATAGAAGTTGGTAATGACAGAGAGAGAGAGAGAGAGAGAGAGAGAGGGAGGCCCACTGAGATGGGGTTATCCACCATAAGCAGAGCATTTGGGTCTGAGAAGCGCATGAGTACTGGTGAGTATGTGAGGAAGGAGAGAGCAAGGGGAGGAAATCTGTTTTCCTAGAATTCCAGCAGGCTTCAAAAAGTAAAAAGGGGAGGGAGTACCCAACTAAGTTTTTTTCTTCCCTAGAAATACATTTATTCTAAACATTAGCCCAATTAGTTGTCTTTTGTTTGTTTGTTTGTTTGTTTTTGAGACAGGGTCTCGCTGTGTTGCCTAGGCTAGAGTGTAGTGGCATGTTCATAGCTCACTGCAGCCTTGATCTCCTAGGCTCAAGCCATCCTGTCACCTCAGCCTCCTGAGTAGCTGGGACGACAGGTGCATGCCACCATGCCTGGCTAATTTTGTAGAGATGGAGTTTCTCCCTGTTGCCCAGGCTGGTCTTGAACTCCTGGGCTCCAGTGATCCTCCTGCCTTGACCTCCCAAAGTGCTGGGATTACAGGCGAGAGCCACTGTGCCTGTCACCAACTCAGTCTTATTCATCAGTATGTCTTCTCCTTAAGCGGAGATGCTAACAATGTAGCATCTCCTGTGCTGAATTCCTGTAAAGTGAGGGTTTTTGTTTTTCCTACATCCATCTTCCTCTCCAGATTCCCTCTCAATTTCCAAGGTATTTAGCGTAAATGCAATATCTGAACTTCATTTATTTGGCAGATTTGTGTGGACTGCCTTTTCTGAACCTATTTGGGTGCTAAGGACTGTATGGATTTGGGTTCTTAACATGGAAAACGTCTGTGCCTGCGTAGTGTTGGGTCCTACCTGGCCACTTGGCTCTCAACACGGAGTGATGATGCCTAGGGTGTTTTGACGTGGGCAGTCAGCCCAGCCTGGAGAACTGAGGGGAGCATTTCTTTCTTTTTTTTTTTTTTCTTTTTTCTTTTTTTGGTGAGACGGAGATTTACTCTTGTTGCCCGGGCTGGAATGCAATGGCGCGATCTCGGCTCACTGCATCTTCTGCCTCCCAGGTTCAAGCGATCTCCTGCCTCAGCCTCCCGAGTAGCTGAGATTACAGGCATGTATTACCATGCCCGGCTAATTTTGTATTTTTAGTAGAGACGGGGTTTCACTGTGTTGTCCAAACTGATCTTGAACTCCTGACCTCAGGTGATCCTCCTGCCCCGGCCTCCCAAAGTGCTGGGATTACAGGTGTGAGCCACAGCGCCTGGCCGGGAGCATTTCAAATGATAGTTAGGACTTCCTTTTACTGTACTTAATAGCTGAAGGGGGCCAAAAGTGTCCATGTTTGCTGCCCTCTGGCATCAAAATGAGGTCCTTTTTAGTAGTGCTGCATTTAAAACAGCATTAAGAATACGTTTTTAGAACTTAGCTTTTTGCATTGAGGATGCGCAGGTGGCTGAGACTAACTTCTTTGCAGATGACCATGGTTGAAAGTCAGCTATAGAGTTGCACAACCACGTAGTTGGGCTTCACATATAGAAGATGTTGTCATTTTTTGGTAACTCTGTCAGACTTTACCAACCTGGCGCACAGTCTGGTTGGCACATAAACTTCACATTTGCTCTTCTCCAGGGTGTGGGGTGGCTGTTTAAAGAGGGTGGATATTCATGCTAATCTTTGTGTAGCATAACATGTTACTGCAACTTGCTTTTTTTTTTTTATCTGAAAGTTCAAGTAGATATCAGAAGGGAAATGTTTGTGGGTGCTAAGAAGGTTAAAATTACCATTTTGAACAGAAATGATATTTGGAAAAATAACTTCCCTTTTAGGAAGGTAAATCAGTCATTTATATGCTATTTGTTGAATTCCTAGAATATATGAATATCATGTCACATGCTGTGCTGGTACTTTCAAATATAATAGAAGCAAGTAGGAGAAAGAGTCCCTGTATTGAAGAAACTCATTGGGAACACATGAAATTAATTAGAGGCATAGAGGGTTAACCAGCAATGTAAGGCCTAGATATGAGTCAGGGAGTGGTGCATGGGATGAGTGTTCTATGAGGTTGGAGAAGGATGAGATTGATTCTTCTTGCTAAGGTGACTAGGTAGACCTTCATTGAGGCCTTGAAGTATGAGCAGGATTCCAGGAGGTAAGAGAAGAAGAAGAAAAGCCAGGAAGGAAATGAGAACGGAAGGGATTTTTACTTGGGCAGAATATTTTCCTTGATGGGTACGGGGAACTAAGACTGGAATAGAAAATTGGAGTTGGATTGTGGAGCTCTGGAATGATGGCTTAAGGAGTTGGACCATATCCTATAGATCACAGAGGGCTGCTGAAATACTCTGATCAGAAGACAAAGGCAGCATGCTAGGGGATGTTAAGTGAGGACTCTGCAAAGGGGGTGGATGAGTTGTTGAAATTCTCTGTTATACCCTTCATGCCGAGTTCTCCCCTGTTGACTTATATGTTCTAGAGGATGGAGTTGGTTGACCGTAGGGTTTCCTTTCACTAGCAGAATGGAACCAGATATTGTAGGAGCCTAGCACATGGGTCTGTTACTAATATAGAGGACTGTTTAAATCTTGGAAAGCTTTCCTTTTGCCTTTGCCCCCATTGCAGATGGGGAGTGGGCAGGAATGACGTTCAGAATCAAGGGCCCATCAGGGTCTGTATTGGTCCCTTGTCCCTCTCCTCCAGTCCATCCATGTTGGGATACTCAGGGCATGGATGGTGTTTCATGATAGCATTTATCATTTTGATGATATGTGACAAAATAAGGCAGGCATCAAAATTCATATCCCTGTGATCTCTCTTTAATAGTGTCCTCCTGCTTTGGGGGTTATTAAGCTAGCCTGAACTTGAGTAAACATTTTTGGATGGGGTGAGAGGGGGGCTGATAAAAGTGGTTAGTAAATAGACAGTTGGAAAGGAGAACGGCCCGGGGGCTCAGGAGATGAGCCAGGGAACAAGGAAAGCAGAGATGCTAGTGACCCAGAGTGTCCTAGAGGGGAAAGAACCTCTGTTAGAATTTCAAATGTCAGACTTTCTTTTCAGCTTCCTTCAGGTGCTTCCTCTTCTACTCAGAATTTTCTTTTGAGATAGGTGCTGGTCAAACAAGCTTTTGTTTGTGGCTGGTCACTTGGCACACAGTGTGGCTGTTTGTCATCCTGGATGATGAGGCAGCTATTTTAATGGCACGCAGGGCCGCCGTGTGTTTACTGCCAAGAAATAAGGGCTTCTAGGAGACTTGGTGGCTTTAGGAACAAACTTCCAGCGGCAGAAATTAGTTAGGAAGCAGAGTAGCACTGGGTTCCAAATGCCTCTATTGTATGAATTTGGATATGTTGTGGGCAAAATGACATAAAAGAAATGGAATGAGAAATAGTGTAAGTGACTGACAAGGACCCCATTGGCATGTGGGCTAGTGTTGACTGGCTCTCACAGTGTGAATTTAGTTAGGTGTTTCCACTTTATTTTCCCCAAACTCTAAAGCAACAGTTTAATTGGGGTCTAAGGTACCCTTTAGAAACATTTTGACCACCTATTATTTAGGACACACAGCATTTTTTTTCTTTGAAGATAAATTTGTTTTGGGTATGGCTGGGTGTGGTAGCTTATGCCTATAATCCCAGCACTTTGGGAGGCTGAGGTGGGTGGATCACCTAAGGTCGGGAGTTTGAGACCAGCCTGACCAACATGGAGAAACCCCGTCTCTACCAAAAATACAGAAATTAGCCGCGTGTGGTGGCGCATGCCTATAATCCCAGCTACTTGGGAGGCTGAGGCAGGAGAATCGCTTGAACCCGGGAGGCGGAGATTGCGGTGAGCCGAGATTGCGCCATTGCACTCCAGCCCGGGCAACAAGAGCGAAACTCCACCTCAGAAACAAAAAACAAACAAACAAACAAACAAACAAACAAAATCGTTTTGGGTAGCAGTGGCTTTAGGCTGTTTTTGGATCTTTGGCTATTGATACTGATTTGAAATTTTTTGTTATTATTTTCATGTTAAGCAAAACTAGAAAGTTTTACCGAATTCCCCTGCAGTACAGTAAGTATTTTCTTTCATTGGGGGAAGCAAACTATTTACAGCCATAACAGGGTTTCCAGTGAATTGTATAAGTAGCACTGAGTTCTGTGTCAGCAAAAAATGAAACAAAAACTGATCATAGATGACATTACCTAAATGACAGTACCTACGTGTGTCCTTTCTTTCACATTTGCTGTAATCCTGTTATGGCATTGTCCTATTATCTCAAGTACTGTCATCTTTAAATGCTGTCAAATTGTAACTGGATTGCCAAGGACAGAGGAGAGGAACCAGGGAGGACACAATGGCAATTCCCACTGCACCAAAGAGACGGTCTTCTTCCCCCTCTCACAGTCTGAATTCTTGGAGACATTGTTCAGTTAAAATCATGACTCAGGTATCTTTTACAGGCTTTGATGAAATAGTCAGATTCACTCCTCATGTTCCTAGAAGGAAAGGAAGAAACACTCTTTGAACAGCCCGTGAGACAAACTCTTCCAGGATAATTTAAATGTTTCTACATAATGAGAATAAATTGTAAGTGTTACTGTGTTTTTAAAACCCAGGTCAAAAGTAATAGCACAGAGAGGGATCTATAAGCATTTAATATCTAATTGTTCATATATTGCTTCCCCAGGTTTAGATGAGGGCTCCATTCTAGAGTTGGGAAAACCAAGTCAGTAAACCTTTAGTGGCAGATGTTATCAGGGAGCTGGAGTTGGAGTACTTGCATTTTGTGTTTGTGCCAGCTGTCCATGTTCCTCTTCATATATTTAGACCAAATTCTTATCCAGATTTCCCATTAAAGGTTCATAAATTTCCAGTTTTCACCTTTCTGCAGCTTCCTTAGATAGAATGGTTGATGAGAAAATTACCGCATTAAAATTAAGCCTCTTGCTTTTTACATTCTGCTGCTCATAAATAAGGGAGTGGGAAATGGTTACTTTGAACACCCTCGTTAAAGGCTGGTGTGGTTGCCAGAGAATAGGGCTAACTTAAGGGGGATCCGCTAAGCCTTCTTTTTCATGCCTTTTTTTGTTTTGTTTTGTTCTGGATTTTATAAAGGCATCATTTAGTTTTCCCTTAATCTGAATCTGTATTCATTTTTAAATATCTAATGTTGATTAGTATGTTCTATTATTTATAGCCCTCCAGAAGGATCCCAAGGGAAGATAATCTACATTTGAGAAGACGATTTCCCAATTTCCATACAGATGACGAAAACGTAACTGCCCACTACACTGCTCCCCCTGCTGAATTTTCTTTTTCCACTCTCGGTGTGTGGCATTGTGGGGTGCAGACACCTGAAAGCCTGACTGGAGATGTAACATGGGCTCTGCTGACATTAGCATGAAGAGCTTAGCTAATCGACTTGCAAAATATAGGTTAGGGAGTTTTATAGGATATCAAATTATCTTACTCTTTCATTGATTAAAGGCAAAATATTACATTAACTAGATCATTACATGGGTAAAAGGTTAGAACTTCACACACTTAGGGGTGTTGCACTATCCTTCCCCTTCCTGCCTTGTGGCAAATCACAGGTTGGAGGCAGGGAAACTCACTGTGTCTAGCGCTCCTAAATGCCTGAATAGCAACGTTAGACTTAAAGGAGGGGCATTTGCCTTCGCTTTGAATCTCCCGAGTCTTTTTTATTCTGATAGAATAGTAATCTTAAAATTAAATATTAATTTGTTCTGATTCCATTTCTGTTAGCAGGGAAAAGGGCAAATACATGAAAGGGCGTGGGCTGAGCCATGGCCAGGTTTGAGAGACAGAGTGATTCGCAGTAGTCTTCCCAGGGTGTTGAGTGGGAACGTCTCCCTGGGAAGGGATGTGGTCATTCTCAGACTGTGGGCTCAGACTCTGTCACACTGTAATACCTCTGTCAACCATCTAATGCTATCAAGGCCTTCCTGAGAGAAGTTTCAGGCCCAATCCTGATGTTGAGTTGGCATGTTCACATGTCTGGTAATAATCTGCCAGCTAATCCATCATGCTGCTCATTTCTGTGCATTATTCATCTCAAAGCCAGAGGATCTCATGTCCATCACAGGGCTGTGGTCTGTGGATAGGGAAAATTTCAAGGCTTTTCTGGGCCTGATGTAGCCATTTTCTTTCAGTATCTTAGATTGGTAGGTCTTTAGAAATTATCTCTCAAAATGTGTGTGTGTGTGCCTAAGTATAGTTTTCTTGAATTTCTCACTTCAGTACTTAACTACACATATGTGCAGAAAGTGAACTCTTAGAATTTGGCTATCCGTTCTTTCTCATTGTGTGAGAAGGAGGCAAAGTTGCCAAATTGGAGGTGGGGCAAGGTGGGCCAGTAGAGCTGTGATTGGTGTCTCACTTTGATGTGTAGGAGAGAGAACAAATCACAAGTCATTCTCTGGAAAGGAGCCATGGTCCACCCACAGAACAAGGACCCTGAAATCCCCAGTACCAGTCTCCCTAGGATGTCTTGCCTTTCAGCAGCTGTTCAGTCAAATCCATTTCAGAATGGAGAACAGCTTGTCACAGTTCTCTACTCTTGACCTGCTGATAGAACAAGGGGCTTGGAGATTTTGGGTAGATATGGAAATAGATCCCTAAACATACTAAAAAGATTTTTTTTGTACGTGTGGTGGGGGAGAGGAGAACCAGAGCAGAAGGTTGGAGAAAGAAAGTTGGGGAAGGAAACTAAAATGTGCAATCTCATTCCTCAGCCTTCTTGTTGAAAATGAGAATCAGATGCAGCAATGTATTATTTCCAAGAGCTATCTGGTGATGGGATCCATCTGGTGAAGGGCTACTTCTGGGGGACCTGGAATTGCTGTGTGACCTTTGGGAAACACTTGCCTTCTCTGGGTTGAGCTCAGCCCGTAGTTCACAAGGGGCATTGCTGGTATTTATAGACTGTGTTTGACAGTCCCGAGTGAAAGGCAACTTCACTTCTCACCCCAGAATAGCAAGCGTTGTTTCTCATATCTAGGTTGCTGGGACAGCTTCCCAGGAACCTAATATTCAGCAGCTTCGTGACGTTGGATGGAGGGTTTTTCTTTTTAAATGAGTTGATTGGCTTTTGCCACTTTACACATTGTTTTCCAGGTCTAGGTTTATTTTTCCCTTATAGGTAGAATATAAAAGAGTATGGGGTCTGCCCTGGCTCACACCGTTCTGTTTTTGCAGTTAGCTTAAAGGCATGGAGGACATTCCTGGGACTAGCATCTGCTAGCCAAGAACGAAGATGACAGCAACATGGCCGTAGAGGCATGGGCCCTGCTGGGGCTAATAACCCACTGCAGGCTATCCTTGGCATTCTTGCTGGAGTGGCCTTGCTCCACCCTACCTGGTCACTGTGCCGTTCAGTCTGGGCTATGGCCTCTCACCCCACCTCATCCCATTGCATTTCATAAGCCAGTAACTCCAAGGCCAGACTTCCATTACACTCTGGATGACTGCATTTATTTGCAGTGACTTCAAGGAAGAAGGGGCCTGTTTAGGAAATTAGGCACTGGCCTGGTGAAAAGGTCAACTTGCGAAATTGTGGCTGCAAGGGATGCCTTTTTCTTCCAAGGCTATGCCTTGGTGGTGGTGGTGAGGGTGTACAAATTGTTTTTTGTATTTCCTATTTTGATTTAAATACTGTTTTTTGTTTGGTTGGTTGGTTTTTTTTTTTTTTTTTTAAGTCCTAAACAAGTGCCACAGAGGATTTCTTTTTGGCTTGAACTTGATAAAATTTGGAGCACACAAGTTTACACACATGGTCATGAACACACACCCCTTCTCCCATCTCCCCAGACCCCCAGCACATATGTTCCATAATGAGGTGTTCCTAAGTGAGAATTCCCATAATTTGAGGTTTTATACTGGAATGGTGATAAGGGCAGGAAACCTCAGCCCATGTGCATTTTTTCTCGAGTGGTTAACCTTTCCTCTCTTTCTCCTTCTTTTTTTGCCCCCCTCCAAATTCCCCCTTCTCTTAAGAAAAAACACGTGAGCCATGTTGGAAGTACAGCCTTGACCTCAGCCTCACCAGGTGCGGCTGCTGACCGGTGCAAAAAAATAGGAAATATTATTTAAAAGGCAGGGAGGGGAGAGTTTCTGTTCCACAATCACTGCTGTTTCAGTGAAAAGCAACCCGGTTTATCTGTAAAACCTACTTCCCTTTCTGGTGAATGTGGCTGTTTTTGACAGCAGAGGACCCCAGTTGTTGAGGACTAAAGAGAGAGAAGATGAGAAAGAAGATGCTGGAAACAGAGGTTGGAGAAAGAGAGGCAAGGAAGTAGAAAGGAGGAAAAGGGGAAGAGAGGAGGCAGGGGGAGAGAGGGTTGGAATTCGAGCTATTTTCAGCTGAATGTGAGTGCAGATTTCATCAGGCTTCTGGGCTACAGGGAAACTGACTGTGTGCGGACCTTGCGTGTAACTTCCTGTGAAGCAGCCGTGGTGACTGCATTTTCTGACACTGTCAGAGTCTGGACAACCCTGCCAGCTCCTAGAAGGGCAACCCAACAACTGTCACAGACGAAGCATCAAAAGCATGAGCTGTCGATAGTGACCTGCATTTGCAGAAAATCTGAGGGCTTTCTAATTAACAGAGGAGCTCTAAATTAGAGTAAAGCTGTTCGACAAGACCCCTCATACGCGGTAAGTGTCACAATGCAGATAATCATTACATCTAACAAGCTTCTGATTTTTAACAGAAGCTATGAGACCAACTCATTTATAATGGTTCAGTTTCAAAGGGGGAAAAAAAAGCAACCAAGAAAGAAAAAGAAGGAAAGAAAAAAAGGGAGAAAAGGAAGAAAGAAAGAACAACCAGAAGAACAAAAATAGGAAAGAAAAATAAAAAGAAATCCTCCTTCTAGTGCTTTGGGCGAGTGCTTAGACCCAGTCCCCAAATTCTTCCTTTGTTGTCTGCTGAAGCATCCAGATACATCTTCTGTTTTAGATTTTCCTTACTGTAATCCACGTCTGCTAATATGCCAGCTCATTCATTTGATGTTTCCTGGGGACGAGCATCCTCTCTTGAGTTATTTCTGACAACTGCAGCATTCCACAGGGTCTGAGTTGTTGAACACAGTGCCCTAACTTAAATATTACAATCAAAACACATGACATAGACAGCAGTTGATTTGGGTTCTGCCTTGGACAGAGAAACAGACTGGGGCTAAAGGGACTGCAGCTATACCTGGGGACTTGCCTGAGATCATCTGGGACTTGCCTGGTCTCAAGTCTTCTGACCTTGGCCAGGGATCTTTGCACTGGGCAGGGGAATTTGAGTCCCAATTTGAGGCATCGATTTAAACCACTTTTCAAAGGCCTGAATGGAGCTGATTATTTGTGTGTCTTCTTTTCCTGGTCTTCCCCTTGTCAAGACCATTTCTCTACCACGGGATATATATTAGAGGGGAAAACGGCTGTAAACCCTGATTGTTGGCTAGCATTGTTCAGGAAGTGTAGCATTAAGGAGCAACACTTCTCTCGCCTGTGTTGATTCTCCTCCAACTACCCACACTATCCTTGCAGTTATTCATGGGAAATAATATAAATCACACTGCCTGATTCTTCTCAAACATCTCGCAAAGTAATCATGGGCTGAAGTGCAGGTTTTCTTGCAGTGCCTTTATCAGTAAATCAGATTTTGAGCATTTATCAGCAAAAGTTAGACTTAAACATCATCATTTCTGTAATGTTTGAAAGAAAGATTTGTTTCAGTGGGGACTCTGCCAATCAATGATCTTCCAGCTTGACTCTGCTATCAATTATTGCTGCAATTATTTGTCTAGTTGGATATTTAAAATGTCATCAGAAAGAGATGATTACACATTCTAGAAAGCAAGGCACTGTATAATCACATGAACTGAATCCAGTTAAATGTAGTGTGGTACTAACCTGTCCTTCAAAATAGAATTTTTGAGCTACCACTGAAGCAGCAGTCTTCTGCCCTGTTTTCAGGAAGCTGATCTTAACCTTGGGATGCAGTGTGCTTTCAGGGTTGGGTGATACTTAATTATGGAGAACTTTCCAAGTCTGAAAATGGAATTGCTCCTTCACATACGCGAGAAGTGCATTTTGGTTATCTCATTCATCTGCAAATCTATAAATAAGCAGTCCCTCTATTCTTCTTGCTTCCTGTGGATTTAAATGCCAAATCCTGATTTGTGGCAAAGTTGTCACATGCCCCTTTCCCACTCTGTATGCCTGGTGCCCAGGAACTAAGCAGTGGCAGTGGAAATTACAACTGTTTGGAAGCCAAGAAAAAAGCTCCATTTCTCACTTTTCTCCAGTTCCGGATATTCTCGGCTCTGCTCCATGTATCAGCCTCCTCCCCACACACCTCCTCCACTGCACACCCTCCTTCTGTCCGCTCCGTGAACAGGAAACAGAAATACAGCTCCAATTTTTTTTTTTAATGGAGGAAGAGAAACCACAACCCGAACAAAAAACTCAAAAACTAAACTCCAACCAAACTAAACTCTCAAGATAGAATCATGAGAGATGCAAAATGTCCAAAATGTCCTAAGTGGCTCAAACCACCCGCCCCTTAACAGGTCTGCCTCTCTTCCTGGGAGTCAGAAGTGACCTTGATGAACTGGATGTTAGGTCCAAAAATGACAAACAAGCCCTCCACTGGGAAACATCAGTCCAACCCCTTTCTTTTGACAGCAGGACTAGAACAGACCAGAGGTTCCGGAGAAGGTCTCTATACCTAGGTGGGTTTCCTGAGCTGGAGAATTTTCCATGGGGCTGTCTGTGTGTTGAGGCTTTTCCCCATTCACTTTCCCAATTCACTTCCCAGAGAGCATGCTGAGCTCATTCCAGGACACTGTGATGGTCAAAAGGCTCTCCCACCATCACACAGAATGTACTAGGGTTCTGTTAGAAAATTAATCTCACTTGTGGAAAAAAAATGCCCTTAAAACACTGGAGCCCTGAGTTGTATGTGCTGGAGCATGTGGGGAAAAGAAAGATGTAGGGGGTGGAGCGTCAAGAAAAACAAGACAAAAAAATTCACGAGCCATGGAAATGGAGAAGAAACACTGTTTCTGCTGCAGTTGCTCTTAGCCAGGGGCCAGCGTGGACAGCACTGTCACCTTGATCCCTGTCCTCCTTCACCTGCCAGCTTGTGGGCTGGGTGGCTTAAGTTCTAGCCCTGGGTGACCCTCTGACTCCTGAGAGCATGTGTATGTGCTTGTGGTGGGTGGGGTGTAGTGCGTTAAAGCCGCAAAGCAGAGGTGCGAAGGGCCTGGTGTAGGTCGTGGGAGACAGAGAGAAGGCCCTGGGTTCTGAATGTTTTTACTTTTCCTAGGATCCCTGCTTCATTTTTGTTTTCAAGGAGTTACTTGTTTCTCTCTTCTTGCCTTCCAGCATGTCCCAAGCAGAGATGGGTGGCTAGGTTTGGGAATGGGGTGCTGGGAGGGGAGGGGATATCCCATTCCAGGGCCCTTCCCAGTTTTGGGGCTGGGAAGCCTCAATCTCCTTGAGCACAGCAGGGCTTTGCCTTCTTTCTTCCCTGAGCTGCGGCCACCACTGGGCTGTACCAGGATCTAGTGCAACTTGGGTGACAAGGTGTGGGTGGCTGCAGGTGTTCTCCCTGCATCTGAGGCAGGGAGGCAGCTGGGGGCTTCCAGCCAGCCTGTAATGCCCCTCCCAGGTCTAGCTTCCTAGCCTTATTTTTAAGCCCTTTTAGTGGAGCAAAAACTATTTAGAACTATGAGTTCAAAAATAGGATTATTCAAGCGGAGGTACTTCACACTGTTCTTTCTCTTGGGACAGAGATGGGGGTGCAGGTAGGGGATGAGAATAGAGGAAAATGTGGAGGATTGCTAAAACAAATTGAGAGAGGAAGGAAGAAAGGGACCCAGACTAGTAATTGAGACCAATTCACCAGAAGACTTAAGGAAATTTGACATCCGCTGTAGCTCTTTTAACTGTGTAATTACACAGCATTTGGAAAGTGAATGATTAACCTGATTGTCCATAACAACCATTGAGTAAATACACTATTACAGATTGCCAAAATAGTACAGTGAAGCGATGGACCAGCAGCCACTTTCAAGGGGCTGTAATCCTCTCCTGGGTCAAGGCTGACCCAGAGGCTCCTTGGTTAGTGAATCATTTACTAGGGAAGGTTTCCCCTGGTCACTGCTGGCTCCATGGCCTGGTCCTTCCAGCCAGGTCATTTAGAATGGCTCTCCAACAGGAAGAAAAGTTCACTGCACAGCGCTTGAATCCTAATTATTTATTGAGGGGCTCTTCTTTGCCCAGCATGGTGCTGGACAGTCAGAGGTAGACCACTGAGTCTTGGTTCTTAGAAGCCTTGAACTTTTAGTTGGAGAACCAGTGGTAGATACATGCTGATTACAGGGAGACTTGGATCCAGGAGAAATGGAGTGGAGAGCCAGGTTCAGAAGAGAGACATATCCTTTACAGGCCTTTGTGTTACCTAGCCAGTGCCTTCATGTCCCCAGCCCCCTGGCCTCCAGCTCCTCCACCCCCACCTTCCCCCCTCCTCGCTGTCCTTGGTGCAGAGTGGGGCAGTCATCTCAGTGGGGCCTCCTCCCGGGGAAGTCCACAGCTTGCTCCACACCGGAGGAGCCGCCAAAGTCAGCCAAGAGCCGCAGGCCATAAATGCAAAGTATGATTTAACAAAAGCAGCTTTTGAGTGAGAAAGCTGAGTGGAGTTGTCCCAACCTGTCAACTTCAGATTTCTTTCCTCCTCCCCATAAATCAAAAAACGGTTGGTGGAAGGGAGGGACAGAAGCGTTTCATTTTCAGATTTTGTAAGAAAATAAAATAAAATCAAAAGAACCTGTCCCACGCTGATACCTTACATGCCAGGTTTGAGCCTGAGGCAAATTTTTGTGGCCATGTAATAAGCCTCTTTAAAATGGTGACAGACCCTTGACTCTTTGCCTTGAATTACATTGATAAAAGACATTTTATTGCATTAGAGCTGGGGCAGGAGTACAGGACGGTTCTTGCCTGGTCGGCCTCTTTGAAACCGCGTCAGCCTGCCGTCCACACTCTCCACCGCCTGACAGGGTTTGAGTGCGATGGCAGCTGAGATCTGTGGGCCGGTGACAGAGGGGGCTTTCTACCCAGCAGTAGAAGGTTGAGGCCCTGGAAGCAAAAGGATTTCAGCCTGAGGGGCTTGTTAAGGGAGAGTTATTCTTTCCTGTTCCTAGTAGACCTGAGAGAGCTTGACGTTGGTGGCCTCTGGTCAGCCTCATGGTTGGGACTGCGTGGAAATGCTAGACCTGAGAGACCTCATTTCCCAAGCAGTCTTAGAGAGACTCAAAACAAAAAATGGTCTCCGGGTCCCACCGTGGTGTGTGGCCGCTGTGCCCGCAGAGGCCAGGTGTCCATAGGCTGAGTCCCCACGTGGACCTGCTAGGTGGGTAGAAAGGAGTTGAAGATGTTGTGCTGTTGGTTGGAGGAGCTTGGAGGTGTCTGGGAACATTGGATGTTACTCATATGGAATCAGCAGAATTAGTAGAGCCAAGAACAGACGGCAGTGCCACACCCCATGGCTGGACTGAGGCTGCTCCAATGATGGCAGGTTGTATCTGCGGGCATCTCCAATTTGCTCAGGGAACTCTTTCCAGATTGGTCAGTGGTATAAATGAAGGATTAGGAAATTGGGTAAAAAGCCAGGGAGGAGGGAAAAAAAAAAAACAAAAAACAAAGCACGTCAAAGCCAAGGCCTGTGTTTTGTTCTGTGGGACTTTGCCAGAGAGATGAGGACTGAGGCTGGGCTGCTGTGTGCCTGGGAGGCGGGAAGGTGCTGAGGCACTGCAGAGAAGCAGCTGCAGCATGCCCCGGGCAGAGGCCTGTTTTCTGAAAGAAGGACTTGCCGTCATGGGAGGAGGCCTGGCCTCGCAGCACCAGAGCGCTCCTTCATTCAGCCTCACCTCAGGCGAGAGGGCAGCCTAGTTTTATTCCTGAAGAAATGTTAGAGCCTGACCTGCTAGACCATTTTTTTTGGTAGAGCTTTGAAGCCTTAAATTAGTTCTCATAATTTCTGAGCAGCTCTGTGTTAACCATAGGACATAATAGGTTTTAATTCTGGAGAATGGCCAGTTCTGGTTCTCAGAATCTCTTGGCCAAGACTGTCACAGAGTATTAGGCCTGTGAAGTGCCTTCCACGCTTCCCCTGAAGTCCACACACCAGTCACTCAATAGTGCCAGAAAGGCAAGTGAGGAGATTGCCTGAAAGGGGCTGTATGACCAGTGTCCAGACGACAGGTTTCTGCCGCGGCCCTGAGGTGGCAGTGGGAGGGGTTTGTCAGAAGGTGGGCAGGGTCCTGAAGCCCAGCCCTGTCCTCCCTGTCCACAGCAGGACACTTCTGAGATCTTCGAGTTCCTCACTGGGAGGTGAGGCTAATACCTTCCCTCATTCCACAGGGCGACTGTTGGGGCAGGATGTGAGGAGAGTACTTTGGGAAGAACATAACACTTTCCACCCAGCCTGGGCAACATGGTGAGATCCCATCTCTACAAAAAATACAAAAATTAGCCAGGTGTGGTGGTGGCGCATGCCTGTAGTCCTAGCTACTTGAGAGCTGAGGCAGGAGGACTGCTTGAACTCGGGAGGCGGAGGTTGCAGTGAGCCAAGATTGCACCACTGCACTCCAGCCTGGGCAACAGAGTGAGACCATGTCTCAATTAAAAAAAAAAAAAAAAAAGCTTTCCATAAAGGCCAGGACAGATGTGCTTCCTTAAGAAGGGCTAGAGTTGGAGGCCTTGCCCTCCTCTGGGCTTGTTGGCCTTGGGGGAGGCCTGACAGAGCCTTCCTGGGGCTGCCTGTTCTTCTGGCCCCTTCTCCGTGCACAGACCAGTCTTGGATGATAAGTCAGGAAAGCCCTCCACCTGGCCGGGCTGCAGTGTCGCTGGGGCTGCCCACACTTGCTGACCATGGCTCCCCACTCCCTTGTCTCTCACAGCACCACTGCCCCTGTTTCCACAGTGCCCACGAACAAAACATCAGGAGTCTCTTGGAAACACCATGTTTGATTATTTCTTTCTTTCTTTCTTTCTTTATTTATTTTACTCTAAGTTCTGGGATACATGTGCAGAATGTGCAGGTTTGTTACATAAGTATACATGTACCATGGTGGTTTGCTGCACCTATCAACCCATCATCTACATTAGGCATTTCTCCTAATGCTATCCCTCCCCTTGCCCCTCCACCCATGTTTGGTTTTCTTTAGCTTATTCTAGTATTTTCTCAAGACCGATCGAAATGATAATATAGAGGCATAAAGCACATTTGTTGTGAGTTGATGCAGATAAAAAGGCTTGGGGTGGTCTTCAGAGTAATTTGGGAGTTGTGTGTTCTGCTGGCTTTGATAGACAAGCCCTTCTCTGCTCTGGCAGGTGTTATCAGAATCAAACGTTTGCAAATGATCATTCTCATCGCATCCATCTTCACAGCCCCATGCCTCTTCCTGAATGCTCAGTTGAAAATGCGTATTTCACCTTCCTCAGGTATCTAATACTTAACCTGGGAGAAACGCAAGTGTGGTTTGCAAGGCTTTCCAGGTGTCCAAATGATGATTTCCCATCCTTTTCTTCATTTCTCGAGTGGGGCAGGGAGGCATCGGGGTGTTTGTGATACGTTTGTGTGAAGCTGGACAATTCGGGTGACAGAAATATGTTCAGGGCAGTGTCTTTTATCGTCCCTTCTAACTACAAAGGCATGGATTGCAGTTGAGCCCCACTTTCAGAAGGCCCAATACACACAAAAATCTCATTAATGGAAACTGATAAATTAGAGAGTGATTTTTCACATTACAGAAAGATTGTTAACTTTTCAAAAGGTTTCACCACAGGGTTTCTTTAAATAGTGAGCTCCCCCACTGAATTTAAAGTGTTTGTTTACAGATCATTAACTACTTGACAGAGAGGATATTGGGGGTTGGGGGAAGGAAGACACACTTAAAAGGTAAAATGTTAGAAGCCCTGCCAATTTTCAATGAGCCTGGAAGGGTGACGAAACATCTCTGAAATTATGTTGGTTAGCAAATATGATTTATTTTACAGAAATTCATTTTACACATGGCTTTCCAAGAACCCTCCATGCTGATGGGGTGTGGTGGGAGGTCAAGGACCACAGGGTGCTGGGCTTTGCTGTCCTGGTTTGTGGTGGCTGGGGAGAGGACTCCCTTTTCTTAGAGTCCTGTGTGTGCCTTTGTGAGCAATGGGTGCCAGGCTCTGGCATGAGGCCGAGCTTTGCTACTGGACTTCTGGCATGAGCCACTGAGACCTTTTCCCTTGACATTTAGCCTGGGTTTGGGGAAGTTTCTTCCTGGTTCTCTGACCTTCAGTCTCATTGGCTCAGGACACACCTAGGTTTCCTCCTTGAAGCTCAGACATGTAAACTTTGCAAGACTGTGTCCCAGGAGGTTGAAATCCATCATCAGGCTCACTCTCTAAGCCTAAGGATTAGCCTGGGGACCAAGCCCAGCCCTGAACTCTCCTATAAGGCCCTCCTCATCCAGGTCAAGGTCATGAGGGGAACAGGTGTATCCTGGCCAGCTTCTAGCACGGCCTATAGTAGGTCTCTTGGTTGGTCCAAAGGAGGCCTGGACTTGCATGGGAGGCAGGAGAGAGAAGCCACCCCATCTAATCCAGTCTTCTCCTTTTAAAGATGGAAACACTTAGGGCCAGAAAGAAAGGATTTATTCAAAGTCACGAAACAGCTGGTGAGTGGCAGAGTTGGGGTTGCAGAACTTAGGTTCCTGACTTTCCTCTAGCAGTCTCTCCAGAGGAACAAGTCCCTGCTTCCTAAAGGAAGAAAAGAATCCGGGGAGTGGTGGCAGTGGGAATACATAGAGCAAGGGCATCTCTGAAAGTAGCTCCCAAATAACCTGATAAATACCTCGGATAGAGGCAAGGCTACACCCCTCCCCCTGCCCCCACTACACACAAACAAGATC
Organism: Homo sapiens; assembly: GCF_000001405.40. NCBI lineage: Eukaryota > Metazoa > Chordata > Mammalia > Primates > Hominidae > Homo > Homo sapiens. The sequence continues at coordinate 60,475,705 of NC_000002.12, read as the reverse complement.
CTCAGCTGAGGACTCAGAGCAGGAGTAAGGGCACCCCTATCCTCCCCATGGCTTTGAAAAGAAGAAAGAGGGGAAATTTGGAGGGATGGTCAAGTTGATGATTGAAGAGACAAAGTAGTGTAGGAAAATCTCAATGTTTCTTGCACAGTCATTTGTTGAAAATGTGTCAGCAAGTACAAGCCCATCTTAAACTGGCAATGAGACATCTGAAATAGATTATTTAAGCCAGGGAGGCAGTATTGCAAGGAAGAACATGGCTATCAACACTTGTTTGTCTGACTCAGAGGAATAAAACATAGTAAATTTTGCCTTAGCGGGCCACCCACATTCATTGGGGGAAGAAACAATTGAGGTGGGGGGAAAACAGAACAGATGAACCTTCATGGAGTTTCACAAGAGTCCACATGGTTGTGTCCCTTATTTTCAGAAAATGTGAAATTGGAAAATACGCACTTGTGAAAGCTGAAGATGTCACAGAAATCTTCAGAGGATTTATTTAGATGGTCGTATCCTCCGCTGTCAACTGGATGAATCAGTGTGCAATATTTTGATGTGAATGTAACCGCCTATTGGGCCCCATTTACTCTGTGCCCACCTTGGGCTTTGCTTCTCTCTAAGCATCTTTACCTGCTTTTTCTTTTTATCTAGGATATCCTTTCTCTTGGCTCTCCAGGTTTAACTCATAAGTTTTCCTCTTTCCCAAAGCCTCTCTCCCTCCCTTCCAAATGGAAATAATTTCTCTTCCTTTGAATTTCCATAGCAGCTCATCTGTACCTCTCTCATGACACACTTTCTACATGGGGGTAGAGCAATTTCTGTGCAGGCCTTACCTTTTCTACTAAATGAAGCCTGCTGTGGGAGAAATCTGTGTCCGTGTTTTCTTTGTACTGCCCACAGCGGCTAGCCCATTGCTTTGGGCATTGTAGGCACTCGGTAAATATTTGTTGAATGAATGCATGAGAGGTTGAATGAATGCATGAGAGAATGAATGAATGGAATTTATCCTGGGAACACACATTTTGCATAGTGAGGTATGTGATTAAACAAACAAAAAAAAATTGTCCTAAGACAATTTGTCTTTTTATGCAGCTGCCCTCTCAGTCTCCTAGATAAGTTCCGCCATTCTAAGGCAAAAGCTTAAAGTGTAATAAAAATTTATCTAATTCACGATCAAGTGAAAATACTTTGGGCCCAGAGCCAAAGAATATTATTGGAGTGAACTTTTTTTAACACCCTAAATTTAACCAGCTGGAATTCTTTTTTTAAGTACCATCCTATTCAACCTTTTGAAATGAAGGATTTGCCTTTTAGTGGGAAATCTGCATTTCAACACAAAGATGGAACACAATGTCTTTGGCTTAGTTGCTTTTCAGAAAAGCAAGATTTTTTTTTTTTGGAATTATATGCTTTGCTTATGTTAAAGACACAGCTTGCAGAAAAATTTTGTTTAGGCCTGACAGATTGGTGGCTGGCATTTTTATAGATAAAGGGGCACGCAAAATGTCATCTCTACTTCCTCCCTTTATTGAGAAAAAGCCTAGGAGGAGAACTCTTAAAAGGTGAAGTTAGTAACCTGTTGTTTGAGTAATCAAGGCTCTAAGAGGATAGCATTGATCAAAAAAGAGTTTTAAAATGAGTGATTGATGTTATTAAAGTCACTGGTGAAGTATCAAGGAATCTAAGGACCATGAGAGAGTTTCAGGGAAGAAATTCTATATTGTAGTGTCTATAATTATTGCTTTCTTTTGTTTTTGCAGAATACACTTTTTAAAGAACATCAGGATTTGGTAAAACAGCCAGTAAAAAAGCAATGAAGGAAAAAAAATGCACATGTAAATGCTCATTTCTAGAACAAAAGAGAGTGCGATTTTGACAATATCAGAAGGTTAATTAAGAAGTCTGTGAGTGATGATAAAGCTGGCACATTTTCATTACAGATTGACACAACTCAAGTCACAGGCATAGCTAATGTTTGCTCTATAATACTCTGATAAGTCAGAGAATCTAAGTGAGAAGAACTGGTATCTATGGTAAACATAGGGTCAAGAGCTAGATGCGGCTGAATAGAAAGGACATTTACTTTGCAGTTAGGTAAAGAAGCCTCTAGCTCAGACTAGCTGCACTGTTGTTATTTGTGTGGCTTGAACCTAGTAATCGGATTCAGAACTGGAATGGGTTCCTTCAGGGTACTTTACAAACGTTCAGGATGCATTTTAAGTGTAGTCTAGAAGGTGGTACATGGAAGAGCTGAGGGACTTGAGGATTATGGACTGCGAAAGGACTGTAGGTAGTCCTGTATTTTGGCCTGTCACCAATATAGAGACCCCTCCTCATCATAGTGTCATCCATTCTCTTTTTGAAGACCCAGGGTGAAAGAAAGGGGGTCACAGTGTCACGAGATAGCCCATTCCACGTGGGACAGCTCTACTGCTTTTGTGCCTGTCTCACTGAAAAAAAAAAAAAAACAGGGAAATTATCTAAAAACATATGTTTAGGAAATATACACACATTCACACACGTACACAGACACATATGCACACACTCACATATACACACACATGAACACGCTAACACACATGTGCATGCACATGCTAACACATGCACAAGCATACACACACATGCACACAGTCACAATATACACACATGCACATGCTCACAAACACATATGCATGCACACGCTAACACACATATGTACACATAAATGCTTGCAAACACACACACACGTACATTTTAGTGAATAGCACACATCTATGTACTCCTGTGGAGAGTCCTGTGGTTTTAATACCTGTTAAAGTTGGGCTCCCAAAGCAGTCATTAAACGTGTTGGAATGATGCTTTTTGCTTAGCTGTTTTGGCACATTTGGAAATCTGCAGTATTACCTGTTGATTAGTAGACAGTAATGTGGCTGTATTACACACCCAGTGATTAGTTTCAGAAACAAATAGCATGTTAATAGTCAAGGAATCTTTGAGATGTTCTTGAGGAAACCAAAAAACTTGATTTAATGACTTAAATTCCAGGAACATCCCACTGGGCTTAGAGCTCTTTGTCAAAAGTTGGTACCCAATATATGTAGAAATGTAAAGTGACCAAATGTATAACATTAAATCAAAGCCATTCCCAGTTTGCTGCATATTTTTTAATGAAACCTGAAAAATAAGAGTCACTATTTTTAAATTCAGCCATAAGGAAACTTTGCAACCTAATAATGTGTAAGGCATTTCTGAGGCCCCAAGTGGAAATACTGGGTCTAGAGAGACCTTTATGAAATAGAACAGGTTGAAACACCTTCCACCAGAAAAGTGTAAGACATTTGAAAAAAGATTGAGTCAGAAAAGGGAAATGTGTCCCATTTGAGAGACCAGAAAGGGAAACAAGAGTCCAGTTCCTGCTGTGTCCGTGCAGTTGCCACAGCTGCGTTCGCTGACATGTCGGCTTTAATGGAAGCAGTGAGGACACAATCTGTCTGGCACAAGCTGGTTTGGGTGTTGTCTCATGCTAAGAAGGCCCTGGACCTGATGGAGAGCCTGGACCTGTTCCCTGTCCTTATCAATGACAGACGGAGGGTGGAACCTGAATTTCCTAATGGAGGGATCCTTAGGGATTCCCTAAGCTTAATTTGTTTTTGACTGTTCCAGTCCTAAAGGAGGTGGGTCCTGGACAGGAGGGAAAACAGCCTCATGGCCCATGGGTCTCTGCCCAGGGAATTTCAAAGCTTCCAGCGTTCATACTTCCCTTACCCTAAGACAGCAGTGCTGATTCAGCTTGAGTGTGCATGAGAATCACCTGGAGAATTTATTCAACATAGAAGGCTGCTTCCCCACCCTCAATTTCTGATTCAGTAAGTCTGAGGTGGTGCCCAAGAATTTGCATTTTGAACAAACTCCCAGGTGATGCTGATCGGGGGTGGGCCTGGGTCTGCGCTGTGAGAATCACTTGCCTAAGAGCACTAACAAAGAAAAAAAGAGGACATAACTAGATCACCCACTTCCTAGCCAGCAACCAGAGCCCATCTCTGGCTGGGGAGAATGAAAGCGAAGGTGGGAAAAGAAGAGGCCCTCAACCAGGGGCAGCTCCTTTTCCCCACCTTGGCCTGGGAAGGCAGAGCTGCTCCTCGAGTTTGACGCTCAGAAGCATTAATTGTGATACTTTACTTTGCCTAAGCCGTGATGAAATAATTGAAGGCATCATAGCAAGAAGTTAAGCCCTAGGGAGGCTATTAACAATTTAGCATTTCCAGTTCATGTGGGAATGTCGATTTTACTTACCAAAGAGAATATTATGGATGTGTTTAGTGGAAGAAGCAGCAGAATCAGCTGGGGTCCCCAGTTGGCTTTGCTTTGACCCTCTTCCTGAAGGAAGATAAATGCAAGGGTGAGTCTCACAAAGACAGTGTGCTTTTTTTCTAAAGTAAATAGCTTCTTAGGCTGATAGAAATGTTTTTAGCTGTCTAATTCTGCAGGGGAAGCAGAGGTAGAGGGTGAACACAGCAAAGGTGAGGCCAGGAGGCCCAGGCAGCAGAGCAGGCCTTGTTTTCCAATTGTGAGACCAAGTCAGTTCATTGGCACCTTTCGAAAGCCCCATGTAGCGCTGCTGGGCTGGACCCTCCCCCAAGACGGTTAAGTACTGCTTAATGGATCAGTAGAAACAGGACCTTCTTGTTGGGCAGTGAAGACCACGGCAGGAGCAGCAGGGGGGAAGAGACAAATTCCCAGGAAAGACCACTGGATCAGGAGTCAGGAGATTAATTCTAATCTTCACATTGTGGTTAATCATCAGTGTAGCCATGGGCAAGTCACTTAATTTCTCATGGCCTCAGTTTCCCCATCTGTAAAATGAAGGGACAGACTTGATGATAGCTAGGGTTTTTTACAACTTAGAAAACAAAAACAAAAACAAAAACAAAAACAAACTATGCTGCCAGATAGTCAGATGAGACCTCACTTTGCCACACGGCCAGACACTGTAGAGATCTGGTCCTGCCGTCAGCTTGTTTAGGGCTAATGGGTTTGTAGACAAGTTTGCCAACAAGAGATTCATGCGAGGGGCTAGGCATGGATTAGGTTAGCAGTTCTCCCATTTCTTGCTGGAGGCCTGCTGAAGCACTTCAGGGTCTCTTCCCAGAGTAAGTGGCAGAGAATTTGAAATTTGATACTCCCCATACAAGGATCCAAGTACCTGTTGCGTTTATGCTGGGATCACAGAGATACCTGGGTTGCCTGTGTTTCCTAAGAAAAGGATGTCTGTTTTGGCAGCAAACTTAGTGAACGGCTGAGGCAAAAACAAGTGCAAAGATGGATTCTCAGATTTCTCATTGAAAAATACCATGACAAAATCTGTAGTAATTTTACGCCACACTCTCAATTCACTTGACGTAAACAGTCAAATGTAGACATACTTGTTTGTTAAGTCCGGTCTTCCTGCTTGTGTTGGTTCACTTTGTGGTGTTTATTTTGTTTTGGGTCAGAGAGGATGAAATGTCTCTGTAGATGTTCTCAGGCTAGGTGGTGCTTCCACCAGGGCTTCCCTCTGCAGGCCTGGTAACAGCAGACCTATGCTGTCTGTGTAAGAGCCTTCTCAGCAGCACACCATCGTTACCCACCAGGCTCCTTGCGAAAGGAAATCTTGTCCCAACTGCCTTGGCTGTGCTTGGCAGTGTGCTCTATATAAGGAGAACAGGATGTATTTTACACTTGAGACCTGCTATCCTAGAGTACAACAACAACACTTCTAAGTGCTCTTAATATTAAGCTAATGGAAAACATACTGTTTGTTCACCATCAAAGTCTGTTTTTCTTGTCTCCCGCCCTCCCCAATCATCATGAACTCCAAACCTCTAGAACACACAGAGCGTCTCCTGCACCATCTATCCTCCAGTCTGTCTCAAGATGGACAGCTACATGGTTAGTTAGCTAGAGGAGGACTTGGAAAAGCTAGGCACTTACCACATAAACCGTAAAATCCCCAGATTGCACAAACCAAATTTTCCTCTTCTCAAAAAAATCTCAGTGCTACAAATGTTTCATTGACTATTAGATTCATTTTATTAGTGTGAGAAGTCACTTGTCTTCACCAGAGTACAACAAAGTGCAGTAAAATGGTGAAGATGGGTCAGGGTTTCTGGGTGCTGGCATTATTGGAATGCTGGTTCTTTCCTTGTCATTTAATGGTCAAAGTTATTTGGACCCCAGAAGTCTAATCTTTATCTTCCATTGCTTTGTATTGTGAGAAGCCACATCTGTGTAAGGTTTCCAGTTGACAGGATTCTAGAGTATGGCCCAGCTCAGTCCAGAAATGCCCAGGTTTCCCCTATCACTGAAGGCGCTATCATAAATATAGCATGGGAAGAGGGGGGCAGAGGGACAGAGAAAGCAAAGTGGGACTCTGTCCCATAAAAAACGATTCACAAATCTACTCATTTCCTATCAGCATTTTGCTTTTTGCTTGGGTTTGTCTATAAAGTAAAGTTAATGTATGCATGTAAACCAGCCTTGCAGATAAAATCCCCCCATGTTTCCAGGCTACCCACAATATTACCAGTTTTCCCCTTGCTGCTTACACATCTTCTTTCCACAAGACAATAATCAAACAACAACAAATAAATAAGCAAATGAACCAAAGACCACCTCTCCCCTTTCCTAAAACAAACCCTTTCACTTTTGTCAAAAAGACCGAAATTGAAAACAAAACAGAAACTCTGGGAAATAACTCACCACTCTTCTTTTGTTTCAGGCCTTGGGCCTGTTAACTATCTGCAAGGCTGTTGTAATGATGTTGTAATCTATTTTAATGGAATTGAAATGTGATATCCTGTGGTTTATGATGCACGTTGTTTGTAGCTGTAGTGCTTGATTTTGGGTTTCTTTCACAGATAAACTTCTGCACTGGAGGGGCCTCTCCTCCCCTCGTTCTGCACATGGAGCTCTAATCCCCACGCCTGGGATGAGTGCAGAATATGCCCCGCAGGGTATTTGTAAGTTGAGCCTTATTTCTTCTACAAATGTCCATGTGTATAGAGATGAGAATTTCTGGAAATTGCCCTTACTTTTTAAGTACTGAAGGAGTTACTTCCAAAATAGATTGTCATATGTATTATTCCATTACTCACTTGGCAGCCGCTCCCCACTCCACTCAGCCCCAGAGGGACTTCTTCCCTCCCCTTTTTCTTTCCTCACTGGAGGCTGGGAGCTGATAGTAGCTCATCCCTGTGGGTCTTCTCCCCAGGGTCTTGTCTTGCTCCGTGGCTAGTGATTGAAGATGCCTGTGCCTCTGGAGCCCATTTTATTACTGGACATTCACTCCTGTGGCCTCATTTAGGACTTTGGGTATAGTCCATGGCACACATCTTTAGCCAAGGCCAGAATCAAAAGGAGTCAGTTTAGGGTTATTCCAGAGTTATTCCAATGCATATTCCTTATGTATTTACATGTGTATTTGAACATAGTATATGTTGTATATTCATGCCCACACATAATTTTGACTAATTTTTCTCCTGGTTTTAGAGAAAAATGCACATCATTGTAGTTAAAATGTGAAGGCTCTACTATCACCACCACCACCACCACCATCACCACCACCACCACAACCACCACTGCCACCATCACCACCACCACCACAACCACCACCATCACTACCACCACCACCATCACCACCAGTACCATCACCACCATCACCACCACTACCACCACCACCACCATCACCACCACCACCATTACCACCACCATCACTACCACCACCACCATCACCACCAGTACCATCACCACCACCACCATCACTACCACCACCACCACCACCACCATTACCACCACCATCACTACCACCACCACCATCACCACCAGTACCATCACCACCAGTAGCATCACCACCACCACCACCATCACCATCACCACCAGTACCATCACCACCAGTACCATCACCATCAACACCACCATCTCCACCACCACCATTACCACCACCATCACTACCACCACCACCATCACCACCAGTACCATCACCACCAGTACCATCACCACCACCACCACCATCACCATCACCACCAGTACCATCACCATCATCACCACCATCACCACCACCACCATTACCACCACCATCACTACCACCACCACCACCATCACCACCACCACCATTACCACCACCATCACTACCACCACCACCATCACCAGTACCATCACCATCACCATCACCACCAGTACCATCACCATCATCACCACCATCACCACCACCACCATTACCACCACCATCACCACCACCACCATTACCACCACCATCACTACCACCACCACCATCACCAGTACCATCACCATCACCATCACCACCAGTACCATCACCATCATCACCACCATCACCACCACCACCATTACCACCACCATCACTACCACCACCACCACCATCACCACCACCACCATTACCACCACCATCACTACCACCACCACCACCATCACCACCACCACCATTACCACCACCATCACTACCACCACCACCATCACCAGTACCATCACCGCCATCACCACCACCATCACCACCACCACCACCACCATCACCACCACCACCACCACCATCACCACCAACACCACCATCACCACCACCACCACCACTACCACCACCATCATCACCACCACCACCACCACCACCACTGCCACCACCATTTACTTGTTCAAGTGAGCTTTTATAGTAGGGACCATTTTATGAAACTTAAATTTGTCCATTTATACAAATGTTTTCTGAAAGATACTGTTTTAGAAAATAATACAGTTTGCTTCTCTGTGTAGGAACACATGGTATGAATCATGCATGGCTAAAAGGTTAGGGGGTGGGCAGTGATTCCACCCTAAACACAAAAAAGCAGGTTCAAGAAGAAAAGAAGTGTGACATCTAATTTTTATTTGAAAGTAAATGAAAAATAACCTGCTGTGGAAAGAAAAAAAAAGAAAAGGAAAAAGGTCATGGAGAGAGAATAACAAAGAGCAAGATGCCAGAGTTAAGGCTCTAAGGGGGACTGTTTTTAGATGGGAGGGAGATGACACTTACCCATCTTGTAAATGGTATCTGAAGAGCAGGGCATGCACCCTGAGACCAGATTCAAAGCCAGTTGTTTATTTTTGTTAACTCCTAGGTAATCCTAGGTAACAAAGAGTTATTGTGTGAATTTCATAAGCCCTCAGGTCCTGAGGGCTGGGTGGTTCAGGGGTTAAAAGCACCTCATCTGCTCCCTTCCCCCAAGCTGGGCCTAAGCCTGGGTTAGGTCACAGATTGCAGAAGGTTTAGGAGGTTGGGCTCACGGTTTCTAGTCCCTGCATGCTGGCTGGGTGGGGAGAGCTCTCCTGTTGCTGGGGGCATCTGGGGCCTGCATGGGGCTGTGGAAACGGAGCCACTTTTGGAGGGAAGGGATAGAAGGGAGTTGAGCAGTTCAGAGGAGGGTGGAGTTGAGAGGCCAAGGGCTGTTGCCAGGGAAACATAGTTCTCGGTCTTCAGCCTGGTCTTCCTGAGGGCTGGGAGTTTGATTTGACTGGTAGGAAAGTCTGAGCTTGATAGGGAACCCCTGTCCTCTCCCACCTTCCCACAAAGGGAGGGTACATAGTTTGCTGGTGCCCCTGCTGGCAGGACCAATTTAGGAGTGACCAGAACAAGGTATGTGGAAGTGGGTTGTGGGGGTCCAGAAAGCTCTAGAACAAACCTGATGCCCATTCCACTTGGCGGCATTAACCTGCTGCCCCTGGCTTCCAGAGCTCATAGCACTTCCCTGTGGCCACTCTGCTGTGTGCCAGTCACCCCTGCTCTTTAACTAGAGCCTCCTTTTGGCCTGGGTTAAGGCCTGGACTGGGACCTTCCTCTGGAAGCCGTTCGGGGTGTGTAATGTGGTTAGTCATTACCCTCAGTAATTAATCACCCCTGGTAGTAATGAAAACTCACATTCACATTCGACCTGATAGTTTACAGAGGGCTTTTATATACTTCTGTCATTTGAACTTCCCAACAATTCTTACAGGTACTGTTTTTATGCTCATTTTACAGATAGGAATTCCAAGACTCAGAGAAATCAAATGACTATCCCAGAGTTACAATCTAGTGGATAATAGAGCTAGGCCTCCAGTCTCAGACCTCCTTGTTCTTCTGAATCTTGAGGCTTAGATCACATGACTTTTTCACATTGGTGACATACTAGAAATGGGGGTCATTCCTTCCCATAAAGTAAAATGAAATAAAATAAAAGCCAGTAGGTGGGCTAATAGCTGATTTTAACCCTTTTGATGTCTCAAGTTCCTATGCTTAGGGGCCAGGTGTCAGTTTATTGCTCTAAATCAAAACAATCCCCGTAAATGCCCAATGAGGCTCTCAAATTGAGAAGTTGATTTTCATCAGAGTAAATGAAGAATATTATTATATTTTACACATCAATAAATCAATGTAGCCCTAATTTTGCCACACAGGAAATCAATTCCAGTCTTTCTAAATCATCAAAGATGTTATGAACAAAGTAATTTCACAAATTATGGCAAGTAACACATTTATTGATGACTGCAGTTTAGGAATTTAGAATCTGTGAGCACTGTAATATAATATGGTACACCGGCATGAGCTGAGTGAAATACAGATTATATGGTGAAATTGTAATGCATCATTTGCTATTAGTGGACTGGTAATAATTACCAGTTTCAAAGCAGCTCTCTCCATGTAATCTTTAGTCTCAATCGTAACAGCCCTTCTCATTGACATTATGATTACACTAGCTGCCCTCATGATCTAGAATATCTAGTTGATGGGAATACTAAAATGCGATAGTGAAAACTGTATGTTGTATGCTCATTATAAGATAAAATGCCATTTTCTCTGACCTGATGTATGAGAGAGAGGGGAGGATAACATCACAGTGTTAACATACTGTAGCATGATCACATAACTGGCTCTGAAAAAAAGTTTAGGATGCTCAGGGCAGCAAAATAAAATGGACTTTTCTCATTTAAGCCTTTTTGAAAGGATACAAATGAGATCCTTGATGTAGTGCTGTATGCCACAGATTTTGGCATTTATCAATGACTACAATTCATGGCACATGTGAAACCAGCACCACTAATTATGAGTCTAGTCCTGGATTTCAATCGATGTTTTATAAGGTAAAATATAATTTTAAGGCATTTGGAGTGATGAACGTGTTAAGGACTTGGATTATCAGACAAATCTTTTTACTTGCCCAACTCAGATCGTCAGGCTAAATAGGAATGATAGTCACCCAGAGATCTAGGGAGGACAAGGAGGAAGCCACAGAGGATCATGTAGTTGGAACCAGATAGTTTTTTTTCCAGCCTATTTGGGACCCAAGTTATTGTTCAACAACAACAAAAAATTTATAAAAATGTTCTCAATGAAGCTTTTTATTTCCCTTTGAAGAGAGGAGGCAAACAAAAATAGGCAGATAATGTGATACTAATGTCAGCGTTTTCTTTCAAAATCTTTCTGCCTTTTTTCCCCCTTCCACATTAGACAAATGTTTGAAACCTAATTTTGGTATCTTACCATCTAATCTTGTTTAAGAGATTTACCCAGGAGTGAGATATATTGAGTGGGATTATAAATGCGTTGTAAAGTAAATTACAAGGTCAGGGCAGGAGTCCATTATTTAGACAAGTGCTTGAGCGAGGCTGGCTTATTTTGGAATACCAGTGTTTGGGGGCTCCTGAGAAGACCCTGCCGGCTTTTCTTTCTGACTTGCTAAATGGAGGCATCATATAATTGATTAATTCCTCATTCTCACTCTTAACCTCCCTGGTAGATTTTTTTTTTTTTTCCTTCTTAGAAAGTTACTGACAAATACTAGCTGTGGCCTTAAAGAACTCTTGCAGCCCTTCTTTTAAAAGAAGGAGAAAAGTTTGTTATTTCTCAGTTATATTTTAAGGCTTTTTTTTTCAGAATCTCTGGGAAGTTTTGTTTTTCTCATCCTCGTCCTTTGGCTACCATTACTTCTGCCCTTTTTAATGTTGCAGTTGACTAGTAAACTGTTGGTCAGTTATTCCATATATATATATATTTAATGTAGCTATCTCCCCATATATATTTAATTTAGCCATCTCCCCAAATGAAATATTTTGTGAAGTCAAGCTGGCCCTTCTTTGCCAAAGTGGCATTTACCACTCTTGGGTTCTTTTCAGCAAGGGAAATAATGTGACTTAAGCAGGGCCCCTCTCCAGACGGCTTGGCTACTGGCCAGAGTTGACTAGCTGAACTGTATCTTTCTGTTTCTTTCTCAACTGGAGCTGAGTCCCAGCCGAGGGCGCAGGATGTTGTATAATTTGGTTCACGTTGTTAGCCTCTCAAAACAATGAGGAGGAGGATAGTGTAGCATTTCTCAGCCTGCTGCCTGTCATGGCGCTGGCTGTTTTAACTGTTCCTTAAACTAGGATGCTGTGTCTGCTTAAGTCGGCACCAGCCACTCCTCCTAACTTTTCCAGACTTGCATTTGTCTGACCGGGGGACAACTCCTAAAGATTGGATACAGCCTATCCGTTAAATCTGAATGAAGTTTTTCTTTCAGATTTTTTAAACATTCTTTGAGATAAAAATGGACGTCCCCATGGGGTGTTGTGGAACCAAAATTGGGACTCACTGATCCTCCCACAGTCTGGGGTGTGAGAATGTTGCTAGTCTTTTTTCCACGGAAGTATTTTATGAGTACCCTCTCATTTTAACAATATCAACAATTAGTGTGTTTCAGGCTAATGCTGAAAGCATCTTTAGGGCCATAGAACATTGTAGTGAGTTGACCTTCTTCCCCTTTTTTGATACCTCTATGAAATGTTTGCCTATTTAGAAAGTTCACCTGTCACCCAGGGGGGAATAGAAAGCTGGGATTTAGGAAGCCAAAAAGTTTCCTTGGGTCACCTTGTCCAAGTTTCTCACTTAACAAGGAGGAAACAGAGGCACATGGAGATGAGATGGCTTGCCCCAAACTACAGCTGATGGAACTGGAAAGTTTAGAAGACATTTGTTGAGGTGCCTAGAATGTAGGGACCTTCATCCTCAAGCCAGAACTGGTCAGGATTTTTCTGCTTTGGGGATTGGATATAAAATTTCTAGAACTGAGTTTAATGGCAGGAAGATCAATTGGACCAATATTTACTGGGTACCCATGCTCAGACGTGCCAGGCACAGGGGGTAGGTCAGTGAGGGCTTAGGCCTTGGGGTTGAGGGGTGGGGGCAGGGAAGGCTGGAGGTGGAACATAAATAAGCAATTGCTGATGCCCGCCTCAGTGATTAAACATTGATGTTGGTGTTGTATTATTTTGCAGGTAAAGATGAGCCCAGCAGCTACACATGTACAACTTGCAAACAGCCATTCACCAGTGCATGGTTTCTCTTGCAACACGCACAGAACACTCATGGATTAAGAATCTACTTAGAAAGCGAACACGGAAGTCCCCTGACCCCGCGGGTTGGTATCCCTTCAGGACTAGGTGCAGAATGTCCTTCCCAGCCACCTCTCCATGGGATTCATATTGCAGACAATAACCCCTTTAACCTGCTAAGAATACCAGGATCAGTATCGAGAGAGGCTTCCGGCCTGGCAGAAGGGCGCTTTCCACCCACTCCCCCCCTGTTTAGTCCACCACCGAGACATCACTTGGACCCCCACCGCATAGAGCGCCTGGGGGCGGAAGAGATGGCCCTGGCCACCCATCACCCGAGTGCCTTTGACAGGGTGCTGCGGTTGAATCCAATGGCTATGGAGCCTCCCGCCATGGATTTCTCTAGGAGACTTAGAGAGCTGGCAGGGAACACGTCTAGCCCACCGCTGTCCCCAGGCCGGCCCAGCCCTATGCAAAGGTTACTGCAACCATTCCAGCCAGGTAGCAAGCCGCCCTTCCTGGCGACGCCCCCCCTCCCTCCTCTGCAATCCGCCCCTCCTCCCTCCCAGCCCCCGGTCAAGTCCAAGTCATGCGAGTTCTGCGGCAAGACGTTCAAATTTCAGAGCAACCTGGTGGTGCACCGGCGCAGCCACACGGGCGAGAAGCCCTACAAGTGCAACCTGTGCGACCACGCGTGCACCCAGGCCAGCAAGCTGAAGCGCCACATGAAGACGCACATGCACAAATCGTCCCCCATGACGGTCAAGTCCGACGACGGTCTCTCCACCGCCAGCTCCCCGGAACCCGGCACCAGCGACTTGGTGGGCAGCGCCAGCAGCGCGCTCAAGTCCGTGGTGGCCAAGTTCAAGAGCGAGAACGACCCCAACCTGATCCCGGAGAACGGGGACGAGGAGGAAGAGGAGGACGACGAGGAAGAGGAAGAAGAGGAGGAAGAGGAGGAGGAGGAGCTGACGGAGAGCGAGAGGGTGGACTACGGCTTCGGGCTGAGCCTGGAGGCGGCGCGCCACCACGAGAACAGCTCGCGGGGCGCGGTCGTGGGCGTGGGCGACGAGAGCCGCGCCCTGCCCGACGTCATGCAGGGCATGGTGCTCAGCTCCATGCAGCACTTCAGCGAGGCCTTCCACCAGGTCCTGGGCGAGAAGCATAAGCGCGGCCACCTGGCCGAGGCCGAGGGCCACAGGGACACTTGCGACGAAGACTCGGTGGCCGGCGAGTCGGACCGCATAGACGATGGCACTGTTAATGGCCGCGGCTGCTCCCCGGGCGAGTCGGCCTCGGGGGGCCTGTCCAAAAAGCTGCTGCTGGGCAGCCCCAGCTCGCTGAGCCCCTTCTCTAAGCGCATCAAGCTCGAGAAGGAGTTCGACCTGCCCCCGGCCGCGATGCCCAACACGGAGAACGTGTACTCGCAGTGGCTCGCCGGCTACGCGGCCTCCAGGCAGCTCAAAGATCCCTTCCTTAGCTTCGGAGACTCCAGACAATCGCCTTTTGCCTCCTCGTCGGAGCACTCCTCGGAGAACGGGAGTTTGCGCTTCTCCACACCGCCCGGGGAGCTGGACGGAGGGATCTCGGGGCGCAGCGGCACGGGAAGTGGAGGGAGCACGCCCCATATTAGTGGTCCGGGCCCGGGCAGGCCCAGCTCAAAAGAGGGCAGACGCAGCGACACTTGTGAGTACTGTGGGAAAGTCTTCAAGAACTGTAGCAATCTCACTGTCCACAGGAGAAGCCACACGGGCGAAAGGCCTTATAAATGCGAGCTGTGCAACTATGCCTGTGCCCAGAGTAGCAAGCTCACCAGGCACATGAAAACGCATGGCCAGGTGGGGAAGGACGTTTACAAATGTGAAATTTGTAAGATGCCTTTTAGCGTGTACAGTACCCTGGAGAAACACATGAAAAAATGGCACAGTGATCGAGTGTTGAATAATGATATAAAAACTGAATAGAGGTATATTAATACCCCTCCCTCACTCCCACCTGACACCCCCTTTTTCACCACTCCCCTTCCCCATCGCCCTCCAGCCCCACTCCCTGTAGGATTTTTTTCTAGTCCCATGTGATTTAAACAAACAAACAAACAAACAGAAGTAACGAAGCTAAGAATATGAGAGTGCTTGTCACCAGCACACCTGTTTTTTTTCTTTTTCTTTTTCTTTTTTCTTTTTCCTTTTTTTTTTTTTTCCTTTATGTTCTCACCGTTTGAATGCATGATCTGTATGGGGCAATACTATTGCATTTTACGCAAACTTTGAGCCTTTCTCTTGTGCAATAATTTACATGTTGTGTATGTTTTTTTTTAAACTTAGACAGCATGTATGGTATGTTATGGCTATTTTAAATTGTCCCTAATTCGTTGCTGAGCAAACATGTTGCTGTTTCCAGTTCCGTTCTGAGAGAAAAAGAGAGAGAGAGAGAAAAAGACCATGCTGCATACATTCTGTAATACATATCATGTACAGTTTTATTTTATAACGTGAGGAGGAAAAACAGTCTTTGGATTAACCCTCTATAGACAGAATAGATAGCACTGAAAAAAAATCTCTATGAGCTAAATGTCTGTCTCTAAAGGGTTAAATGTATCAATTGGAAAGGAAGAAAAAAGGCCTTGAATTGACAAATTAACAGAAAAACAGAACAAGTTTATTCTATCATTTGGTTTTAAAATATGAGTGCCTTGGATCTATTAAAACCACATCGATGGTTCTTTCTACTTGTTATAAACTTGTAGCTTAATTCAGCATTGGGTGAGGTAATAAACCTTAGGAACTAGCATATAATTCTATATTGTATTTCTCACAACAATGGCTACCTAAAAAGATGACCCATTATGTCCTAGTTAATCATCATTTTTCCTTTAGTTTAATTTTATAAACAAAACTGATTATACCAGTATAAAAGCTACTTTGCTCCTGGTGAGAGCTTAAAAGAAATGGGCTGTTTTGCCCAAAGTTTTATTTTTTTTAAACAATGATTAAATTGAATGTGTAATGTGCAAAAGCCCTGGAACGCAATTAAATACACTAGTAAGGAGTTCATTTTATGAAGATATTTGCTTTAATAATGTCTTTTTAAAAATACTGGCACCAAAAGAAATAGATCCAGATCTACTTGGTTGTCAAGTGGACAATCAAATGATAAACTTTAAGACCTTGTATACCATATTGAAAGGAAGAGGCTGACAATAAGGTTTGACAGAGGGGAACAGAAGAAAATAATATGATTTATTAGCACAACGTGGTACTATTTGCCATTTAAAACTAGAACAGGTATATAAGCTAATATTGATACAATGATGATTAACTATGAATTCTTAAGACTTGCATTTAAATGTGACATTCTTAAAAAAAGAAGAGAAAGAATTTTAAGAGTAGCAGTATATATGTCTGTGCTCCCTAAAAGTTGTACTTCATTTCTTTTCCATACACTGTGTGCTATTTGTGTTAACATGGAAGAGGATTCATTGTTTTTATTTTTATTTTTTTAATTTTTTCTTTTTTATTAAGCTAGCATCTGCCCCAGTTGGTGTTCAAATAGCACTTGACTCTGCCTGTGATATCTGTATCTTTTCTCTAATCAGAGATACAGAGGTTGAGTATAAAATAAACCTGCTCAGATAGGACAATTAAGTGCACTGTACAATTTTCCCAGTTTACAGGTCTATACTTAAGGGAAAAGTTGCAAGAATGCTGAAAAAAAATTGAACACAATCTCATTGAGGAGCATTTTTTAAAAACTAAAAAAAAAAAAACTTTGCCAGCCATTTACTTGACTATTGAGCTTACTTACTTGGACGCAACATTGCAAGCGCTGTGAATGGAAACAGAATACACTTAACATAGAAATGAATGATTGCTTTCGCTTCTACAGTGCAAGGATTTTTTTGTACAAAACTTTTTTAAATATAAATGTTAAGAAAAATTTTTTTTAAAAAACACTTCATTATGTTTAGGGGGGAACTGCATTTTAGGGTTCCATTGTCTTGGTGGTGTTACAAGACTTGTTATCCATTTAAAAATGGTAGTGGAAATTCTATGCCTTGGATACACACCGCTCTTCAGGTTGTAAAAAAAAAAAACATACATTGGGGAAAGGTTTAAGATTATATAGTACTTAAATATAGGAAAATGCACACTCATGTTGATTCCTATGCTAAAATACATTTATGGTCTTTTTTCTGTATTTCTAGAATGGTATTTGAATTAAATGTTCATCTAGTGTTAGGCACTATAGTATTTATATTGAAGCTTGTATTTTTAACTGTTGCTTGTTCTCTTAAAAGGTATCAATGTACCTTTTTTGGTAGTGGAAAAAAAAAAGACAGGCTGCCACAGTATATTTTTTTAATTTGGCAGGATAATATAGTGCAAATTATTTGTATGCTTCAAAAAAAAAAAAAAGAGAGAAACAAAAAAGTGTGACATTACAGATGAGAAGCCATATAATGGCGGTTTGGGGGAGCCTGCTAGAATGTCACATGGATGGCTGTCATAGGGGTTGTACATATCCTTTTTTGTTCCTTTTTCCTGCTGCCATACTGTATGCAGTACTGCAAGCTAATAACGTTGGTTTGTTATGTAGTGTGCTTTTTGTCCCTTTCCTTCTATCACCCTACATTCCAGCATCTTACCTTCATATGCAGTAAAAGAAAGAAAGAAAAAAAAAGGAAAAAAAAAAAAAAACCAATGTTTTGCAGTTTTTTTCATTGCCAAAAACTAAATGGTGCTTTATATTTAGATTGGAAAGAATTTCATATGCAAAGCATATTAAAGAGAAAGCCCGCTTTAGTCAATACTTTTTTGTAAATGGCAATGCAGAATATTTTGTTATTGGCCTTTTCTATTCCTGTAATGAAAGCTGTTTGTCGTAACTTGAAATTTTATCTTTTACTATGGGAGTCACTATTTATTATTGCTTATGTGCCCTGTTCAAAACAGAGGCACTTAATTTGATCTTTTATTTTTCTTTGTTTTTATTTTTTTTTTTATTTAGATGACCAAAGGTCATTACAACCTGGCTTTTTATTGTATTTGTTTCTGGTCTTTGTTAAGTTCTATTGGAAAAACCACTGTCTGTGTTTTTTTGGCAGTTGTCTGCATTAACCTGTTCATACACCCATTTTGTCCCTTTATTGAAAAAATAAAAAAAATTAAAGTACACATTGTAAGCTTCTTGTGTCCTCATTTGACACACTCTGTAAATTACTTGCAAGAAAATAACAGGTTTTAAGAGAAGGCCAGTCAGTCTTTTTCAGGATTATTTCTATGGGCATTCTGATGCGTGTATTATACCCTAAAGGAACATAAAGTACTTACTATATTAAAATAGACATATCTCAAACCCTGGACATAGTTTTAAGGCTTTCCAGTTTAGAATAGTTTTCAAGAAATGGAAGGTGTTTTCAGTCTGATGTTAAAAACTTACTCCATCTCTTAGCAGAAATCCATTCAAACATAAGTGAAAAAACTTGCTGGTAATAGCATCTTAAACTTTTATTTCCTTTAAATTTTTTGCTGTTCTTGTTGTCTAAAAGTTCTTTTCTATTCTCCCATCCTTGCTTTATCTTAGAACATAATGTAAAAAAGATTTTTTTAAAAAAAATCAGCTCTTTGGTTTCCATGTAAGAGTCTTTTCTCATAACAAAATAACCCCACTTTTGAAATCTAAAAATCTGGAAACAAAGGCATCAGGTTTTGTTTTGTTTTGTTTTGTTTTGTTTAAAAAAGAGGGAGAAAAAAAGAGAGAGACGAAAGAAAAGAAAGCAGCCACTAGGGGTGTAGCCAGACATAGTGAAATCTTTGGAATCAGCCACTGATTTCCTGAGATGCATAGTGGTTTGCCTTGTGGTTCTGAGATCCCAGGAACCCTAGATGCTACAGATTACTTTAGGTGTTTTGATAGGGTCTTCCTGGATGACAGCAAATAAGGGCGGGAATACCCTTCAATTATCTTCTGACCAGCCAGTTAGGTCTATTTTAAAAATCCTTAGAAATCTGTGTTGTCACTTTTACAAATACTGCATGTTGCAGCATCTATTTGCTTTACTAAACACATACCTCTGTGATATCGTGTCCCTGTTCCCAGTGTAGATGAATGAATACGACATTGTTCTTATTTTTGTAAAAAACCAAAACAAAAGCCGTTCTGTTGTCTTCTTGTGGTAGCATTTTTTGTCGCTCAGTTCTTATGCCCTAGTGCCTGTGAGGTGGCCTTTTCATGTCATGCCTTTTATCTGAGGCAAGAATAGTTTTATCTTTCTAAAGTATAAAGAAAGTCAATGTTTTCTGAAAAGCCAGTTTGGGTGGGAAGGAGAGAGTGGGGCTAGAGGAATCCACTGAGAAAGGATGTTGGAGAATATTACATAGGAGGTGGGGTGGGGTGGGCGTGCGGTACCTTGAGAACTTGATGTTTGTCACTGAACTTAGAAAAGATATACTGTATGTGTTTTGGATTAGGTTTCTCCAAAACTGAATCCAAAATGCTGCTCAAGACAGATAGAAATAATTCCCCAGTGCCATGCCAGCTTTAGATGTGGTGACTTCGACTCCACCCTATTAAATGTCCATAAAACCTCTGTGTGTCCCTATTACTCTTTTATTAGGAGCTATGAGTGCAACTGTGTAGGTTTTATATACAGTATTCATTTTAATTTCTCAGTATATGCTGCTCTTAGCGTAATTAGGTTTTGCATCCTGACAGACAGAATTAATGGTGGATACTGTACACTTGTCTGTTCAAATTTCTTAAATCAAATGGGGAATGGGGAGGAGTGCAAACATCTGGTGATAAATCACAGATTATGTTTGATTTACATGGTCCCAAAGTTAAATAAATTTACTGGGAGATGGGTTCTTCAGGTTACTTAGTCTCCTGACTTATTGACGCCTTCTGATAAAATATTATTTCTGAAGCTGATGAACAATAGAAACATGAGAACCTAGCCAACATGATATCACTTATAAATGATATTTTGTATCCAGAACTCTAAAATTTAAAATCTTAATATAAAATAACATGCACATTTCCAATAGTAAGATGAATTCATGATCTTTTTTTTTTAAATGAGGAACTACTAAGAACATTAATGTCTCTTAAAATCCTCAAGTAAGTTTTTGTAACAGGCTTGACGTGCTGATGGAATGTTCTCTACATACCTGAACTGATGCTTAAAATGTTCTTTTTAATCTTCATTTGAGAACAACTTAATAAACAGGAATACCGCAAATTCTATTTCTCACAGATTTTAAACCAGAAACTCTTCCAGTGCCTATATTACCTCCTTCCTGAACCCATTTGCTATCCTCTCTTTGTTTAGGACCTACAAAAAGGCTGGAACCAACACATTACAAAGGTTGCTAAGAAGTGAGGTGAACACAGTTCTTCATTTGCACTGGCCATGGCAGAAAGTGTGAAGTAGTTGAGTTTTTCCCAGGGCATTCTGTAGATATAGAACTGTTTATTTAAATACCATTTTTGTATATGCAATAAGTACATATTGTATATAATCATAATGCTAGAAGTGAGAACTTGAAAGGAAGTGGCGGGAGATGGCTTAGGTATAATTCCAATTGGAGAAATAAGGAAATGAGGTGGTTTATTCACAGACACAGTTTGCTGAAAGGTACTGGGATTATTTCGGGCCTTCCTGAAAAGGAGTTGAGAAGCCTCAGGCCCCATCCTCTCCTGCTTGTAGTACTTTGCTCACAGAGACTGAGGGAGGAAATACAGTGTTTTCTTGTTTTAAGCCTCTTTTCCCCCTCCGTACACACATGAACATGACTTCTTATGACTGTGTTGTAACTGTGTGTTCCTCATTACGATTCTGTTACTCCATTGTCCCTGGGCCTGGTGTGTTCAGGAATGTACCCATCCCATTCTCTTTTTTTCAGACAACTTCCCATAAAAAAAAAATTGTGGGAACTTTGCCGATATGAGGATGGGATTGGCAGAGTTCTCTCAACCTGCTTGGAAAAATGTTTCTTAAAAGACTGCTAACTTTTAAAAGGCATGAGCCATCTAGCAGATTTTCCTAGTTGTCTCCTAAAGCCCTGCATATTTCCCAATAGAAAATAAACGAACCCATTGTTAGAGAAATGGACATCAGAACACATAGAGGGAATTGGTATGATGTGTATTTACTCTAGGGCTGCTATAGCTATGAACTGTGGACATGGGTTGTCCGGTCTGCACTTCTGCTTGCTGGCATCTCGTTATCCCATTAGCCCGCTGTTTAATTTACTACATACAGCACGAGGCCAGTGACTCAGCCTTTAGGGGAATGGGGCTGTTTCTCTCTCTCTCTCTCTCTTTCTCTCTCTCTATTTCCCAGCGTCATCTACGGTCATGGGATACCATTAATTCCTCCCTTCCAAATGGGAAAGAGACCAATCCAGTTCACACGGGTCATTGTACTTGAGAACCTAAACTTGGCTGAACACAGCTCGATGGTTGATCCAAATACGTTTTTCCTTTCTGTAAAGTGGCAAAAACTATTTCAAGGGAGCACGTGTATCAGATCTTTCATAGGGATGGTAGAAAAGGCAAATTAAGCCATTTCCCCAAGTATCCTCTAAAGCGGGAGCCCCTAAACCCATAGGGGGGCTGTGCTTTTAAATAGCTGTGAACGTGGTACATGCCCATGATATACTTTGTCTATTAGAATTTGAATATTGGTAGCAGGTTGGACGAAAGGGTTTGATTGGGGTATCAGCTAAAGGGGCCTCGACGACAGTGACTTAGCGCTGGACTGGGAATGGGATTCCCCAGAACCCACCTGGACGCAGCATGCCCCTCAGCCCAGGTCTCCGCTGCTCTGCTCAGGGGTGGGATGCGTGAGAGCAGCTGAGATCCAGACCCCGGGCCTCCTGCGGCGCCAAGTCAGGGGAGAGGAGGCCCCAGGCCCCTGCTTCGGGTCGCCATGGCAACGAGGCCTGGAATGCCACAGTGGTAGCCCTCTTCCTCGGCACATCCGGACTCCCAGTTCTGCTGCTTCAAGTCAATGTCCACAGCAAGGGAGGAACCCCGGAGGAAAATAACCACTCCCTTCTTCCCTTCACCATTGCCTTCCCCCTTCCAAAAAAGAAAAGAAAACTGCATGTTTGAAAGAAACTACAGGCAGTTTTTGGTGCAATTTGAGAGCAACTCTTTTGGGTTCTGGTTTTCTCTTCAGAGATTTGTTCGCCTCTTGTAAATCATTGGCTGCTTTGACGTTGAACTTGATGACATTTCATGTTTTCGTTGTGCTGCTTTTACATCAGTTTTGATTTTTTGTTTCTTTATAATTTTATTATTATTTTGAGAAGGTGTCCCCTTTCCCTCCTCCCTCTCCCGCTCTCCTCAACCAAAGGACTGTTTCTTACTAAGTTTTCTCAGTCATAAGGGCAAGTGTTTCCTTCCAGGTGTGTCCCGAGTTTATTAGGACTATCATACAATTGGGCAGGGGTGGGGGGACCTGGGTCCTCCTTGGGGGGACGGAAGGGAGGGAGGCATGGGAAGACGACTCAGAGGTCAGAGATACTTGGGGAGGGGAGGCTGAGTTTGAAATCATGCTTAAGATGCCAGTGGCTCGACCTGTGGTTGGTTTAAGTTCTAATTTTTAAAAAGCTAGTTAGAGAACAGAAAATCATTGGGCCAAGTCACACCTGTACTTTTTTTTTCCCCCTCCTCTGTCTCCAACCTCTTTCTAGGTTCTTCACACACCCCCATTCGGCGTAGTACCCAGAGAGCTCAAGATGTGTGGCAGTTTTCGGATGGAAGCTCGAGAGCCCTTAAGTTCTGAGAAAATTTGAAGCCCCCAGGGGTGGGGTGGACGCGTGCCGCCCAGTCGACGTCAGCGTGGTCTGTCATCCTGCTAGTTTGTGATGTTTTCTGACAGTAGCCTCCAAGAAGCCGTTGTGCGAAGACAGAGTCCTGCAGAGTCCTTCCAGCCTAGGCCTGCAGCGCCATTTTATTTATATTTTTTAATAAAAAGTAAAAACAAAAAAACAGACCCACATTGGAACAGTGAATCAGTCCCATAGAGAGGGCCCGTGGACCATCGCTGTCATGAGTGATGCCCTGGCCCTTCTGAAACCAGCCAACCTAATTACCTGTATTGTGGAAATGCGCATGAGTCCCCAACCCCTTGTTTCTATACATTCTATGTTGTCTTTTAAAAAGTGTGCTTAACATTGACACAATAAATGTTGGAGCTTTAGGTGGTGTTTGCTTGTTCTTTAATTTTTAATGCTTATAAGACAATGAGGCTGCTTATGATTTTGTACTTCTGTACCTGTTTCCTACAGACACCCATCGGGTGGGTAGGAGGAACAGATTTGAGAAATGGGCAGGAGATGTAGGAGGGGAACTAGGTTACCGCTTATCAGATGGCATAAATTTTCAAGGAGAATCAAAATGCAAAACTTGGGAATAAATCATAGCAATATCATAATTAATGTAGTAGTAATATTGCTGTTTATTAATGCTGAAGTGTGGTTTTCCTAACTGTCTGACTTATAATTTGCATACCATTAAATAATGCATAATATGGCACGCCGAATCCTGTTTTTCAAATATATGCTTTTGGTGGCTACCATGCAGGATTTGAATTTGTCTTTTAATTTAGCTTAGGAAAGAACATCACTGGGCGAGCGGTAAATCCTAAAGAAGGTGATAAATGTCAGTAGTTTCTTATTAAATATTCTAATTTTAGGTTCCCAAACCTTCAGGAAATATATCTTAATGCAGACAAACAAACATAAAACTTCTTTAGTACTTACATCAGGAAATTTGGGGCAGATTTTAGAGGGGGGAAATTATAGGAGGAAAGAAGTTCACATCAGAACAGACAATCACAGCAATGCTCTATTCCTTAGAAATTAGTGCCACAAATAAGTTACATCTACAAACAGGTGGTAAAAATTCTTTCTGGCCCAGTTAATTTGCACAGAACTTTTCTCAGTTTGGTATTTTTTACTGCTTGGAGATCCAGAAGAGAATTAGAAACAACATAGCAAATTAAAATAGGTTTGTCAATAATAGAGCTCAGACACCTGTGTGCTGTAGATTCACATACAGGCCGTGAACCTAAGTGGGGAAAAT
This sequence comes from Homo sapiens, assembly GCF_000001405.40. Classification (NCBI taxonomy): domain Eukaryota; kingdom Metazoa; phylum Chordata; class Mammalia; order Primates; family Hominidae; genus Homo; species Homo sapiens. The sequence continues at coordinate 60,451,273 of NC_000002.12, read as the reverse complement.
CCTACCTATCCACCTTCTGGCTAGATTACCTAGCTTAGTGAAAAGATAGCCAAATAATTGGCATGTGAATTATTTCCTGCTTATTCATAATAAATAATGACTGTCTACAGTAGTGAACTACCTTATACTGTATACAGTGCTGTCTCGTGCATTATTTCACCTGCTCTCTGGGACAGATCTCACGACTTCTACTTTATGGAGGTGGAGATTGAGGCTTACCAAGGTTAAGGGCTTGCCAGAGGCCACATCAGTAAGAGAGAAAGCAGAGAAGCCAGGTTTTCTGGTTTCTTGTCCAGAGCTAATTTCACCAAACTCTGTTTAACTGATCAAAGGGAGTATCTTTTCCTGTGTTAGCACATAAGTCATAAATGTTCACAGACACACACATGTGGCTTACACATACAGACCCAGGATGGCCTTTGGTAAAGGCATGCAGAGTTGCCTCTTCCTACCAACAGATGTGTGCACTGAGAAAGGGAGGTTGCAGCCTCCTTGCCATCACCTTTCCCCTGTGGCTTTTCCATGACAAATAACCCTGATTGCACGAGTGGCCTGTTTGTGACTTCCTATCAATTAGTTGGGACTTCCAGACAAGAAGTTATTTCATAAAGAAACCCTCTCCCTGCCCCATGCTCTGCCTATGTGTTGCTGAAACATAAGACCATTAGGGTTTCTGTGATGGCTTCCTCCCTAAATGTGCTGAACTCCTTGCTGATGCCTAGAAAGAGTGACACCACTTCCAAAGGGAGGCCAGAACTGAAACAACAATCCTGGGTCTTGAGACAAGTTCAGCCTTTGTAACTGCACTTGGTGGTCACTACACTTTCATTTCTGGTCTGTGTTTCTACCCCCACTTTTTATATATTTCTTCTCAGAGTCAGTTTGTAAATAAGTGGATATCTCTAAAAGTGGGATTTTTAAGGGGCAAGAGGATAACAGAAGTGGATAAAGGATATTGTTTTATCCTCTTCACTGTGGAGAAGAACCCCCTCAAAACAAACAGAACAAAAAGACTGTCTTTTCCCATGGCTTTTAAAGTTGAAAGACAACAAAAATTTATTTACAGAATTTATTAGGAAACGGTATTGTGTTAGGGCTAGCCATTTTTTTTTTTTTTTTTTTTTTTTTAAGACAGAATCTCGCTCTGTCACCCAGGCTGGAGTGCAGTGGCAAGGACTCAGCTCACCACAACCTCCGCCTACTGGGTTCAAGGGATCCTCCTGCCTCAGCTTCCCAAGTAGCTGGGACTACAGGCACGCGCCACCACGCCCAGCTAATATTTTTTGTATTTTTAGTAGATACGGCGTTTCACCGTGTTAGCCAGGATGGTCTCCATCTCCTGATCTCGTGATCCACCCTCCTAGGCCTCCCATAGTGCTGGGATTAGAGGCATTGCACTACCTCACCTGGCCTAGGGCTAGACTTTTGAAACCCCATACAAGATTGACAATTTGGGAAGACATCTCTCTGTGTGATGAGTCAAGATCATGGTTATCCATGAATGGCAGAAGCAGGGAAGAGGCTCACAAATCTGCCAGGGGTTCTCACTGTGTCCTCTCTGCAGAGTGGAACTTCAGATTGCAGAGAGATAAATTGGTTGCCTGACATGAGCACAGACTAGAGGACAGAGTCCCAGCCACTTGGATGGAGGAGACCAAATACAGGGCATTGTTTTTACTTTCCCAAGCCTTTTGTGGGCTGTTCAGATTATTATTATTATTATTATTATTATTATTATTATTATTATTATTATTGTTGAGATGGAGTCTCACTCTATTGCCCAGGCTGGAGTGCAATGGCACGATCTTGGCTCACTGCAACCTCTACCTCCCGGGTTCAAGTGGTTCTCCTGCCTCAGCCTCCTGAGTGGCTGGGATTACAGGTGCGTACCACCTGGCTAATTTTTGTATTTTTAGTAGAGACGGGGTTTCACCATGTTGGTCAGGCTGGTCTCGAACTCCTGACCTCATGAGCCACCTGCCTCGGCCTCCCAAAGTGCTGGGATTACAGGTGTAAGCCACCGCGCCCGGACAGATTATTACACTGTATAAAAAAGGTCTGTTAGAATTGGGGTCCATGATGGGAGAGAAAGACACTCAAAGCCCCTGCAGCACCCAGCATCCAGCATGTTGAATATCAGCCTGTTTGAGAAATAATTGTTTCAAAAACCAGTGATCATTTAAAGAAAACTCTTAGGCAAGGAGTGCAATCTTGGAATCTGCTGAGGTCTAACTGAGTGCCCCAAACCTTGGCAGCATATTTTCTGGGCACTTTTGCTTGGAGTTTCCAAGAGCATTCAGATTAAAACCAAGCCCTTCAAGTGGTCAGGAATATCTTTCAGGTTTTGTATGCGTTGACATGATTTTTTTTTTTTTTTGATAGTGAGGTTAACATTGACGAAGATGGCTATATTTATTCCTATTTTTAAAAATTCTTATTTTATAATTCTTATTTTATAAATCAGTGTCCCCGGAAGTAATAGTAGGATTAGAATGGAAGTATTTTGTAGGCTGTTGGTTCTGTTCTTACAGTATGCCACATAGCTTTGACTCCTTTTGGAGTATAGTGTGAAGGAAGCAGATTTGAGGAATTTTGAGTCTGGTGGAAGTTCCAAAATAACTGGTGATGCAAGCACACCTTCCTTCTTCAAGAGTTCATCTTGAGTTCCTAACCAGCAGAGAAACAATATTATATTTCTTTCCTCTGACTGCCTAGGAGAGACAGTACTCTTCAGTTTGCATTCCCCTGGAGTTACATTAAGTCATGGAACTTCTCACTTCCAGTAAAATCCAGAAGCAGTCATTGTCTGTTTTTCTATCTTAGTTTAAATTAGGATATCTTATTACGAACCACATGGCCTTTCTTTTTGCTTTGTATTTTAAAAAATGCTCCCAGGAAGTACTTAAGCTTTATAGAATACTTTTATATACATGATAGAATCAATTTTCCTTGTGATTCTATAAATTAGATAAGAAAAGAATAGACTGAAGTTGAAAGGAATCCTAGTAATCACTCATTTTAGAGATCAGAATAATAAGGGCCCAAAGATTAAGTGAAGTACCTAAGATCACAGTGTGAAAAAAACATCATAGCCAAGCTTGAAACCACACAGTTAGTGGCTGAGTCAGAATTGGAACCCAAGTCTCCCAGCTCCTGTGCAAAGGAATTCAAGTGGCAAATCTCTCCCTAGTGACCCACTAAATTCAGAAATAGGAATAGCAGAAAAGTATGCATTTCAGAAGGATTTAAGAACAAACCCAAAAGCTTGTTTTGGTAGTGCCAGTACTAGCAGGGAACATGTCAGCCTGCCCCATACGGAAAACAGGTTTCTAAAATAGTATTCCTATGACGGAGAAGATTTAGGTCACAACCTGAATGGATTCTTCTTTAATTCACCCCTCCAACGGTAGAAATAAACCTGGAGACCAAGAATTGCTGAGAGACAGCTTTTAAAGTTAAAAGGGCTGCTCATCAAACCAAATTCATCTCCAATGACTTAAGTGGGTCTCACAATCTGTTCCATTCTCTAGACAAGATATAAGAGAAACACCCACTGAATTTGAATTTTGATGCCACATCACATCCTGTTAGAGAATCCAAATAACCAATAGCATAACCTGTATCTTTTTCTTTCTTTTTTTTTTTTGAGATGGAGTCTCACCCTGTCTCCCAGGCTGGAGTGCAGTGGCGTGATCTCGGCTCACCGCAACCTCTGCCTCCCTGGTTCAAGTGATTCCCCTGCCTCAGCCTCCTGAGTAGCTGGAACTACAGGCAAAAGCCACCATGCCCAGCTAATTTTTTGTATTTTTAGTAGAAATGGAGTTTCACCATGTTAGCCAGGCTGGTCTCAAACTCCTGACCTCAGGTGATTCGCCCACCTTGGCCTCCCAAAGTGCTGGGATTACAGGCGTGAGCCACCACACCCGGCCTCTGTGGCCATTTCTTTTCTTGCCAGTCACCCTTTGATTCACATTTATTTCTAGTGGACATGGGTTGACTTTGAATGTCTTGGGGCCCGGTAGGGCAGCAGTTGCTGTGCGCAGCAGCTGTTTAGAGCCTGCACAGGCAAAGCCCTCCCTGAAATAGGAGAAAGACAGCGGGAAGCCTCACTGAGCAACAGCAAATCAAACATCCCTGTTGAGGATGGTCTGAGACGAAGTAATTTGCCTGATTTTTCCCCCAGTGATAGTTGCCTGAATTTCCTTAGATGGTAATGCAAGCAGACAACTCCCGCTGCCATTTCTGAACCTTCTGCTTCTCTCTCCCTGCTGATTTGTCCCTCTTCTAGAATACGTAGAAAGCCAATTGAGAGGTAGGAAGAGATTAGCTTCCTTTGGGCTCTAAGATTTGCAGTTACTCATGCTTCTATTTCAGAGTGACTGATTTTACCTGTTGCTTCACCACACAAAGGGGAAAAACCCAAAATGCAAATATTCCTCTTCAGAAACTCACCCAAAGCTCAGAACTCAGGAACACAAGAGATTTTTCTTTAAAGCGGTCCTTTGTGTGGATTTGCCTGCAGCCAATATGCCTTATTTGTGGAACTCTTTTTATTTTTCAGCTTCTCTGAGAGCACATTTTCTTTTCCCTCTGACACAGGCCTATGTGTTGGGGGCAGGATGAGGATGGGGTTCCTGTGCTTTTTGGTCTGGACTGGTAAATGGTGCTGTTCTCTGAGCCCACAGCTCAGGGTTATGATCTTGGCTTTATCATTGCCATGCTGACCCACCTGGTGTCCCCTCTTTCTGCATGTGACACATTCAAGGCCCATTCCTCCCTCTGAAAAAGGAAGGACACAATCTGTTTCCTACCTCCTACTTCCCAGCAGCACGCAACAGTCACAGCAGTGGGAGACATTCTTGTGTTCCGGCCTCTTGGGACTGGAGTGTTGACATCCAGTCTTGATGGCCACGGGGATGTGGGGTTGTGGTCCATGTTAAGGGTGGGCTTTTCTTTGCTTTTGGCTAGTAAACCCATTTTTCTTTATAAGCTTATGTCACAGAAAAAAAGCAGCAAGCGATTTTTGTTCGAAAACCAAAGCTGTCGTCATGCACACATTTTTTACACAGTTGCTTGTACAGTGCTCAGGGTGCATCTTATCACTTTGGTTGTACTTTAAGGTTGGGGGTCCCTCTTCACCCCTTTTCCTGCTGGAGGGTAGCATGGAGGGCAGCCCTTTCCCACAGGGCCTCGGCATCTCACTGAGGGTGGCAAAGCACCAAACTTCTTCGGGTGCCTGGAGATCCAGGCCCAGATGTTTCTGAAATGTGATCTCTGACTGAGAACCTAACCCTTCTCGTCCTTGATTGGCAGACTGCCCAGAGCTTGGTAAAGAGGAAAACGTAGGTTAAAGTAGAAATAATCATATCAGCTAATGTTTATTGAGAATTTACTATGTTCTAGGCACAGTGATAAGGATTTTCCAAGCATGTTCTTTTTTTTTTTTTTGAGATGGAGTTTTGCTATTGTTGCCCAGGCTGGAGTCCAATGGCATGATCTCAGCTCACTGCAACCTCCGCCTCCCGGATTCAAGCAATTCTCCTACCTCAGCCTCCAGAGTAGCTGGGATTATAGGCACGTGCCACCACGCCCAGCTAATTTTTATATTTTTAGTAGAGACGGGCTTTCACTATGTTGATTAGACTGGTCTCGAACTCCTGACCTCAGGTGATCCACCCACCTTGGCCTCCCAAAGTGCTGGGATTACAGACGTGAGCCACCGTGCCTGGCCTCCATGCATGTTCTTATTTCTTCTTCCTGATCATCGTGTGGTATAGGTACTATTATTATTTTCATTCTACTTAAGCTTAGAGAGACTTTAAATGACATGTCTAAGGTTTTGCAAATAGTACTACTACTGTCATATAACTACAGAATGCTTACTCCCAACCTCTACCTTTTGACTCCTAGTATCTACCTCATCCTGAAATTTTCTTACCACTTGTAATGCCAATGCTGAGTTTACCATCTTAAAAAATTAACAGCAGTGCTAATTAAACTGATTAAGAAGTCTATTCAAAGTGGTTTTGCTTTGAGGGCTCTGGTTCTGCAGACTATGGAGCAAGGCTGGTGCCATTTCGTGCTGTGGTACTTGCATTTCTGTCCATTTCTGATGCTGGGAGGACCGGTATGGTTTTGTGAGGCATATCTGAGGAATTCACTCTCCAGTATTCTCCATCTGCCGTATGGCTCATTCATTTGTTCAATCAACAAATATTTATTAGGTTCCTGCTATATGCAACCTGCTGAGTTAAGTGCTGGGGAAGGGATGCAAAGAGGTAAAAGGCACAGACATTGTGCATCAGAAATTGCTACCAGTGGAGAATTAAATTAATTAGAATCCTATTAAATAACTGGTTGCAGTTAAGCTGGTACGGTGAGAATAGTGGGCTTTACAAAATGCTGATATAGAATTCACTTTGCATGTGTAGCTAGCAGTCCCAGGCAAAGGGCCTGAGTACTCTGGAATGAATGGGAACGTTATTCTTCATACTTCATCAGTGGTACACACACTTAAAACTTGTTTTTCAAATGGTAGGGATGAGTATACATTGATGTTTCCTCACATATTTGGCCCAGTCCTTCTTGTAAATAACAACACCAATGATTTAGAAAGAGGTTAGTAACAGGAACACAATCTTTGTAAAGATAAGAGACCTGTAACAGGGGATAAGTCCACGTATTTTAACCTTCTGAACTGACCTCTAACTGATTACCTGCCACTAATTCATTCCAAATGGAACAAGACAAAGAAATCTTTACTTCTCCTGTTTGCAGTATTATCTTTCTCAGATCATCAGCATAAGCAAATATTTTCCCCCAGCCTACAGTGTGCAAGAGGCTCTAGGCACGTGGGGAACTATAAATAGGTACAAGATCAAACCCCTGTCCTCAAAGGGATTACAGTTGGTCCTATGGGGGGGCTAAGATTATATGCATAAAAGCACATAACAATAGGAGAGGGTAATATGATTAATCCATTAGTGAGAGATGCCAACTGGAGGAATGCAGAGGAAGATAATTTCTCTGAGGCCCACAGAGATGTTAGGCTTTTAGCCATCAAAGACAGGCTAGAATTTAGATGACAGAGAGAAAAGATGACAGCAAACCAGTTCAAGGCAGTACTGCAGTGTCTGGAGGGCACTGACCAGACCAGTATGGCAGGAAGAGGTTTGTCTATGAAACTAGTGGAACATAAGGTGGGAAACTAATTTGGGGCCATGTTATGGAGAAATTTTGACAATAGGCCAAGGGGCTTGTATTTTATCTTATAGTCAATAACATTTTCTTAAATCTTTTTTTTTTTTTTTTTTTTGAGACTGAGTTTCACTCTTGTTGCCCAAGCTAGAGTGCAATGGCATGATCTTGGCTCACTGCAACCTCCGCCTCCCAGGTTCCAGCAATTCTCCTGCCTCAGCCTCCCGAGTAGCTGGAATTACAGGTGCCCACCACCACGCCTGGCTAATTTTTTGTATTTTTAGTAGAGACAGGGTTTCATCATGTTGGCCAGGCTGGTCTTGAACTCCTGACCTCAGGCGATCCACCCGCCTCAGCCTCCCAAAGTGCTGGGATTACAGGAGTGAGCCATCGCACCTGGCCTTTCTTAAATCTTATAGTCAGTTAATGATTATTCAAAATCATGTCCATAGAAAAGTTTTGGAAGAGTGTAGCAGGGCATGAAATAGATTGAAAGGGAATTCAAAACAAGCCAAGAGACCAGTAGAAGGCCGATCCTGGAAGGCACTGGTTGTTTCATTGAAGGATTCTGCTGTGCATACAGTACTTGGGTTAAACTATGTAGTCATCCTTGACACATTCAAATAGACATTGACCCTGTTGTTTGAAGCTGTATCTAAATTCCCCATTTGTGCTGGTCTAGACCCATCAAAGACTGTAGAAGCTTGAAAAAGTTCTTCCTTATGGGTTGATCCTACACCACACCACACCACAAACAGCCTAAAGATAAAGACCTTGAGGCCCAAACAGGCCAGTTAGTTCCTAGGGATTGACTATTTTTACAACACAAAGGACGACTTCATGTCTCATTAAGCACTTAACACTTTAGTATCATGTCTCAAAGCAAAATGATAAACCTAACAGAAAAAAGAATAGAACGCTACAAGATTTTTGCAGATCAGAGAGGTACAAATACTTCTTTTTTGAGGGGAGATTTAAGAATTTTTTTCTTTTTGTAGACACAGGGTCTTGTTTTGTTGCCAGGCTGGTCTCAAACTCCTGGCTTCAAATGATCCTCCTGCCTTGGCCTCCCCAGGTGCTGGGATTATAGGCGTGAGCCACCACCCAGCTGTGATTTAAGAATTTTTTGATTCTCCTATTTGTAAAAGTTACATTATATTGTTTTTTCTTTGCAATATGCTTGTTGGTACAGGCCCGTGTCCTGTAATAATATTATTTTATTGCCATTTGGCCACAACATTAGATGAATTTCGTAATAAAGGCATGGATTAGAATAAGCAAGCATGTATATACATAACCAAAGAAGCATTCTCTGCACAAAGTAAGGCAGTGCAGGCTGGGGCTTCACTCTCTTGGAGCTTGCATTTCAAAAATAGAGACTTGGTATTTTTGTACTGCAGTCATAAGTCATATCATCTGGTGTCCTTCCCTATCTCTCTCCCCCATGCCTACTATCCTGTTTCTCCTGGAAGCAGGACTAGTCTATGACTGTCCAGTGTCTTAAGTCATAATATTTAGGGCATATAAAGAATTCCTTTTTGGTGCTGGATTGCAAACTCTCTATTTCATCCTAGAGTTTCTCCCAGAGCTCTGTGGTCTCCACTCCTGTGACCTGCCATGGCCACAAGTCTCAGCAATGCCCACCCTGCAACACCCCCACCTCAGGACGGTGGCCTAGGAGCAAGCGTGTAAATAAATGCTAAGGATCAGTCACAAGAGAACGGCCGGGAGGCGTCTGAGGGGTTCAACACACATGGAAGTGTTCCCCTGAGGTGTGAAAACACTCTGCTATTACCAGGACGCCCCATATTTCCCCTCCCACTGAAATATAGTAAAGTGTAATGAAAAAGTGAGGTATAGACCTTGAGTGGGGACAGGGAGGAAAGCAAGGCCTGTGTGAGATGAAGTCTGTGAGCAGGCAAACTTCCTTCACTAGCTAAGCACCCCCTCTTCATGTCAGCACAAGGCTTAATCCGTGCCTCAGCAAAACATAATCACTAAAAGTCATACATACTATACTTGGGTTAGGAAATGCAAGCATGCATTCCAAGGGCCTGTTTGCATAGATTCGTTCTTTTCCATTTTGCCCATGAGTCAGAATCATGGTATATGTATGGGAAGTATGCACATATGCACAGTCACATATAGTTCCTTGTGTATATATCTATTTATAGCACATGCCTATTCATGTGCCACCCGTATACACACATCTATCTAGACATAAAAAAATGCCTCATCTGTAACGACTATGACGATCTCAATGACATTACTGGCCTTGATCTTTGATAGTCATTATCCTCTAGTTTCTGTAGTCTTATCCTCAGAAGCTGTATTCACTCTGGGCTCCCACTCTTCTCCTGGAGTTAAAGGTAAAGGCTAGAAAGCCAGGCCAGCAAAGGTTAGCATATATCCTCTCCTGGCCTAGGGGGTCCTTGTGTCTATAGAACAGATGTGGGGTGGGCTGGAGCCAAGTAAACCTATCCCCTCTCCTACTGGAAATCACATTGAATTCTGACCCAAGGGGCCTCCGTGTTGCAAATGGAAAGGTAATTAAGCTACAAGACTTTGAGCCTTTTGGGGTTGAGAGGGCTTTTCACATCCAGTATATTTTCGAAGAGCAGAGGGTAGAGGTCAGAGAGACGTAGGAGGCCTTGAAGAGAATAGAAACAAGATAATAGGTGCTGGGTGCATTGCCATTAGGGGGCATGGATAAACAGAAAACACATTTAAAAATTAATTTTAGTTTTAAAACACACTGAGAATTCTACCAGCATTCTTGGTGGTGTGACAGAAGCATGGGGTTACCAACTTGCCCAGTGAGTGTGCTGGGAAGACGGATGGGTTGGAGTGCTCCTTCTGCTATTACTGTGATTATTTTTTAAATGATTATCATCGTGGAAAAGTTTCACCTGTGGAGACCTGGAGAGAGACCTCGAAGGACAGGAGCCCTCCGCTGGTAACGACACTTGGTTTTTAACCAACACAGCCAAGGATGGAGCCCAGTATCTAGAGGGAGGTAACCAATCCCCAGGAGCAGCCCCCTGAGGAATGTTGGTCCCATTTCAGCCACTGCCAGCAAGGAGAGTTCTGCTAGCTGTGACTCGGTGTTGATTCAGATGATTCCTCCGGGGTGTATGGCTGCAGTAGAGCTTGGAAAATCTGAAGCAAGTGAGAGGACTTGAGATTTCCATTTAGGAATGTTGACACCTTCCCATGTTCAAAGGACGTGTGTGTGTGTGTGTGTGTGTGTATGGGTGTGCATGTGTGTTGGGCCTGTACAGAGGGTAAGAGTCCATCCTTTCTCCACCACCCAGCTGTGTTAGGCTTGCTGAAGTGGAAGGTGCTGCCCGTACAAGGCTCACCCTCTCCTATCATCTCCCTTCTTTGGAACCAAGCTGACAGAAATCTTTAGCATGGGCACTCTTGGTTGTTTTTTTTTTTTTTTTTTGATGGGCCAAGCTTACAGTTTTCAAAGTGCTATGACAGGATGGTTGCAAAAATAAAAAGCTAGTGAAAGCTTAGTCACAATATTTCTATAGCTGGCAATCAAAAGATCATATTGCATGCAACTGGCAAAATCATCATAGGGAAATTATGCATTTTCCAGAGTACCTTATTCCCTTCTGTGTATTAAACATTACTTTAATATTCTGGTGACAATGTTTTATAATTAATCTAAATGTAAGAGAATGAACACACCAGAGATTATGTCTCAGTGCAAAGAGGTGAAAAAGGCTTCTTCGCAGTGGCAGACTGGATTACAGACTCAACTCCTTTCACTTATGAGCAACCACAGCTATCACTGAGGGCTAATATCCCGCCACATCCTCCAGTGAATGCAAACATTCTGTACACTTTGGGGAGTAAAACCCTTTCACTCATAAGGGTGTTAATGTTAACACAGAAGAAAAGTGTTTTAAAAATTGCATTAGTTCATGGACTTATATTGAACTCATGAGGGGGAATCTAGCCCCAGAGAGATAAAAACTAAAGAGCTCAGCCATAAACCAGTATGATAACATCCTTATTATAAGATGCAAATTGAGGGACCCAATTCACTAAAACACATGTTACTGGTATTTAATTTTGCTTGTGGGAATATATCAGAAGTTGGCCTATGCCTTATGCACAATGTACTTAAAACGAGGGCGAGTAACTTTAGCTATAAAAAACAGTGATAAAGCAGCACAGGGCAAGCCGGGATTGAGAGATAATTGCGAGGCTCTAATTTAAGTGTCAGCGTACACAGCTTTCTTTCCTGGCTTAGGCTGGGAGGCACAGCGCCCGTGTGCTGGAGGCGAGTTGGCTCCGGGTGGGGGAGGCTGGGGTTCCAAACCAGGGCAGGGGAATGGTGGCCCTGCGTGGCTCGTGGACCTCTCTCAGGGACCCCTCTCAGCAGGGGCCGGAAAAGCAGGCCCACACCCAGTGGTCATTGCAGGAACTTCACTTGAGCTGGTCTGCTTGTGAGCCTGTGGTTTGGAGAGGAGAAGACGCACTTCCCCATGAGAAAAAGGTCAGTTCCTCTTTCCCTGGGTGGCACAAACAGCCTTCTGGGTAATTAGTGGCCTTCCTGCCACCCTTGAGTCAGTGAATTCCCTCTCAGGGTGTCACTGAGAGGATGCACTCTGTGTGTCTCCAGGTGGTCATCCCCATGGGCTCCACAGATGAGGACACCGGCCCTCAGCTCTGCCCCCTCTCAGAAGCCTTCCTCACCTGGGGGTTCTGGGTGAAGGGAGCTCCCCGCCAGAGACTCATGTGGGATCGTGTGTGGACCGTAGAGCCACAGAGCGTCATCTGTAAGCCAGGTGAAATGCGCAACCTGCAGCCCCTCCCTCCTCAGACCTATGAGTCACGATCTGCGTTTTAGGGAGGCACATGAACTTGTGAGAAGTGTGCTACCCCTACCCTCTGACCACTGCATGAGCCCCTCTTTCACCATTTAGGGCTTGCAGGGTTTGAAGAATTAAGAGAGGGTCTTCCAAATGCCTCCTTTTTAGGGGGTTAAACCTTTATGATTAGAGGGAAAATTATTGCAAGAAGCATAGGGATGCATCAGAGGTCAATAGGGCGCAAGCATGAAATACCACTAACACTATGTTAGATAACATCAGGGGTCACCTTGATGTTGGCTGCGGAGGAAAGGGATGTCCAGCCCTTGAGGACATGAGATGTTTGCTGAGAGACACATTTACTCTGATGGCGTTGGCTCAAGCCCAAGAGGACGCTATGGACATAAGTGTGGTCTGCCCCTGCCTAACCCTCTCCAGAAATAGGCCACCAGCCACCTCCTGAAGAGTGAAAGTTAGGGACAGCAGGGAGGAGAGGGAAGGGGCCGGAGGACAGGGGTCCCCAGGTCACCTAATGATGAAACTCAGTTAACCTTGAGGCAGACTGGGTGAGCCTGCGGTTATTGCAGGGGCTTCTTAGACTAACTCTGCCCCGCTAAACTGCCAAGGTCTGGATTTCCTTAATAAGATGAAAATCTTTTTATAACACAATTAGGAGAGAAAATGCTTACCCCACAAAGGCTGGGTTGAGGTAACACTTAAGTGTGAATGGGTTAAAGAATAACCAGCCAATCAATCACCAAGTCTCAACAAGGAGTGAAGACACGGAACTCTCCTGGTTTTGCTGGGGTGCACTGAACAAGTGTGGGAAAGACTCAGATAAAACTGATCAGAAGGCTGGGTGCCGAGCGTGCATTTTGAAGTCTCTCCTCTTAGCCAGGAGTCTGGGGGCCTAGCTTACGTCACAGTGAGAAAGGAAGCATCTCAGCAAGGGTTATATTTCAGTCAGGCAGCTGCAAAGACCACAGCTCAACTTTGCATTCTTCAATAAAGCTTTTTGCTTTTTTTGTTTTTAAACCCAGATTATTTCATACAAAGGAGGTTGGCTCTTAGGGCTTTATTAATTGGAGCATTATATTTAAATGTCTTATTTTTCCATCTGATCCTGTCTTACTCTTCGTGGCTTCCCTTGTAGCAAGCATAACCCTCCTCACGTAATTCCTGGGTGATGAGTGAACTCTGCATAGATGCCCAGAGGTAAATGGCCTTTGGAAGGGCCAAGAAGAACTTTGGTGGGATAATTTCCTCTCCTAGGATGGATTTTATTTTCCTTATTGTGTTGTCACTAGAACGGCCACATGCATCCAGGTCTCTGGAGTAACTTACTTTTGTTTTCTTTCCATTTTTAAAAAGCAAAGTGGACATTTTTCTCAAGCGTTTTGAAGTTCAAATTAACATCATCAGATCATCTAAACGCTCTCAGATGGGCAGAAGATTGGGGATGGGTCGGGGGAGTGGGATCACTAATTACCACATTCAAATGTGTGGATTCAAATGCTCCTATTTCTCCTATAGTTTAGATCCAGGCTTTAACTTCAGTTTCCTGTGTGACCTTTGAGAAGCCATCCCTCCAAGTGCTTCCTTTGAAGGGTGAGCCCTGGGTGCCTCTCTCTGAGGGAGGCCCTTGCTCCATCTGGGCTTGACTGTGCCACGGGGGATCAGAAGCAACATACATTCTGTCAGCAGCTGCCGGAAATGCTGGAGCAGCAGTCCTGGAGGCGGGGTGAAGCAGTCCCTGGCTTTTGGAGGAGGCGTGAGAAGAAATTCATGGGGGGCTTTAATTCTTTTCAGATTCCCAACCATTTTCTTCTAGCTGCTACTGCCTGCATTTGTGTAACTTAGTTTGCAACACAGGTGACAAGCTTTCTCTCGTTGGATGCTCATTGCAGCACTGTGGGGCGATGCAGCCAGGCAGGTGCTATTGCCTCCATTTCACTGATTGAGAGACTGAGACTCAGAGCAGCTGGGAGCTCTCCTGAGATAACACAGCTAGTTAGAAGTCAAGCCAGGTCCCCAGGGTAGAGCTTTCAGTAGTGTGTGAGGACAGCATAAAATGAAGTCTGTAGACTGTTTTTTTCTCTGAGAAGTTCAAGTCTTCTGCCTTGCTGCTTCTTCCCTCCAAGACAATAAGTTGGTTCGGTGCCCTCTCCGGTGACAAACTTAGGAAACATCTCTTCAGTATGAGGTAGCAGCCTCCTTTAGCTATTGTCACAGCCAATTCACAGAGGTCTAAGGCCCCCAGCTTAATTGATGGTTAAGGACCAATTCCACCCTATTCCTCCACCTCCATCAAAAAAAGCAGGCAAACACCACTTCATGCCTACTAGAATGGCTATTAAAAACAAACAAACAAAAACAGAAAATAACAAGTGTTAGTTAGAATGTAGAGAAGATGGAGACCGCATGCATTGCTGGTGGGAATGTCAAATGGTGGAATCACTGTGGAAAACAGTTTGGCAGTTTCTCAAAAAGTTGCACACTTACCATACGATCCTGAAATTCCACTCCCAGGTGTATAGCCAAAAGAATGGAAATCAGGGATTTAAGCAGATTTCTATACACTCACGTTCATAGCAGTATTAGTCACAATAAACGCAAAGTAGAAACAACCCAAGCATCCATAAAAAGATGAATGAGGCCCGGCGTGGCCGCTCATGCCTGTAATCCCAAGCACTTCAGGAGGCCGAGGCGGGCAGATCACTTGACACCAGGAGTTCAAGACCAGCCTGGCCAACATGGTGAAACCCCGTCTCTACTAAAAATATAAAAATTAGCCGGGCGTGGCGGTGCATGCCTGTAATTCCAGCTACTCAGGAGGCTGAGGCACGAGAATCACTTAAGCCCGGGAGGCGGAGGTTGCAGTGAGCTGAGATCATACCATTGCACTCCAGCCTGGGTGACAGAGGGAAAATCTGTCTCAGGAAAAAAAAAAAAAAAAAAGAAAAGAAGAGATGAATGGATAAACAAAATGTGAGCTATACACACAGTGGAATAATATTCAGCCATAAAAATAAATGAAATTTTGACATATGCTACAACATGGATGGACCTCACATACATTGTGCTAAATGAGATATGCCAGATATAAAAGGAGCAATATTATATGATTCCACTTCCATGAGGTACCTATACTGGGTAAATTCATAGAGACAGAAAATGGAATAGAGATTACTAAGGGATTAATGAGGGGATGGGGAAGGGGAGCTACTGTTTAACGGGTAGGGAATTTATGCTGGGGATGATGAAAAAGTGTTGGAGGTAGACGGTGGGATGAGGACACAGCATTGTGAACGTACTTAATGCCACTGAAGTGTATACTCACAAATGATTAAAATGGTAAATGGTACATTATATATATATATTAACACAATTAAAACAGACTGTTAAAAGAAAGCAAACAGGCCAGGCGCAGTGACTCATGCCTGTAATCTCAGCACTTTGGGAGGCCAAGGTCACTTGAGGACAGGAGTTCAAGACCAGCCTGGCCAACATGGTGAAACCCTATCTCTACTGAAAATACCAAAATTAACTGGGACGTGGCAGCACATGCCTGTAATCCCAGCTACTTGGGAGGCTGAGGCACGAGAATCGCTTGAACCTGGGAGGCGGAGGTTGCAGTGAGCCGAGATTGCACTACTGCAGTCCAGCCTGGGTGACAAGAGTGAGACTCTGTCTCAAGAAAAAAAAAAAAAAAAAAAAAAGGAAGCAAACAAACCCAAATAGAAAACAACAACCGAACAAACAAAAGCAAAAAAGGAGGCAAAGGAAGAAGAGAGGGCCCAAGGGTAAAGGACAGGGGCTGGTGTGGAAGACACAACAGTACATCATGAAAAGGAACAAGGTGTCTCTGGGAGAGGTCCAGGTGGTGCTCTGCCCAAGGGGTCGCATACCTTAGTGCTGGGAAGAGAGGCATTCTCTGGGGCCTGAGACTCCTGCAGGGAAACTGTCCCAGTATCAGCCAGAGAAGAGATGGCTTTCTTTTACTGCATGGCAGCAGCCCTGGAGCCCCGGGGCAGGATCATATCCCTAGGGTGGGAGAAGTGCCCATTTCCAATTTATTTATGTGTTTTATCCCCAGAGTGGGATAAATGACTATGAAACTGACCTAATATTTATGTCTATTTTAAGGCCGGGGGTTGATATGAGTGCTTTCTTGATGAACTGCGCCCTTAGAGCTATTTACTTTAGTGGAAGGTTTCTTTTGAGGAGGAGATTGGGAAAAGTCATCAAATTCCGTGGTTGCTGCTTCCTCTAATTATATTCTCACTTTTGAATAATTTTTAAGCCTTTCGGAAGTAGAAGAAATAGGGGCTTTTAAAATGATGGGAGCATTCCCAACAAAGGTAAAATGCTCCCTACCTTGGGGCCCAGCTCTTTACTGTGAGTTTGTGACATCTACTTTTATCATTCTAAAAGTTTCATGTTGTCCATACTGCCTGTTAGGAAACATGGAAAAGCTGGCTTTCAAACTTGGACTTGGAGCCAGGCATGGTAGCATGTGATTGTAATCTTAGCTACTTGCTTGAGCTGAAGACTTTGAGGCTGCAGTGAGCTATGATTGATTGTGCCACTATGCTCCAGCTTGGATGACAGAGCGAGACCTCAGTCTCAAAAAAAAAAAAAAAAAAAAAAAGGGACTAAGGCTGGCAGAGACAAGAAGACTAAACTTTGTATTAATTTGTTGTATGGTCATTCCTTGTTTTTTCAGAATGGACTCCTCTCTTTTTTCCCTTTAAGCAACAAGATAGTGGAGTTACAACCCAGCCCCTGCCGGTAGATTTCTCTGTTCGGTCCCGAAGGTTAAAGTCCTTAGATGAAAAAGGCTGGAATGCAAGGTGTGAACACTGAGATAAAGCAGAGCATGGGCACATGTTTTGTTTGTTGCCATGAGGCTCTGTTTTATTTTATTTTTAAGACAGGGTCTTGCTCTGTCACCCAGGCTGGAATGCAGTCGTATGATCGTGGCTCACTGCAGCCTCATCCTCCTGGGCTCAAGCAATCCTCCCACCTCAGCCTCCCCAGTAGCTGGGGATAGCCACCACACCCGGCTAATTTTTTGTAGAGATGGGGGTCTCAGTATGTTGCCCAGGCTGGCCTCGAACTCTTGGGCTCAAGGGATCCTCATGCCTCAGCCTCCCAAACTGTAGGAGTACAGGTGTGAACCACTGGGCTAAAGTGTCATCAGGCTTTAGAACCAGAAGCTCAAGAACTGGCCTCAAAAGTAAAGGGACTTCAGAAATGAAATTACATTCTGAAACCAGTGCAGAGGAGCCAAGTATTCAGCACTGATTTGCTCTCAGGTAGCACTGAGCATATATTTGCTGGTGACAGAGGCAGATGACTGGAATTTATTTTTTACCAAACGGTTTTGTTTCCTGAGTCCTGAGAGATGACCTGGTCGAAACTTCCCCTTTAATCTTATTAAGGAAAATCGATGGGCACAAGCTGGGATTAACTACAAGGGAATTTGAGCAGCAAGAGAAGCTCATTCTTCCAAGGTGCTTGGTAAATTTGGGGAATTCTCTGAAAATTCTGAGTAAATATCTGGGTGGAGGGCAAGGAAGTGACTATATTATTACTAGTAATGCAAGGAGATAGTCATAGCTTTGACAAATACTTTTAAGTTTGAAGAGTTTTTATTTTCTCATTTTGTCTCTATGCCACCCAGGTATTGCTATTGCCCTAATTTCTCAGAGAAGTAAACTGAGGCTGAGAGCAGTCCGGGGGTTTGTTGGAGGCCACAGAACCGGTTAGAAGAGGCGTGGATTAGGATGCAGGTATTGTGACTCATTCTGCAGACTTCCCTTGGGGTTTTCAATCTTGTCCTTTCTGGTCATGCCCATGCCTGGGTTTAGACACATGCTGAGGGCTAGGCAGGAGTGTGTTGGATGTTGTGGGGTGAGTGTGGGAATGGAGGGTAGCTCTTGCAGTGCTCAGGCTAGAGCTGGTCCTAACCCTTCCATGGAGGGGGGAGGGGTGATAGCAATTCAGGCCAGACCGTTTCTTGGAAGGGCAGGGTGTGAGTGCTGGGTCAGGCTAGTGAGGCATAGTTCTACATGATTGCATTCAGCTTGCAATAGCTGATGGCACTGATGAATGGAGTCTCTGGGCCACTCCTGAGGCTGGCCAGCTCCCCTGCCTTCCCCTCCGAATTCAGATGCCCTCTTTTGAGGTTGCTGTTCTGGTCAGGATAGCTAAGCTCTTTCCTTCAGTAGGCCGTTGTTTTATTATTCTCAGATTATCTGGGAGGGGTCTTTAGTCTCCTCTCCTCAGATAGATTTAGCACATCTCACCTTGATGGTTCCTGAAGAAAGGACTCTGACTTTGAGAGGATGGAAGGTCGGGGAGTGAGCTGAGATGAGACGAGCTGGCAGGAGCGCTGGCAGCGAGGAAGGCAGCTGCAGGGACCCTATCCAGGTGCTGTGTTGGGTCCAGGCCTTGAAGGCAAACTCCTCCTACTCCCCATGTGAGCTGACAGGAGTGTCTCAGGGAGGGGGCTGCTGAGGTTGTCTTCGGGCCACATGGCTGCTGGGCATGGCACTGGATTCAGGACCAAGACTCCCGGGCTCTAATCCTTGCTCCTTCAGTTCACGTTCTTCTCTTCTCTGGGTCTTAGTTTTCTCATCTGTAGCAGGAGCCAACCAATTCTAAGGTCACTCTTAGATTCTACAGGACTCTCACTGGAAGAGAACCCAGGAGGGGCGTCTGGGAGGCGGCTGCTCAGGGTGGCCAGGTACGAAGCCACCAGGCAGAGGCACAGGAGGCATCCCTGAATCACCGAGGAGTCACCTGCCATGAGCAATCTGTGGTGAGAGAGAAGGAGGTGCAGGCCAGTCAGGGGAAGGAGGTGACTTCCAAAACGCCAGGGAAGTTTACAAGCAGGTTTTGTCTAAGTGATTGGCCAGTAGGCGCTAGTAGCAAACAAACCAGCGCAGGGTCCCAACTTGGTCAGGAGTGGAATGCTTTTTTTTTTTTTTCTTAAAGATAATAAATCCAATCAGGTCTTTTATCTTGTTTAGAAATCATAAATTTAACATGTATTGGGGTTAGCAGACCAGTTCAGGGGCTGTTTGGGGGCATTGAGTCATTAGGCTGGGAGTATTTACGAGGCAGAGTTTAAAGGACACCATTTAACAATTCTTGGCCTGGGGCTGTCTTGGTTGCAGCTTTGGGCATCTTTTGGGATTCTGTTTGGAAGTTTTGCTTGTTGAAATATAGCTTAGAATGCAGAGAATTAAGTGCCTTTTGAAAACATTTTCATCCCATCCTAGGCAGTTAAATTCCCAATACTTTGGAATCATGGCTATAATTCAGTTTACAAACACAAATGGAGTACCCACTATGTCTTTTTATTTTAGTTTATTTTATTTTTGAGACAGAGTCTTACTCTGTTGCCTAAATTGGAGTGCAGTGGTGTGATCTCGGCTCACTGCAACCTCTGCCTCCCAGGTTCAAGCGATTCTCCTGTCTCAGCCTCCCGAGTAGCTATGATTTTTGGTGTGCGCCACCACGCCCAGCTAATTTTTGTATTTTTTAGTAGAGACAGGATTTCGACACGTTGGCCAGGCTGGTCTTGAACACCTGACCTCAGATGATCCGCCCGCCTCTGCCTCCCAAAGTGCTGGGATTACAGCTGTGAGCCACCGTGCCTGGCCCCCACTATGTCTTACTACCTGCAAGACACAGTACCAAGTGTTTCAAGGAAAATGACAATTGAACAATACTAGGTCCACAGCAGGTGACTCAACATTTCCCAAATTGTATTAAGTTTGGGGAATTTTTATTTTCAGATAAGAAGGCACATCAACACACATCTACATGCTGACCTACCTGTGTCTTTTTGTTGTGGGACTTGGGTCTTGGTTCCTGAAAACTTTTTCATAATTGATAGGTGAAAATAACAAAAATGTGGTAGACATGTCTTGGAATGAACACTATTAAAAAGAAAAATAGGACTCTGGAATACAAACTGGTTTAGACAGTCAATAAATGAATGTCTACTCAGTGGGCACTTGGCAGGGGTAAAGAACATGCTCTCCACTTGAGCAACTGTGAGGTGTATTTCAGTTATTCCTCCAAGCCATGTAGCATTATTGCCATTTTCCAGATAAAGACATTGGAGCTTAAACTAGTTAAGTGGCTCGATAAAGGTCATCTAGCTAGTACATGGTAAAGTCAAGTCTTTCTGACTCAAAAATCCATGCTCTTATTAATTAATTAATTTAAGAAATATTAATTGAGCCTTTCTCATCAAACATGCTGCCTCCACATGGGGCACTCTGTGTGCTCTAAGGGGAAGAATCAGACAATCACCAAACACAGCACAATATAACACATTTTGTAATTAAGTGCTAATTTAAGAGCTATATGAATTCAGGGAAGGGAGAATATGTCAGCTGGAGAGGCTTGGCACCATGTCTTGAGAGGATCTCAAGCTGGGTCTCAGAGCACAGAAAAGATTTGCAGGAACCATGAATAGAGAAGAGCGGCAGAACTTGTGTCTGGGGGCAGTGAGATGCAGAGGTAAATTGGAGCAGATGCTTTAACTTTGCAAGGTCACCTGCTTTGAGGTTCAATTATAACTACCTGGAGTGGCCTTTCAACCCTCAAATAGTGAAGAGGGTGGTTTCATTGTCTAACTCCCACGTTCATCTGCCTTAATAGTGACTAGCTCTAAGTCCAGAAGGAGAACTGGGAGGGGTGAGAATATGAAATATTACTCATTGACAGCAATTTCCACATGCTTCCTAAAACAATAACCAACCCAAATTACCTACATCTACACAGATGACACAGGTGATACAATAATGAAATAATTGATGAAATAATAATGAGAGGAGTCCTAAAAGTAGAGATTTTAAAAGCCCTGTGTTCCCAAGAGCCATATGCTACTAGCTGAAAAGCGCTCCTTTCTGTGCGTGATCAAAACCTTTTCTGTTCCCTTAAAAAATAATACATTGGTAAGCAGGTGTTTCATTGGTTGAAGAGGTCATTGCTCGGTGTCAGGTTGGTTTTCAGAGAACAGAAATGACAGTTCTATGAAATCAACTTGAACAAGGTATTTAACTCAGCTTCTCAGAAGTTGCCAATAAACTTTATTTAAAGAGATTCTCAGAGGAGGCTGTTGTGGTGCCTCTAACTGACTGCATCCTATGCCCACTCTTCCCTCTCTTTTGGCCTTCTTTTTCAGACTTGTGTAAACCCAAGAAGGTGGGATAGGGAAAGAGATTACAGGATGGTTTAGTGCTCTGCAGTTGGACAGGAGAGGTTGGAAGTTGTGGGGTGGAGTCCCAGAAGAACCTGGTGGCTCCAAGTGGTATTGTGTGGCTTCTTAGCCATCACATTTAATCTCCCCGGGGGTGGCTGTTGTTGCGATCCTCTGCTTTGCCACTGGTGGTGACTAGTGGGAACGTTTCTCATAGGGTTTTGGATGGATGTCCATGTTTATCTCTTGAGGCCCATTAATTTGGTTGCTTGGGCACTGCAGTGATGGGTCTATGCCGTGTGTTGGAAAGAGCACTAGATTATAAAAGAAGACTTGGTCCTGGACAGTTCTGCTGCATGGCTTTAGGTGAGTTCCTTAAGGTTTCTCCATCTCAATTTCCTTATTTGCCATCTGGATAGTTACTCTAGATAATCTCCAAGCTCCCTTCCAAGTCTGTGATGAGAGGCCAAAGATGTAAATTCAGTCTCCTCATGGAGTAGACAGTGCTGCGTTGTGCCAGAATCACAGACAGCAGCCCTGTCCTATCCTCACCGTGACTCCTCTAGGTGAGACGGTCAGTGGTTCAGACCAAATCCTTTGTCTTTTTTTTTTTTTTTTTTTTTTGACAGAGTTTCACTCTTGTTGCCCAAGCTGGAGTACAATGGTACGATCTCGGCTCACTGCAACCTCTGCCTCCCGGGTTCAAGCGATTCTCCTGCCTCAGCCTCCTGAGTAGCTGGGATTACAGGCGCCCACCACCATGCCCAACTAATTTTTTGTATTTTTAGTCGAGATGGGGTTTCACCATGTTGGCCAGGCTGGTCTCGAACTCCTGACCTCAGGTGATCCACCCACCTCGGCTTCCCAAAGTGCTGGGATTACAGGTGTGAGTCACTGCGCCAGGCCGAGTCTTTTTGATTAAAATAGCTCCCAGTTGATGCTGTCAGCAAAATTATGTAGACAATCTAGGGCGGCAGCCATGCTGGTATGCCTGAGAACAGGTGGCTTCTGTCAGTTTTAAAACCAGCAAAGCACTGGGCAAACCAGCCAGGCGGCCACCCCAAGAAGGACAGTTCCTACCAATTTAGTGTTAAGGTGGTGCCAGGGCAAGTGACAGCATCACTAAGAAATATAAAAAGATTCTAGAAAACCCTGATTTTCCTTGGCCATTACTTGACTTCCCTTAAAGTCTCTTCGGGTCCCTATTAAGTAAATACTGAAATTTAAATGATGAAATGCTTTCTCCCCCAGCCCCTATGCCTGTGTAACTAAGTCACTTCCTATCCCAGAAGCTAGTTTGGACCTGGTCTAGCTGGTCTTGCACCAGATGTCCCTGAAGTCACCTTCTCATCCCAGGCTTCTCCTTCTGCCTTCACCTGTCCTAGGGTGGGAGCTGAAGGTTCAGAGGAGTCAGGTGGGACCGTGGCTGGGCCTCTGCCTTGGTTCTCACACGGTCTCCCAAGCCCTTACCTCATGCCTGTGAAGGAGCAACTTTTCTTCCGAAAAGATCTTTTCCTTCCAAAATGGATGCTCTGACTGGGCTGCTAAGAAATGTGTGACCACAAGAAAACAAGAGCTTTAAGAGATGAGCATGGATATTCCATGCCTGGGATTCTTAGATATCCTGATTTAAGTGAGTTATTCTTGAAGGGAGGGATCTGAGAGTGGTCGTAGAGTCTAAAAGAGCCTATTTTATAAAGCACAGCCTATAACGGCTTAGACCCATTTTTCCTTTTCTTCTAAACCTGTTTTGAGTTGGGGAGCAAAGCAAGTGGTTCCCTCAAGTGTCTTCCCTTTTACCTCATTCTCCTTCTACCCCTAGCTTTGCTTATGAGGTGTTTCCTATATTCTCTGAGGGCACAAAACACTTAGAAGCCGTATTATAATTCCTAAAATCTATTTGAATCACACAATTGATATAAACATGTATTTTTGTTGTAAAATTTAAAATTTTGTCCATCTGATGGATGAGAATGACCTGGTCTTGGTTTAATACCCATTTCCCTGAGTCCCTGAATGACCGTGTGGAGCAGGTCCTCCTTTACTCCTGGCCCCCTGGCTAACCTGTATCTAACTGATATAAACTAGAAATAAAGTTTATTGTGTTAGGCCTTTGAGATTGGGGTTGTTACAGCAGTTAGCCTCTCTGACTGATGCAGGGCATTTCAAATAATGGCAGAATACAGAAATCTTTTTGACCTCTAAAAACCATACCACGCAGGCCCAGCCCTACCTGAACTGTAAGGGAAGTGGACTTTGATTTCTTAATATCTAGCCTATGGTGTGAAAATCCAAGTAACTACAGAGAATTAAAATAGCCTTTTCTCCCTCTTCTGTTTCTGTCTCCCTCCCATTGCCATCTTTACCCATTGTCTTTTTCAACATTCTTTTCCTCTCTCCCTCTTCCAATTCACAAAGGAAAATAGAAATGTTCAAAGGTTAAAATAGGCCAATAGTTCTTTGGCTATGTCAATGCATAACAAATTGGGGTAGAGAATTTTAACAATTAAAAAAAATTTGTTCTGAATCTTCCTTTGGCCTTAGGTACCATCTAGAGGATTACAGTTGTAGTGGTGTCTTTTCTCCTCTTTCTGGGTGGCTAAATATTTGCACCTCAGCTCCCTCCTTCTCTTTGTGTATGTGTATAGAAATAATTTCAATGCCCTAGCTTAAGATCTGGCAGTGAAAAATATCCTTATCCACTTGGAGAAGGTCATCCAATTCTGGAAAAGCTGTCTCAAGAAAGGACCATACACGTTTTATAAAAGCATGATTATTAAGTTTCAGGTTGATTATCATGCAAATGCTTCCATTTCCCCCCTTACCCCACTGAATCTCCTCCTACAACCATGAGTAAAATGACATCTGGGATGTTGGGAATTTAACCAGCCAGTCAGGAAGGCCGAACAATGTTTCCTCAGCCCATGGTTCACAGGGGTTCTGAGGGCCTTTGTGCGGAACTCAAGGAGTTGTTCCTTTAAACAAGGTGCCGGCTTATCTCACACTTTAAAACACCCTTTCCTTTCAAAGTTAAGTGTTTATCTCCTTGGGAATATGAATTGGTACAACCTTTCGGGAAAGCAATTTGGCAACTGGCATCGGGAGACTTAAAGGCGTTTTCTAACTTGACCTGGCAGTCCCTCCTCTAGTGCTCTAGCCTAAGAAAATAATTGGAGATGCGATCACAGATGCATGTACAAGGATGCTTATCACAGCATAATTTATGACAGTAAATCACCTGGAAACAGCTTAAAGGCTGGAAAAATAAGGGAAGGGCAAATCCACTCAACAATGGAATATTATGCAGCCTTTAAAAATAGTGTTTTCAAAAAAAGTTTAATGACATGGAAAAATATTCATGTTAATGTGTTAAGTGGGATAAAAAGCATACAAAACCAATAAATTCTAACTTTATTGAAAATAGTTTGTTTAGGCACACAGCCCTAGAAGATAAGAAATAAGCAAATACAAGAGAGAGGAGTTTTGTTCTAACCTCAGCTCTGACATGTGCTAACTGCCTACCATTGACTAAGTGGTTTAAACTCTCTGGATTTTTTTCCCCAGGGTTGTGGTGAGGATCTGAAAGAATATTTGCAAAGTTCCTGGCACAAAGAAGTTGCTCAAAAATTGGTAGTAGTTGTTATTATGATTCTTATCCCTATTATACTGGTAGGAGTTTGTCAGTGACAAAAGCTGGGTAAGAATAGTTTTGGGGGGCAGCCTTCCTTTACCCTTGTAACCCAAAAAGTATCTGAGACAGGTCTCAATTAATTTAGAAAGTTTATTTTTTTATTTTTTTTATTATACTTTAAGTTTTAGGGTTCATGTGCACAATGTGCAGGTTTGTTACATATGTATACATGTGCCATGTTGGTGTGCTGCACCCATTAACTCATCATTTAACATCAGGTATATCTCCCAATGCTATCCCTCCCCCCTCCCCCCACCCCACAACAGGCCCCAGAGTGTGATGTTCCCCTTCCTGCGTCCATGTGTTCTCATTGTTCAATTCCCACCTATGAGTGAGAACATGTGGTGTTTGGTTTTTTGTCCTTGCCATAGTTTGCTGAGAATGATGGTTTCCAGCTTCATCTATGTCCCTACAAAGGACATGAACTCATCCTTTTTTACGGCTGCATAGTATTCCATGGTGTATATGTGCCACATTTTCTTAATCCAGTCTATCATTGTTGGACATTTGGGTTGGTTCCAAGTCTTTGCTATTGTGAATAGTGCCACAATAAACATACGTGTGCATGTGTCTTTATAGCAGCATGTTTTATAATCCTTTGGGTATATACCCAGTAATGGGATGGCTGGGTCAAATGGCATTTCTAGTTCTAGATCCCTGAGGAATCACCACACTGACTTCCACAATGGTTGATCTAGCTTACGGTCCCACCAACCGTGTAAAAGTGTTCCTATTTCTCCACATCCTCTCCAGCACCTGTTGTTTCCTGACTTTTTAATGATCGCCATTCTAACTGGTGTGAGATGGTATCTCACTGTGGTTTCGACTTGCATTAGAAAGTTTATTTTGCCAAGGTTAAGAACACACCCATGACACAGCCTCAGGAGGTCTTAGTGACATGTGCCCAAGATGGTCGGGGCGCAGCTCGGTTTTATACATTTTAGGGAGACGTTAGACATCAATCAATATACGCAAGATTTACATTGGCTTGGTTTGGAAAGGTGGGACAACTCGCAGCAGGAAGGGGGTTTCCAGGTCATAGGTACAGAAGAGACAAATGGTTGCATTCTTTTGAGTGTCTGATTAGCCTTTCCCAGGGAAGCAATCAGATATGCATTTATCTCAGTGAGCAGAGGGATGACTTTGACATCTGTCTGTCATTTGTCCACAAGGAATTTCCTTGTAGACAAATTGTGAGGGAGGTATGTAGCTTTTTTTATGTTAGTAGCTATCTTTTTGAGGAATAGAATGGGAGGCAGGTTTGCCCTAAGCAGTTCCCAGCTTGACCTTTTTCTTTGGCTTAGTGATTTGGGAGTCCCGTGATATAGTATCCTTTTGCACCCTCAACTCACTTCTCACCATCGCCCACCCATTGTCTTCTGTGAGGTGGTCCTGCCCACAGCGTAGGCACAACAAACCCAAGTGGTGAAACAGAATTGTGACAGAAATAAAAACTCCAGACAAATATATTGATGGGTCATTTGGAGGAAGGCAGAACTTCCTCTGGCTGGTCAAAGGGAGCAAGTGGAGTGTTTAGGAGAGGAACCTATTTACTGGGTAGAAAACAAATGATAATATACATCTGTATAGAACTTGATGATTTAAAATCTGATTATCTTATGGAGAAAACATCCCTGAGAAGTATTTTCTATGGTTTTATTGCCTAAATAATAAGTATTATTAGTTATTTATTGTTACATAACAAATTACTCCCAAACTTAGCACTTACATCAACATGCGTTGCTATTTCAGTTTCTCCAGGTTAGGAATCCAGGTACAGATTAGCTGGCTGAGGGTCTCTCTCAAGGGTGCAGTTAGAATAGTGGTCAGGGCAGCAGAGCTACAATCTTCTCGAGTTTCAGCTGGGCAGGATCCGCTTCCAGGCTCACTCAGTGGTTGTTGGCAGGATTCAGTTCCTTGTGGGTTGTTGGATTGAGGGCCTCAGTTCCTCAATGGCTAGTGGCTGGGGGCCCCTTGAGTTTCCTCCTACATGGGCGTCTATAGAGCAGCTCACAGCATTGAAGCTAGCTTCATTAAACAAGCTGACAGAGAGGGAGAGAGAGGAAAAGGGAGAGAGAGAGATTGATCAGACTTTCGTAACCTGACCTTGGAATTCACATCTTATCACTTTTGCCATATTCTTTTTGCTAAAAGCAAGCCATTAGGTCCAGCCTACATTCAAGGGGAGGGGATTACACAAGGGTGTGGATACCAGAATGGGGCTATTTTATTTTATTTTGAGACACAGTTTTGCTCTGTCACCCAGGCTAGAGTATAGTGGTGGGATCTGGGCTCACTGCAATCTCCGCCTTCCAGGTTCAAGCAATTCTCCTGACTTGGCCTCTCGACTAGCTAGGATTATAGGCACCCATCGCCATGCCCAGATAATTTTTGCATTTTTAGTAGAGATGGGATTTCACCATGTTGGCCAGGCTGGTCTCCAACTCCTGACCTCCTTTGCCTCCCAAAATGCTGTGATTAGAGGTGTGAAACCAATGCTCCCGGCTGAGAATGGGACCATTTTAGAAGGCCACCTACCACATCCCTTTTTTACAGCAGAGGGAACCAAGTTTTAGCCCTAAATCAACCATAGAAGAAGACTCAAACTAGAGTCATTACTCTGTCCACTCTATTGTGCAAACCTTGCTCATCCTATTCCAACATCATCCTTATGCATAAAGGCATGTGTAGTGTAAATTACTGAGCATTTGAGAATTTTCATATCATGTGAAATTCCCAGTTATCTACAACAGTTTATGATATTCTAGGATGGGGGCATATTTTGGAGACAGAGAAAAATGTAGTAGTGATAATTAGAAAAATATGCAGAGGCTCCATTACCTACAAATGGCATCCATAGTTTTCACAGAAGAGGGCCTGGAAAATAGTTCCTAGGCCATTCAGGGTAACAGCAATGATTAATTCCAAGCTGTTAACGCATTTTATTATGCAAATACTCCAGCAACTCAGCCATGGAGAAAGTCCGGGCACCGCCCCCACCCCATTCACTCTGGACACTCAATTTGCATGGAAATGTGGCACTTTCACTCAAAGACAAGACAGTATGGTTCTCCTTGGAGGGGGGAGGTGGGAAGATTAGGACGTGGGTGGGGGAGGTGGCTAGAGGGAGATTCAGCTACCCATTAGCGACATGGATCTTTTTAAAGCCATTTGTGGTTAGAAAAACAATGGTATTATCTTAATTTACTAATTAAATTGCTCAAAGCAGGAGAGATAAGCAGAGCCTAGGGTCAGTTCCAGGCTCACTGAGTTTTGAGTCTTCCAGGAACCAGAGTTGAATCCTGCATCACCAAAAAGAAGGCTTTCACCACGTGAGCAGTGTTCAGTCTCAGCAAAAACGCAGGCTTTCCTTTCAGAGGAGAGAAAAGCAAGCAAAAGGAACATGTCTCTGGGAACTAGATAGAGTTTGAAGTCCATGAGTTTTTAGAATGGTCAGTGCTTGATATGAAGCATTGATCACTGATTGCTTTTATGGATCTTTCCCACTTAATAATACTTAGGTGGGTGCAAAACTCTGTTAAATGAACAAACAACTTCTGGCTTCTGGGGGAATTTAGCCCTGGGGTGTCTAAGTCAGCCACTGAACAGGAAAATCAGGGGTGCAATTGGATGTCTATCAAGAGATGGGCCAGGACACTGGCTGGACTGACTTGGGAAGTAGAGGAAAAGTGTTGCAAGTTTAGGACTTGAGCTGTGTGCAGTGATTTGGGAGTGAAAGGGGCTTCCAAGACCAGAGCAAAGGTGAGCTTAACACTTTCTGGGAAGCCTCCATTTCTAGAAAGAGAAATGGAGATGGAGCAATCAGTAGAAAGTTAGGATGTCCACCCTTTCATGCACCTCCGTGTGAAGAGACCACCAAACAGGCTTTGTGTGAGCAACATGGCTGTTTATTTCACCTGGGTGCAGGCGGGCTGAGTAAGAAAAGAGAGTCAGTGAAGGGAGATAGGGGTGGGGCCATTTTATAGGATTTGGGAAGGTAATGGAAAATTAGTCAAAGGGGGTTGTTCTCTGGTGGGCAGGGGTGGATCTCACAAAGTACATTCTCAAGGGTGGGGAGAATTACAAAGAACCTTCTTAAGGGTGGGGGAGACTACAAAGTACCTTCTTAAGGGTGGGGGAGATTACAAAGTACATTGATCAGTTAGGGTGGGGCAGGAACAAATCACAATGGTGGAATGTCATCAGTTAAGGCTGTTTTTACTTCTTTTGTGGATCTTCAGTTACTTCAGGCCATCTGGATGTATACGTGCAAGTCACAGGGGATGCGATGGCCTGGCCTGGGCTCAGAGGCCTGACATTCCTGCCTTCTTATATTAATAAGACAAATAAAACAAAATAGTGTTGAAGTGGCGAAAATTTTTGGGGGGTGGTATGGAGAGAGAATGGGCGATGTTTCTCAGGGCTGCTTCAACGGGATTAGGGGCAGTGTGGGAACCTAACGTGGGAGAGATTAAGCTGAAGGAAGATTTTGTGGTAAGGGGTGATATTGTGGGGTTGTTAGAAGAAACATTTGTCGTGTAGAATTATTGGTGATGGCCTGGATACGGTTTTGTATGAATTGAAAAACTAAATGGAATAAGAGAAGGAAAAAAAAAGGTATAAAAGGTCTAAGAATTGGGACGACTCAGGACATCTGATTAGAGAGTGCCTAAGGACATTCAGCATAGCCCTGCCAGCAAAGATTATTCATTTACTTCAAGAGTTAAGAATGGCAGTTTGGGGATAGCATGAGGCAAGCGTGATCAGGGTGAGGAACAGGAAAGAAGGAAATATGGGGAAATGGGGTGAATATCAGGTGGATCAGAGAGATACAGTCATGAGGGTCAGGTGTGGTATCCGGAATAATGTGGGAGGCCGGATTGAAGTCCGGGCCAGGAACAATGGTAATTGTGGGAGACTCAACAAAGAGTGAGTACAGCTGAAGGAGCCGGGGAGCAGAAAGTGTATGTGTCAGGTGTGAGGAAGAAAATAGATTTTGGAAATTATGAGAGCTATAGAGAGTGAGTTGAGCATAGTTTGTGATTTTTAGGGCCTCTAACAGTATTAAAGCAGTGGCAGCCGCTGCACGCAGACATGAGGGCTAGGCTAAAACAGTAAGGTCAAGTTGTTTGGACAGAAAGGCTACACGGTGTGGTCCTGGCTCTTGTGTAAGAATTCTGACTGCACTAACCATGCCTAGGAAGGAAAGGAGTTGTTCTTTTGTAAGGGATTGAGGTTTGGGAGATTAATCGGACACGATCAGCAGGGAGAGCATGTGTGTTTTTATGAGAATTATGCCGAGATAGGTAACAGATGAGGATGAAATTTGGGCTTGACTGAAGTAATGGGGGCTGTCTGTGAAGCCTTGCGGCAGTACAGCCCAGGTAATTTGCTAAGCCAAATGGGTGTCAGGGTCAGTCTAAGTGAAGGCAAAGAGAGGCTGGGATGAAGGGTGCAAAGGAATAGTAAAGAAAGCATGTTTGAGATCCAGAACAGAATAATGGGTAGTAGAGGGAGGTATTGAGGATAGGAGAGTATATGGGTTTGGCATCACGGGGTGGATAGGCAAAACAATTTGGTTGATAAGGCGCAGATTCTGAACTAACTTGTAAACCTTGTCTGGTTTTAGGACAGGTAAAATGGGGGAATGGTAAGGAGTTTATAGGTTTTAGAAGCCGGTGCTGTAGCAGGCGAGTGATCACAGGCTTTAATCCTTTTAAAGCGTGCTGTGGGATAGGATATTGGCGTTGAGTGGGGTAAGGGTGATTAGGTTTTAATGAGATGGTAAGGGGTGCATGATCAGTCGCCAAGGAGGGAGTAGAGGTCTCTTATACTTGTGGGTTAAGGTGGGGGAATACAAGAGGAGGACGCAAAGGAGGCTTTGGATTGGGAAGAAGGGCAGCAATGAGATGCAGCTGTAGTCCAGGAATAGTCAGGGAAGCAGATAATTTGGTTAAAATATCTCGGCCTAATAAGGGAACTGGGCAGGTGGGGATAACTAAAAAAGAGTGCTTAAAAGAGTATTGTCTAAGTTGGCACCAGAGTTGGGGAGTATTAAGAGGTTTAGAAGCCTGGCTGTCAATACCCACAACAGTTATGGAGGCAAGGGAAACAGGCCCTTGAAAAGAAGGTAATGTGGAGTGGGTAGCCTCCGTATTGATTAAGAAGGGGACGGGCTTACCTTTCACTGTGAGTTACTGGAAGCTCGGCGTCCGTGATGGTCTACGGGGCTTCCGAGGCGATCGGGCAGCAACAGTCTTCAGCCGCTAAGCCGAGAAGGAGTCAGTCAGAGAGCCTTGGGCCAGAGTTCCAGGGGCTCTGGGAGTGGCTGCCAGGTGAGTTGAACAGTCCAGTTTCCAGTGGGGTCCCGCACAGATGGGACACAGCTTAGAAGGAATCCTGGGCTACAGGCATTCCTTGGCCTGGTGGTCAGATTTCTGGCACTTGTAGCAAGCTCCTGGGGAAGGAGGTTCTGGAGGAACTCAGTTCAGGCGTTTGGAAGTTCTTGTGTGCTGGAGATGTGGCTGGGGTTTGTCTCACAGTGGGGGCAAGGAATTGCAACTTTTTTCTATTATTGTACACCTTGAAGGCGAGGTTAATTAAATCCTGTTGTGGGGTTTGAGGGCCGGAATTTAATTTTTGGAGTTTTATTTAATGTCGGGAGCAGATTGGGTAATAAAATGTATATTGAGAATAAGATGGCACTTGACCTTTTAGGGTCTAGGGCTGTAAAGTATCTCAGGGTTGCTGCCAAACAAGCCATGAACTGGGCTGGATTTTTATATTTGATGAAAAAGAGCCTAAACGCTATCTGATTTGGGATAAGGAAAAAGGAGCATTAACCTTGACTATACCTTTGGCTCCAGCCACCTTTTTAAGAGTGAATTGCTGGGCAGGTGGGGGAGGGCTAGTCACGGAACGAAACTGTAAGCCTGACCAGGTGTGAGGAGGGGAGGCGATAAAAAGATTACAGGGTGCAAGAGCGGAGGCTGAGGAAGAATTGGGACCTAGCTTGGGCTGGTGAGGAGGGGAGAGGTCACATGGGTCTGTAGAAAAGGAAGATTAGAAAGACTCAGCGACACTTGGGGTTGGGACTGAGGGGACAGGCGGGAAGGAAAGAAGGAAGATTTGGGACAAGTTGCACTGGGCAGAGACTAGGAAGGGACTGATGTGTAAAGGAATGCCTGGACGTCAGGCACCTCAGACCATTTGCCCCTTTTACGACAAGAATTATTTAGATATTGTAGGATGGAAAAATTGAAAGTGCCGTTTTCCGGCTATTTGGAACTACTGTCGAGCTTGTATTGGAGTCAAGCGGCATTGCAGAAGAAAATAAGGCATTTAGGTTTTAGGTCAGGTGTGAGTTGAAGAGGTTTTAAGTTTTTGAGAACACAGGCTAAGGGAGAAAAAGGAGGAATGGAAGGTGGAAGCTTACCCATAGTGAAGGAGGCAAGCCCAGAAAAAAGTAGAGACACAGAGAAGGGGTGGGGGGTTCTTGCCCTCCAGAAAAGCAGAGAAGGGGTTGGGGCACAGAAATAAGGGATTGGGGCACAGAGATAAGAGGTCAGGGTGTGGAAATAAGGGATTGGGGTGCAGAGATAAGAGGCTGGGGTGTGGAAATAAGCGATTGGGGGTTTCTTGCCCCCTAGGAAAGCGGGACTTGCCGCTGAGGGTGAAGGAGAAGGGGTTGAGGGGTAGTTGCCCCTGCCTCAGGAAAGCAGGACTTGCCGCTGAGGGTGAAGGAGAAGGGGTTGAGGGGTAGTTGCCCCTGCCCCAGGAAAGCGGGACTTGCCGCTGAGGGTGAAGGAGAAGGGGTTGAGGGGTACTTGCCCCTGCCTCAGGAAAGTG
Source organism: Homo sapiens (assembly GCF_000001405.40). NCBI lineage: Eukaryota > Metazoa > Chordata > Mammalia > Primates > Hominidae > Homo > Homo sapiens. Next base: position 60,418,485 of record NC_000002.12, on the reverse strand, counting down.
GGACTTGCCACTGAGCGTGAAGGAGAAGGGGTTGAGGGGTACTTGCCCCTGCCCCAGGAAAGCGGGACTTGCTGCTGAGGGTGAAGGAGAAGGGGTTGAGGGGTACTTGCCCCTGCCCCAGGAAAGCGGGACTTGCTGCTGAGGTTGAAGGAGAAGGGGTTGGGGTACTTGCCCCTGCCCCAGGAAAGCGGGACTTGCCGCTAAGGGTGAAGGACCAAGGCAGGCGTCCCTGCGTGGTCTGACACCCTTGAAACGTGGGTATATAATCAGAGAGGCGTCCCTGCAATGATTAAACATCAAGGGAAGGCTGCCTTCCCAGTCCGTGACTGGCGCCGGAGTTTTGGGTTCACGGATAAAACATGTCTCTTTTGTCTCTACCAGAAAATGAAAGGAATTGAAATTAAGAGAAGGGAGAGATTGAAGTGTGGCGCCAAGATTGAAAGGAGAAAGAGGTTGAGGGATAGTGAGGGAGGTTGGAGAAGAGAGTAAAAAGAGGCCGCTTACCGGATTTGAAATTGGTGAGATGTTTCTTCGGCTGGTCGGTCTGAGGACCTGAGGTCGTAGGTGGATCTTTCTCATGGAGCAAAGAGCAGGAGGACAGGGGATTGATCTCCCAAGGGAGGTCCCCCGATCCGAGTCACGGCACCAAATTTCATGCATGTCCCTGTGAAGAGACCACCAAACAGGCTTTGTGTGAGCAATAAAGCTGTTTATTTCACCTGGGTGCAGGCGGGCTGAGTCTGAAAAGAGAGTCAGTGAAGGGAGATAGGGGTGGGGCCATTTTATAGGATTTGGGAAGGTGATGGAAAATTACAGTCAAAGGGGGTTGTTCTCTGGCGGGCAGGGGCGGGGGTCACAAGGTGCTCAGTGGGGGAGCTTTTGAGCCAGGATGAGCCAGGAGAAGGAATTTCACAAGGTAATGTCATCAGTTAAGGCAGGAACAAGTCATTTTCACTTCTTTTGTGATTCTTCAGTTACTTCAGGCCATCTGGATGTATACATGCAGGTCACAGGGGATATGATGGCTTAGGTTGGGCTCAGAGGCCTGACAATGTACCCATAAATCTCCTTTGTAATTCCTGCTTCTGGCAGTGAGGTTTCAGAAAAAGTTTGTTTCTGGAGTGTGTTATCTTCTTCCCTGTATCTTCCATTATATGCCACCTTGTAGGCATTGGAGGGGACTTCTGCTCTATTTTCACTGTGTTCTTATAAGCCTTCAAGCAGATAGGGTGAGTATTACCGTCCTCATTTGAGAGAGAAAACCATGGGTGGAGAAGTTCAGTGATTTGCCTGATGAGTAAGGAATAGGTGGTTTAAAAACCATGTCCCTGATTTCTGGTTTATAGCCCATCCCATCTCACCAAAATACCTGGGAAGGCCAAAGCTGGCTTGAAGCAAATGGCAGGGAAAGGGAGTCTGGTTATAGAGGGGATTTTGATGAGAAGTCACTAAGCTTTCTTAATAATGTCTTGTGTTGATAGATGCACAGGAAAGGAGGAGGCATCGGGGGGACTTGAAGACCAAATTCTGACTTTCTGGCACAGCCAACTGATTGACTTCTAAGAGCTCCAGTTCTGTGACGTAAATGGCTCTGGTGACAGACAGGAGAGGACAAACATTACTAAAAAAAAAAAAAAGTGGGGGGAGATGTGATGTAGCCAAAAGGTCAACAGCCTTGAGGACAGAAGACCTGATTTTTTTCGTAGTCTTAGGGTGCTACCAATTCACTGTTTAACTCTGTGACCTCAGTCTTTCCAGTTCTTGTTTTGCTCATCTATAAAATGTGGACTAGATGATCTCTGAGACCTTTCTAGCTCTTTCTAGAAGGAAGCTAAAGTCAGACAGACATGAAATCAACTTCCATTCTATTCTTTGGCGATTGTTCACCAGATCCCAGACTCTAGGAACCCTAGCTTGTCCTAGAAATCTCAAGTTCTGGGGATCTTGCAACTTTCCCTGATTGTGAAACAGTGACCTTGGCTATGAGAAGAAAACTGGCCTCTCCCGAGTCACCACTTCCTTGTGCCACTGCCAGAATACATGACACCAGCCAAGAGTTCGCATTCATCATCCTCACGTCTGCCTGTGACTCTACACCATTCCTTGCCTTCTGCTTTACCCTCTCTCGCTTGGCTTTCACCCTCCCCGCCCCCAATCACAGCCGCATTGCCAGAGATAAGCACATAGTTTACTATGGCTCAGGAACCATGGGGAAATGCAAGATAGGTTCCTTGTCCTCCAGGAGCTTAAAACATAACAGGGAGAGAAATTGATCAATAGTCAATGCAAATCCAATCAAAATCCCAGCAGGCTTTTTTTGTTGAAATTGACAAACTGATTCTAAAATGTATGTGGAAATGCAAATGCCTAAAATAGTTAAAGCAATTTTGAAAAAGAAAAACACATTTGGAGGACTTATACAGTGCTATCTGACTTCAAAACTTGTGGTGTTAGTGTACAGACAGACAGGATCAATAGAACAAAGTCCAGAGATAGACCCATGCATATAAGATTAACTGAATTTTGACAAAGATGCACAAGCAGTTTAATGGGGGAAAGGGCAATCTTTTCATCAAAGGAGCTGGAATAATTAGAATTTATATGCAAAAAAAGAACTTCAACCTACAAGTCACACCACACACAAAAGTTAACTTAAAGTGGATCACAGATCTAAATGCAGGGCAACAACTATAAAAGAAAACATGGAGAAAATCGATGTGACCTTGCATTAGAGAAATGCTTTTTTTTTTTTGAGATGGAGTTTTGCTCTTATTGCCCACACTGGAGGGCAATGGCACGATCTTGGCTCACTGCAAGCTCTGCCTCCCGGGTTCAAGCGATTCTCCTGCCTCAGCCTCCTGAGTAGCTGGGATTACAGACATGTGCCACCATGCCTAGCTAATTTTGTATTTTTAGTAGAGACGGGGTTTCTCCATGTTGGTCAGGCTGGTCTGAAACTCCCGACCTCAGGTGATCCGCCAGCCTCGGCCTCCCAAAGTGTTGGGATTACAGGCGTGAGCCACCGTGCCCGGCCTGAGAAATAATTTTTAAATAGGACACACATGCACACACAAACCAAACTATTAAATAAAAAATTGATAAATCAGGCATTATCGAAGTTTAAAACTTTTGCTCTTCGAAAGACACTGTTAATAAAGTAAAAAGACAAGACAGACTGGGAGAAAGTTTTTGCAAAAAATACATCTGATAAAGAACTTGTATCCGGAATAAATAAAGCACTCTCAAAAGTCAATAGTAAGAAATCAATGCAACACAATGAAAATGAGCGAAAGATTTGAACAGACATTCCACCAAAGAAGGCATGGCAAATAAACACATGGAAAGATGCTGAACATCATTAGTCATTAGGGAAATGCAAATTAAAACCACAAGGAGATATCACTACATATGCACTCGAATGATCAAAATTAAAAAGACCAACAATAACAGGCACTGACCAAGATGTGGAGCAACTGGAACTCTCATTCACTAGAAATGCAAGATGACACAGCCACTTTGGGAAGTACTTTAGTGATTTCTTATGTAGTTAAATATGCACTGACCGTATGACTCAGCAATTTATCTGCTAGCTATATTCCCAGGGGAAATGAGAACATACATCCACACAAAGACTTGTATTTAAATGTTCACAGTGGCATTTTGTTATGTTAAGGAAAACTGGAAATAACTGAAATACCCATCAAGTGATGAATGGGTAAACAAATTGTGATCTATCCATACACTGGAATATTACTCAGCTCTAAAAAGAGCTGAAGTACTGAAGTACTTTATGCATGCAACCATATGATGTGTTGAGATGCATGCAACAATGTGGATGAATCTCAAGGAATATGCTATGTGAAAGAAGCCAACCACAAAGACTACATTCTGAATGATTGCAAAATGCAAAACTCTAGACAAGGCAAAACAATAGTGATAGAAGACACATCAGAGATTCCCAACAGCCATGGGGCCTGGATAGGGGATTGATGGCAAACAGGTGAGAGATAATGTCAGTGTTCTACACATCACTGTGCTGGTGGTCATATGGTTGTATATGGTTGACAAAACTCATTCAATTGCGCACTTACAGTTGGTGAATTTTTGTTGACTACAGAAAATACAATGTGGAGAGAGAACATGTTTGTGTGAAACAAACAACGCAAGTTAGAGTCAGAGAGAATGCCCAAACCAGAGCCATAGACTGGGCACTATAGAAGATAAAAAATGGGACCTGGAGCCCCCAACTCTGTGTGAGATGATCCAAGAAAGGTGGGAGAAAGGAGACCAACGTGGGTGGGCATTGAGCACTTGGTAGGATTGGCAAAGGAGGAGGGGGAAGGGCAGGGGCTCAGCCTGTGGGCAGAACCCTGGGGAATGCCAACTTCTACAGGTTGGGCAGGGCAGCGGTTCCAGCCCTGGTGGTTTTGGTCAGCATCTTTACAGTAAGCCGTGGGGAAGTGTGGAGTTGCTCGAGTGTGGCAGTGCTTTTGGCCTTGAGCCCCACATGCAGGTCACTTTCATCAGAACAGGAAAACGAAACAGGCTCCCCTGAATGATTTATGGGAGGGCTTGTGTTTTGGGGATGTGATACTGCAATTTGTGTTATAGGACCAAGACATCTGTTTCCAGGGAGGTGCGTTCTCTTACCATGAGCCTTTCCCACGAGGGATCTTTTGCCCCCTTAAGAGTTATCCATTTTATCTTAGTTGCATGTTAGCATAATGGGCCTTCTGGTGACAAGTGGCCTCACCAGGACCTGAGTGTGCATGGTGTGGGGCCAACTGGGAGGTGAGCAGGAGCTGTCTCGGTCTTACCCTGTCCCTCGGATGGTGTCTAGCCGTGCAGTAAGCTGTAGGATTAGGGAGCATGCCATCTGTGAGATGGCACAGGCAAACTCCCACTTAACAATTAAGTTTTAGCCATTTATTTGATTAAATTTCAGTTATGCTAACTGTCCCCATGTGGATTAATGGCCCATGCTGGGGAGCTCTGCTGCCAGCAGATCTTGGCCCACAACCCCTTCTCACCAGGAGGTAAAGTTCCCTGGGGAGGCCTGAAGCCAGGGGTGTGCAATTGTAGAGTATCCTGGCTAGGGGAGCTTTGGCAAGGTTCTTGCTCAAGTCCTCACATCACAGAGGACAAAACTGAGGCTGGCTTCAGTCACCAGGAGCCAGTATGGAAGGGACCCACATAATGGCCACACAGCCTGTCAAGTGTTGAGTCACTTGACAGTTATTTGACTCATTCCTTTTTGTCTACAAGCAGTGGGGGCATGGCATGGTGCATGTAGATGGAAACACAATGTGTACCTGTGACGGACAAGCACCCCACCTCCTACCCCTTCTCAGAAGGGGAATTTGGGAGGAGGTTTGCCCCTGCCCACTTTCCCCTGTCAGACAGGTAGAGGAAGAAAGCCCCATGCGGAGTTTGATTGGGGAGGGAGGGTTAGTACTAGCTACCCCTTATTATTATTATTATTTTTTTAACCCTACCTCTGTCTGCTTTTAAAAGGAATCATGAATCCTCAAATCTTAGGAAGATTTTTGTCTGGTATGACTCCTGGGAACTTTGGTCAAAGGGTGTCTGAGATTCCTGAGGCCCCACCCTGCCCAGTTTTAATACTCCTCACTAATCCCTTTTCACCCCGAGGCTTCGTCCATACGGTGCTCCCTGTCTCCTAGCATGTCTGGGTGAATCCTGCTGGCTCCTACCCCGCCAACCTCCTGCAACCCATGATCCCCATGAGTCCATTATGCAAGATTGTGTGTGTACCAGTGCCTTCCCCTACACTGTATGTGGGATCGAATATTCATTGTATAAGTAAAATTAAAATGTATTAACTTTCCTTCCAGATGCCCCCTGATAGCAAGTTTAATTACTCTGGACATAATTAAATGAGTTTAGGAGATTAGAAAATATAAGGGGGTAGTGAAGACTATAGATTTATTGGGAAAAAAAGGAAAATTTAATTCTGAAGTCTGTTGTCATTTGGTGGCTAGAATGCTGGGGCCTGGGAGGGATGGGGGAGATACTTTGGTAATGGTGGAATGAGGTCTTCAGGAGGCTTGAAGCAGTTTGGATGCATCAGTCTCTTGGCCCACAAATGTAGAAATACAGCAGACTTATGCCTGGGCATCTTTCCTCTGATGCAGTGCGGTATTTTCCTGCAAGAGCCAGGAGCTTGGGGCAGGTGTAATAACTGAGGAAATGGATGCGCCAGCAGACAGCTGTGCTGTGAGCCTCACCCTTCCGTTCAAGGGAGCTTGCCCATCTTGCCATAGCCTTACCCTCTTGTGATAGGCTTTCCTGGGACCTGCAGCAAAGTCTGCAAATGTTGAGAGTGTCTTCAGTCACAGAACTGACTCCCCGGAGGGCTCGCTGCCTTGCTTTTCTCTGGTCCTTGTTCATCGCATACCTCCAGGCAACTTCAGCCTCACCTTTGCCCTAAGGTAAGGAGCAAGGGTTGTATGGTAGCTTCCAGGTGGAGCCAAGAGACCCTTAGTCTAGTTGGTTCATCATATGCTGTATTTCTGCACTAAAAAACCCAGACATACACATGCACACTCAGCTCACACATATACACTCACTACTGACACATACATATACACACTCACTTGCATGAACAGCCGCTCACATATGTTCACACTCTCACTCGTAAACTCACATGCATGCACACATTCTCATATACACATGTATGTACACTTGCACATACACATTTGCTCATCCACACATACATACACTTACTTGCACAAAGATACACTCATGCATACTCGCGTCCACACACTCAAATGCACACACACAGATATACACTCAACAGGGTGCTCCAAACTCAAAGGTGAGTGTTTTGGAGAAGTTATCCTCTTTTTGGTTAGTTTTCCTACAATTCCTTCTTTTCAGAATCTAGTTTTTCAGCTGGAGGAGGTGTCCTGCGTCTGAGTGAGAAAAGCTGTTGTGGTTTCTTAAATTTTTTAGCTGCACAGGCGGAAGGATATTCTTCCTTGTGGTTTAGAATTACATCTAGAAAGTTGCAAACAGATTTCCACAGCCTCCCTTAAGGTGCCTTCTTGTGCTGTTTTAAAAAGGAGGGCTCTAGAGAAGGCACTGATATATATATTTTTTAATAAAAGGAAAAATAAAATACAAGGACATGGAATGAATAAGGAGAGTGAAGGGAAAACAAGCCCGAGGAGATAAAGTGAAAATTCTCTTACATTTGAGACTTGGGTTGGAGGTGGGGGTTGGGGACTGCCAACTGCTATAGTGGTGTTTAGAAATAAAGAGTCTGTGTTATGTCTAGTGGTCCTAGTATTTTGTGTTACTCTGACCCCGGCATTGTATCATTTCAATGCATTCAGGGTGTGCAAACGTTCAGTCCTGGTTAGAGGAAGGTATTTTGTATCCAGGCCAAATCTACATTTCAGATTTGAAATGGGGGAGCAGGGGCGAGAAAGGGCAGGGCTGGCAGGGGCGAAGGTCAGTGTTCGCAGTTCCGAGACCATGTTTAATATCACATGACACCTTTGTCAAACAGCACGTCCGTCCCCCCCCCCCCCCCACCCACAGGGGCTGTCTGGGTTTCTGTACCTTGGGGACTGTCCTCTGAGTTGCCTTCCCACCCAGACTCTCAGACTTGCTTTTCGTAAACCAGAAGAAATGAATGAAATTTGACCTAGTCCACATTTTTTTTAATGTGGTGGCATGAGAAGCCCTGGAGGGTCATGTTCCCCCTCCTGTGCCTGGTCAGGCCTGTCTGCATCCCCCTCCTGGGGTCCTGTGGCTGTCTGAGGCCTTGGGGATTGACTGGAGGATGCGGGGAGGGGGAGTGGTGTCGTATTTCGTGCCTGTGTCCTTGAAGGTGAGCCTCGGGTCTGCAGCCCAGGGTCGGGTCATCTCCTGAAACCTCAAAGGTGATGAATTAAACCTGGGCGGTCAGATGCATTTGAAATGGCTTCAGAGAGCAGCGATTATGGCTTCTGAGTTTCGGGGCTGTCTGTTGCCCTGTGGAGCGGGGCAGGAACAGGGGAATATGGGCTGACTGCCGACCTTTCATTTCTGCGGCCCAGAGTTCACCTCTGGCTTTGGTCACCAGAGCTTGATGATCTTCGCCTGAGCCCTGGTAGATATCTGTCCCTGTCACCATAGTCCTCGAAGAAGACCCACTGACCTGGAGGAGACCTTGGCCGGGAGGGTGCAGTGACACACCTCAAGGATGCTTTAGGAAAGGGGGCAAAACTGGTGGATACTGTAGTCACTTTCCTTCTGCATCCTTCAGACACTGATTATTTGAAGACCAGGAAGAGGAAGAATGAGCTCCCAGTGGAGAGCAGTTTCCCAGTCATTGCTTTAGACCTGCAGCATTGTTGAAATTTTACTTGAGATTTATGAAAAAGAGATACATCCACGAATGAGCGCAAGTAGCAAAGGCAGGACTTAGAGACACACAAACCTGAGTTCAGATCCTCAGTATCACTTGAAACTGTGCCTTCTCTGAGATCCTTCCTTCTTCATCTGGAAAATGGAGACAATACTAACTCAGCTGCGAGGTTATTGTGAACATGGCATGAGTTATTGCAGGCAGAGTGCCTGGCATGTAGTTGACTCTTAATATACATTAGTCATTATTTGGTAAGATTTATATCCAGCCCTTATTTCAAAGAGTTAGAGCAATTTAGACATAAATCTGTGGGGCAAAGACAGAGTTTTAAAATGTACATTTGGCAAAGGGAAAGGGAGCCCGCTCAGAAATGAGGCTTGAATTCCTCAATGAACGAATACGTCTGACCAAAACACGATTTCCCTAATTTTAGGAAGCTGCAGAATCCTTCACTCCTCCATGCATTATGGAATCCTTCCAGAAACCGAGCAGTACCCCCAGGACGAGCATGAATGCTCGACACCCTGTTTAGACCAGCTGCCGTTTTGGAAGATGTTCTTAAATAGATCAAGGTCAATTTTACCTGCTTAATGACCTGCTTGGACAAAGAAGCAAGGTGCCAGAAACAAGTTGGGGAGATCGGACAGTGGCATTGTGCAGAAAAGCCCCAGCCTGGGGGCTGATTACTCACACTAGCAGCCTTGGCCCTGCCCTGCCTGCCCTAAACCGGCTTCCAGGCTGCAGAGGTTGCTCTTTGAAATGAGACATAATCTTTGCAATATGCCTGGAACATCACAGATCACACACAGCACGTCATTAATTCCTATTTACATGAGTTTCTTAATTCATGTTTTCTCTACTCTTAAAAATTTGGGTCCCTTTCAGTGTGGGAGATGTCTGCTCATGCTACTTCACAAGTTCTAAAATCAAGCAAAAAGCAGGACAAAGTGGGCAGGGGGAGATACTGTCATATGGCAGAAAGAGCAAGAACTACATTTTACTTCTCATGTCACCAATTAGCCAACCATCAAATCTTGGGTAGTTCAGGCTCCTCCCTGGTGTCTCAGCTTTTAGGTCTGTAAAGTGAGGTAATGGTATCCACTCTTGCTATGACTTTGTTTTGAAATGCGTTGAGATAATGCATATGAAGGAGACAAAGTGTTCTGCATATTGTTTACCTCTTTAGCCTTTGAGTCCTCCTTGGAGAAGCTAAGCCGAACTTCACGTGGCCAGATAGCCTGGGTTGGGACACAGCGTATTTCCCCAAATATGAGCAATCATCATCGAAGACCCTAACAGGGCAGTCTAGACTCACTCAACCCAGTGGCAGTCTAGAGGGCTGGACAAACTGCTGGACATGCCCAAGGGTTCAATGCTCCCCCAGACTTCAGTGTGAAATATGGCAAGATCTTCAGAGGTATCCCTGTGATGCTCAAAAGTCATGAAACTTGTTGGGACAGGTTGGTATAGAACGGGAGTTGGCAAACTGCAGCCCAGGGGCCAAATCCAGACCACCGCCTGTTTTTGTATATAATGTTTTATTGGAGCACAACCATGCCTGTTCTTTTATGCATCTATGCTATCTAAGTCTATGGCTGCTTTCAATGGCAGAGTTGAGTAGTCATGACTGAGACTGGCCCTCAAAGCCAAAAGTATTTACTATCTGGCCCTTTACAGGAAAATTTTTCCCTACCCATGGTAAAGAATATAGATTAAAATGTGCTGTCATGCAAACCTCCTAAGAATGTGTGGCTTCCCCAGTTTTTAAGCTTATTTTACTTATGAATTCCTATTTATATGTCAGAGGAGTTAGTACTGATTCTGGACTCAAGAGTGAAACAAGTGAAGTATCATTTTATTTGTTTTTTTTCCTTTTTTTTTTTTTTTTTTGAGTTTCCTCTGTGCAAAAGACAGAAGAAAGTTGATCGTCTATATGCCAGGCACTTTACTTATGCCATCACCTTTACTATTTATGATAACCCAATGATTTAAATGTTTTACACATGAAGAAATTGACCTTCAGAGAGGTTAAGTAACTCAGCCAAGATCACACAGCCAGTATGGGATGAAGCTAGGATTTCAATTCAAGCCTGTCTAATTCAAATGCCAAGTTCTTCCCACCAGAGGTTGCTGCCTCCATGCCCTTTGGCATGCTCTTTGAAAGCCCCTCAGAGACCAACTCTAGAAGTTATTAGCCCTTGGAAACATGAACTAAAGCCAGTGAATTACTTCTTGGGGCATTTTGTAGCCTTAGCTCCAATTGTGAAGTAAAAGGCTTGCTCACTTGCAGAAGGGATTTTAGGCATCAAATTGAGTGATGAGAAGGACGTTCTTGGGGCTAAGGGATGCTCAGCAGAGCAAGTTTCCCCTCCAGGTCTGACCTGTCCTTACTGGTCTTTGCTGTGTGGGAGCTTGGTGGTGGCCCTGCATTTTGAAGGCAATGGGAGTGTCCTGGATTCTGGAAGCAGACTGGACATAGGGAACACTATCTGTGCTGGCTGAGCTGAGCTTCTGGACTGAAGCCAGCCTGGGAGAAGAGGCATCTGATTCGTGATAAGGATGAGGGGCCAAGGGCAGCTGCAGCTGCCCTCAGCTTAATATATGGTCAATCTTCTGATGAAAAGGCTGAGGGTTAAAGGTCAGCTTTGAGTTGACTCTCAATATACCTGCCCTCCTCTTGCTCCCTAGGGAAGGGATTTTTTTCTGTAAGGTTAATTCAGGGTAAACACATTTTAGGGAGAAGCAGAAATGGTAAAGACGTTAAACATTTTTTTTTTTTAAAGGAAGGAAGCTAGTGATTTATCTGTTACACTCTGGGTTGCAGATCTTGGTAGTACACATATCTAATTCTTTAAAGGTTTGAAGCTTCTCGGGTTATGAAGGGATGATAAATAATAAATAGTAATTAAATTACAGATGCACACACTGGACCCCTCTGAACTCCAGGAAGTTTGAAATTGGAGTCACCCTTCATCATAATTAAGATTCCCCACTGAGGATGTTCTGGCTGGGCTGCGTGGAAGGGACTTCACGGAAGCTCCTCCACAGCCTTCTTGAGCTGTCATAGTTTGGCATCCCCTGGTCTAGGAGAAGCAGAGGCAGAGAAAGAGAGCCTAGGGTGGGGCTGGGGCTGCATCTGCTGGGAGAGGAAGGGGAGAGGCTGTGGGGCAGATAGACATTTATGGGAGGAGTTTAGAGCTATTTGTTCTGGATCCTCTGGGTCCATATTTATCAGATCTCTGTCCCCTAACCTGAGAGAAATTTGGGGAATAAAGGATTGCTCATGCAATGAAATTGTGTAGTTCACTGGTTACTGGGGTGTTTACTGGGAAAGTTCGGAAGAGCCAGGGTTGGCTCTACTGGAACAATATGGGGGCCACGATGGGGGCTGAAAGGGCAGATTCTTCAGTCTCAGTTAGAAACCTTGAGTCACCCATTTACCCAAGGCTGAACCACCAGAGTAATGTTGATACTCAAGCCATGGCCCCAGGCACTATCCACGATAGCACATTGCAGCTCATGCTTCAGGTTACGGGTTTTGAACAAATCAGAAGCACTGGGCTAATAACTCCTGGAGGGGGAGGCCAGAGAGATGTGAGGGTCAGTCTTCAAGGAAGCCTCCATGGACAGAGGACTCGAGAGCATCTGGAAGGGTGTGGGGGAGGAAGAGGCGGACAGAGTCCTGGGAAAGTCTGTGGGCTGAGGGATTGGTGTGTGGGGGCTGAGGTGGGCAGGGCTGAGCCTCTGCTGACCTCTGAGTTAAGGAAGTCTCTCTCTCTCACACACACACACACACACACACACACGCAGTCATACAAAAAAAAAAAATCCAACACTTTGTGGTCCTGTTTATTCTCAGACAGGGAGTGGACAGCCTTTCGGAGGTGTCCGACTGTGCCGTCCAGCCAGACTGACATCTGTGGGAGTTTAGGGTTTTAAATGTTTAGTCTGCGCAAGCCCCCCAGGCCCCAGCGGGCCCCAGTCCTGATAGGCCGGACTTAGCCATTGACCCCCACCCCCTCCTGAGAAAGGGAATCCATATGGGGTTTGTAAGAGGAAAGCTCAGCTCCCCCTGAAGTCCAAGGCGGAGGAGTGGTCCTGGGCTGTCATCAGAGTTGTAGAGAACCTCAGCCTGGGGACCTAGATGGGACTGTAGGTCAGAAGCTGCACCCTCCCCAACCTTCAGCCAGCTGTCATTTTCTCCTCTGCAGGGGAATGGCCAGGGCCAGGCCCTACATCTGGCCTGGGCTTCTCTGTTCCCATAGCCCTTCATCCTTACTGCTGTCACTGCCCTGACACACAGGCTTGTAATTATTTGTCTGCATGTCTGTCTCCCCTGCTCCTCCTGCCCCAAGTAGCTCTGTTTCTTCAAAAATTTCTAAGTCTCCAGCTTCTAGCACGGTGCTTGGCACAGATCTTTTGTTTAGTTAAAGCTCTTGGAATTGGGCTGCTCTGAACTCAGCTGAACATGCTTGTCAAAAGCCCCAGAGTCCCCTGGGCATGACGGAGTTTGGGGCACACTTAGGAAGAGGGCTCTGCAGACCTCTGAGCTCGCTGTCTGTAGAGTCCTGGGCCACAATCCCAGAGTAACCAGTAGGCAGGGGCTGCCCTTTGACATCATGTTCAGCTGTGGTTGTCGTCAGCCTGTTTGGTGATGGAAGAGGGACAGCTGGAATCCATGGGGACAAGGAGGGGAGTTGAGGGGAGCACTTCTGTGCTGGAGCATGTGCGGCGGTTGCTGCTTTTCTAACTAGAAGTTCTGCAGGGGCTGGGACGGGGCATGCCCTGGGAGTGATGTCAGATTGGGTCTAATAATCACCTACTTCTTGCCTGAGTAGCAGCAAGCAAACCACAGGTAAGTAAGTCTGGTTTAAAAAATACATTATTCCTGAAAATTTGCTTCTTAACCAGTTTATGAAACACTTTGTCCCTCAGGGTTCCCGGGGACTAAAGGGTGTGAAGATGCATAAAGTAAAACAAACAAGTTCAGAATGCAAATTATTTACATTGATAAACATAATTTATCTTCTACAAATCAATTAGCAGAATACAAGTTGCAAAAAAAAAAAAAAAAAAGGAAAGACACAAACAGATATTTATTAAAATTGTGTCTAATGTATTTAGTGAGCTGCTGAATTTAGTGGTAAGCTCCAGGAAGAGTCCTCGTCCTCCTGGGGTCTCTCTTTGGCAGCTCCTGCAATTTAACCGGTTGTTCTCTGGCCATGGAAGCTTGAAGTTTGGAGATTCTGCATCTTTTCATGCCAAGGACAACTCAGGAGATAAGCCTGGCTTCACAGTTCTTCAGTCTGTGTGGTTTGCTCTAATGTTGATCTATCTACCTACCTACCTATCTATCATCTATCTATCTATCTATCTATCTATCTATCTATCTATCTATCTATCTAACTATCATCTATCAATCTATCATCTATCTATCTCTTATCTGTCTATTATCTATCAGTTATCTATCTTATCTATCTATTCATCCATCCTTCCATTTAACATTCCTAAAGAGCCTACTTTGTACATTGTACAGCACTGTGACATTGCTAAGGTGATTCCAAAGAAATGGGATATCCTTGCTCTGAGAAACTCACCATCTAATTCAGAGGTTCTTAACCTCTGCACTGTTGACATTTTGGGCAGGAGAATTCTTTGTTGTGGGGGTCTGTCCTGTGCATTATAGGATTTTTAGCAGCATCCCGGGCCTCTATCCACTAGATGCCAGTATCACCCCCTCCCCCGAGTTGTGACAACCAAAAATGTCTCTAGACATTGCCAAATGTCCTTGGGAGTGGAGGGTGAAATTGCCTCTGGTTGAGAACTGCTGGTCTAATTGGAGACAGACACAAAGTAACCTACGTGCTTTAATGGATGCATGCTCAAAGGATTATGGGACTAAGGGCGGGGAGCAAGGGTATGCTTGAGCTGCATCTTGAACAGTGTGTGGAAGTTTGCCAGGCACAGCAGAGGGGTAAGGGCATTTTATTCTGAAGGAACAGTGTGCATGGGTGCGAAGGCATTAAAGAGCATGGCGGGCACGGGCAGAGGGAGCTGGATGTGGCTGGTGTGTAGGCTGAATGAGGATAGGAGGAGGAGGAGATAGGACAAGGAACCAATAAAACAGGCCAGGAACAGAATGAACAGGACTCTGACGCATTTGGACTTCATCCTTTTTCTGACATTGGAACCAATAAAGATCTTCACACTTAGTTAAGCCTGGGGTGGGGTGGGGTGGGGTGGGCTGCTAAGACACCACTCATGCACTAACTAGGCACTCAAATAGAATAAAAGGGAGGTAAGTGACTTCTACCTGGCCTTCCTCTTCTTTGATCATCTTCCCAACCTTTTTTTTTTTTTTTTTTTTAAGATGGAGTCTTTCTCTGTTGCCCAGGCTGGAGTGCACAGGACAGACCCCTGCAACAAAGAATTCTGCCGCCCAAAATATCAATAGTGCAATCTCCGCTCACTGCAACCTCTGCCTCCTGGGTTCAAGTGATTCTCCTGCCTCAACCTCCCCAGTAGCTGGGATTACAGGCACCTGAGACGTCACCATCTCAAATATGGTTGTTCAGCCTCAAAGCTGAGCAAACACAGTCTTTAGTGCCGGGCTAATTTTTGTGTTTTTAGTAGAGACGGGGTTTCACCATGTTGGCCTGGCTGGTCTCGAACTCTGACCTCAAGTGATCTGCCTGCTTTGGCCTCCCAAAGCACTAGGATTACATGTGTGAGCCAACATGCCCGGCCCCCAACCTTAATTAGAAAGTAGAAGTAAAGTGAAATGAACGTAGTTTCTATCTTATTTGTCATGTGTAAACCAAGGTTTTTCCTGGGAGCAGAGGAGTGCATGAATTCAGAGTTACTGTGGAAGAGGTGGCCATCTCCTTTCCATACTATATAGTTGTCACTGGGGAGGAGCTGCCCAGCCAGGGAATCCATTTCTTCGTCCCTTTCTTACATTGAGCAGAGACACAACAATTCCTCACCAGGGGAATGTGAGTGAAAGTGCAGTGTACCTCTTCCAGGCCAACACTCTTCTATATCCCTTTCGTCTTTCACCAACCTTAGGGAGTGAAACTTCCGTGCATGGCAGAGCCTCATGACAGAAGGAGCCTGGCTCCTTGAAAGACCGGGTGGAGAGAGCTGCTCACAGGTTGGAGCACTGCCCAAGATGTTACATGAGCAAGAAATAAACTTCCGTGGTGTTTAGTCACTGCATTTGGGTCTATTTGTTACTGCACCTTAGCCTATGCTAACAATTATAGAGTCTGCCTTTGCTAACTCACACCTAAAAGGTCAGATGTCTATTTTGTTGCCAACACTAAAGACTGTGCTTGCTCAGCTTTGAGGCTGAACAACCATATTTGAGATGGTGATGTCTCAAGTGATGTGTGTGTATGTGGAGCAGGGGGAGTGTGAGGTGCTGGCTTGATCCGCATTCCCGTGGCTTGCAGTAAGATTCCCAGATGGCAGCTGCCCTCTGCACTTTTACCCTTCCTTTCCACTCACCACCCATCACTTCCCCCACTGTTCCCTTCATCCCCCTGTGTCCCATCGATGAGGAAGCCTCCCCATGAAAAGCTGGAGGAGCTCTGCCTTGGGGTTTCTGCTAAGTCACCAGGTTGAGAACTTGCCGCAACTCCTTGGACAGTACGAATGCCCATTGCTTCTCTTTTGGTGGTCTGGGGCTTAACACTCCAGGCTATCACTGCATCATCTGGTCCAATTGACTGCATCTAAATAGTAGAATTCTTTCTGTGCTCCTGAAAACAAGAGGGCTGCTTGGCGTGTGTGTGTGTGTGTGTATGCGTGCACACACGTGTGCATGCTGTAGGCCTGATATTAGATACAGACAAGTAAAATGTTATGCTTTTTTTTTTTTTTTTTTTTTTTTTTAGATAGAGTTTCACTCTTGTCTCCCAGGCTGGAGTGCAATGGCGTAATCTTGGCTCACTGCAACCTCTGCCTGCTGGGTTCAAATGATTCTCCTGCCTCAGCCTCCCAAGTAGCTGGAATTACAGGTACGTGCTACAACATCTGACTAATTTTTGTATTTTTAGTAGAGATGGGGTTTCACCATGTCAGCCAGGCTGGTCTCGAACTCCTGACCTCAGGTGATCTGCCAGCCTCAGCCTCCCAAAGTGTTGGAATTACAGGCGTGAGCCACTGAATCCGGCCAATGTTATGCATTTAAGTGTGGGGAGCAGAAGACTGGATATGCAAGAGCATACATCTGGATACCTTTTACCTCTTGGCTTGTGGGGAAAATGACCTGCAGGATTTTACATGGAGCTTCCTGTGTGCATGCTGGTGACTGTTGGCAACAAGGTGTCAGGAAGAAAGACATTGCTTTCCAAACTCCTTTTCCCAAATGATCCTTTCTTACCCAGTCTGCCTTACCTGCTTCTGTACTGTTCAACAGAGGAGGGGGAACAGGGAAAAGCAGGGGCAGTTGTGAAAAATAGAAGGGAAACTTGAGTGTGCCTTTTTCTTCTCCTTCTCTTTCTCCACCCTCAGTCATCATTAACAGAAAAATATTTTTAAAAGATCCCTTGATGGCATCCCCAAATGTTAAGTCTGACATTTTCTTAGCTGATGGCCTCCTTTGTGAAGGTACTTTGTGTCCGCCCAGCATGCCTGCTGGATCCCTGGTTTGCCGCAGTTGCTGAGGTAAATACTCTTTCCATTAAGCACCACAGCCCAAGAGTGGCCTAAAGCTCAAATAAATGACCAAGAAGCAACTTAAACATTCCCTGGGGCGATTTTAACCTATGCAATGGCTTTTTGAAAAAATTGCCTATTTTTTCATGTTTTGGCCGGGGGGGTGTCTCTTATTCCCTTCTTTTTTATTTTCCTTTCAGCTGAGTACACCTTCTCTTTCATTTATTCATGCACTGCATGAAGGATGGAAGCAGGATGAATAAATCACAGAGCATTGCCCCTCTCCCCACTCAGGGTCTGTGAAGAGAGCTGGAGCAGAATACAGTCCAGGCATTATGTCAACTTTCAGGGGACCTGGGGCAGGTGGCCGATTCTCACAGAGACCCCACTTCCCTTTCCTGTGAAAAATACCACAGCCCAACAGCCACTGGAGAACAGTGTTCTTCTGGAAGCTTCCTCTGGGCAGGAGGAGTCAAAGATCCTGGTCCTCAGGGACACTTGAGATGGGTGTGCCCAAAGCTGTGCAGGATGGTTTGGTTTGTTTTGTTTTTCTTTGCCTCAGGAAGAATGTGTTCACAAACCTCAGGACAAATCGTTTAAAAAAGTGTCCTGACAGTTGTCATGCTTCATCACTTGATTTAGAGGCAATAGGACAGCCTTATTTTCTTCTAATCTCTGGTGGTTGAGGAGTCTGGTTGGCCTGGCAGAAGGCTGAGATTGGCTGAGGGAGTCATGAGCGAGCAGGGGCCTCTGGTGCCTGAAGCGCCCCTCAGGAAGAGCGGGTCTCACCGGAAGGCCACACTCATCTCCTTCCTGGTTACCCAGTGTGGGGATTTGCTACTTTGCTGAGTGTGTTTTGTCTACATTCATGGTGCTCCAGAACTGTGTCTGTGTTTCTCACATTCTCTTTCGTGTCTGCCAGAGCAACATTCTCAGCAAACCATCTGAATGCAACTCCTGTGATCACAAAAGTCAATCACTGATGGAAATGAAGACCACGACCCTGATTCCTCAGGTTGGCCCTTTTCAAACCACGTTTCTCAGAGCTCCAGGAACAACAGGAGTTCTAGGGAGAGTTTTTTTTTTTTTTTTTTTTTTTTTTTTTGAGGCAGAGTCTTGTTGTGTCACTCAGTCTGGAGTACAGTGGCTCAATCTCGGCTCATACTGCAACATCTGCCTCCCGGGTTCAAGCAATTCTTATGCCTCAGCCTCCTGGGTAGCTGGGACTATATGTGCACACCACCACGCCCAGCTATTTTTTTTGTATTTTAGTAGAGATGGGGTTTCACCATATTGCCCAGGGTGGTCTCGAACTCCTGAGCTCAGGCAATCTGCCTGTCTTGGCCTCCCATAGTGTTAGGATTACAGGCGTGAGCCACCGCGCCCAGCCCCAGGAGAGATCTTTTTAAAAACGTGAATAGATCACGTTAGTTTGCTCATTGCACTTGGACAAAGCTGCACCCTGAGAGTGTGGCCTGCCAGGCCTGGTGACAGCGTCTCTTGGTCTTTGCCTGTGGTGGTCTCTGGACCCTTCAGTCTTCTCCATGGTGCCTGCCTCAAAAGCTCTTCCTCCACTGTTCACCTGTTTAACTCCATGTGTCCTTCAGTTTCCAGCTTGAATGTCTGCCCTCAGAAAGGCCTTCCTTGACCCCCCAGATGAAGTCAGTTTCCCCTAAAGTGCACGAGGCCCACATGAAATTACTTAGTTATTTGGTTAATGTGTCTTCCCCACTAAACTGTAAGAGCCACAGGAGAAGGGGCGAGTCTGTTTCATTTTCAGATGTAGCTCTAGCCTATGGTGTATAGTAGGTGTTCAACAAACATGTATTTAATGAAAGAAGGAATGAGAGCATGGCACTGCCTCTCTATGCTGAAATGGTGTCTGGACTACTTGTTTTTTCTTTCCCATTCATCAGATGATCAGTCAGCTGTTTAACAGAGCAGATTAAAGTAATTTCGAGAGCACACTCTTTTTTTTGTTTTTGTTTTTGTTTTTTTTTGAGACGGAGTTTGGCTCTTGTTGCCCAGACTGGAGTGCAATGGCACAATCTCGGCTCACTGCAACCTCTGCCTCCCGGGTTCAAGCGATTCTCCTGCCTCAGCCTCCCGAGTAGCTGGGATTACAGGCATGCACCACCACACCCGGCTAATTTTGTATTTTTAGTAGAGATGAGATTTCTCCATGTTAGTCAGGCTGGTCTTGAACTCCCGACCTCAGGTGATCCGCCCACCTCAGCCTCCCAAAGTGCTGGGATTACAGGCGTGAGCCACTGCGCCTGGCGAGAGCACACTTTTTAAAAGGGAGGGAAGATTGGGCCTTTGAAAGCATCTTGTTTGGGCCCTCAAAGAATATAGACTTTATTTATTTACGATGGAGACTTGCTGCAACCTCTACCTCCTGGGTTCAAGCAATTCTCTGCCTCAGCCTCCCGAGTAGCTGGGATTGCAGGTGCCCGCCACTATGCCCAGCTAATTTTTGTGTTTTTAGTAGAGACTGGATTTCACCATCTTGGCCAGGCTAGTTTTGAACCCCTGACCTCATGATCCACTCACCTCGGCCTCCCAAAGTGCTGGGATTACAGGTGTGAGATGCTGCGCCCGGCCTAAGAAAGTAGTCTTTATTTCCCTTCCTGATGTGGGAAATCTGAGCTCCTGATATGTGTGTACTGGGTCTGGATCCTGGATTCTTAGGAGTGACCCGGATGTTCTGGAGGCTGTCCAGGGCCTGGGAGCAGAGGCCTCACTGCCCGTTGCTGAGGCCTGACCTCTTTGTTCAAGCAACCCCTTTGCCAAACCACCTTAGGCTACAGCACCAGGCTCCGAGAAAACCTTGGATCAAGATATTAAGAGAATAGTTCTGATACCTACCTCCCTTTCCTTTGGAAAAAGCCCAACTTTATGGACCTTTTAGGAAATATGGGAGGGGAAGGCCCATAATGTAACTTGGGCAGGAGTAGGGGGTGGGGGCGAGATAGAGGAGAATTCTTAGGGTTTTGGTTCTTGACTCTAAGTCAGTCTGTTTTTGTACTTGTGTCTTTTAAGCTTTTCCACATGTGCCCCAAGGGCCCATCGGTGAGTGTGTTTTATAAACTGGAAAAATGAATAAAAATAAGACCCAGAAGGGAAACACCAGAAGGAGTGTGAAGGGAAAAGTGTTAGTTCCTCTGTACCTCCCAGCTAGGCCTGACCTGCATTTGTGGGGGTCCCAGGGTCAGGCTTATTTGGCTTTATGGGTAAAATGTGGAGTCTTTGCTCAGAGAAAGCCTGATCAGTTTTTGTACTTGGCCTGCTCCACTCAGCATTAATTAACTTCAGGAAAGTAAAAGGTGATTCTTTTTTATTTGGCTATCTGGCTCCACAAACCTTGCTGGCTTCCTGTCCCATAGGTGCCGGATTGATGGAACCTCAAATGTGTAAAGTCTTGCACAGGAAACCCCCCAGCATGGCCATTCAGAGGCTCTCAACTCCTGCTGGACCCAAACACAAGAAACCAGGAGGCCCAGACCCCGTCTCTCATTTTGCACCTCAGTAAACAGTACCTCGAAAGAGAACTCCATTTTCTTTTCTTAACGTTCTTCAGCTAAAACAAGAGTGTAGGGAAGGGGCTACTTGGAAAAGAGATTCTCTAAATTGCCTGAAAAATCGATCACAACCCAAGAACCAAGTATTTTGAAACACAGCATATTTAGGAAGTTTGAGGAAGCTTTAAAATATCTCCAGAAGGTTTGTGTTTAGCCCAGCACGATGTCTGTCTTGTGACCCAAAGGTTTATCTTCCGAACCTTACTTGAGCAACTTCATTAATAAAAACATTTTTGAGAATGCACATCTAACACGTATATACTTATTATAACTTTTGTACACATACTGTTGAACTAATATGTTCTGTTTTTTTAAACAGATACATATTAAATATGTATTTTTACATATTAACATTAAACAAATACATTAACATTAAACAATGTATTAACATTAAACAAATACATATTAAATATGTATTTTTAAAAACACATATCTAAACACAAATTTAAAAATTGATACCGATGAAATAAATATTTAAAAATAGGGCTGGGCGCGGTGGCTCATGCCTGTAATCCCAGCACTTTGGGAGGCCGAGGTGGGTGGATCACCTGAGGTCAGAATTTCAAGACCAGCCTGGTCAACATGGTGAAACCTCATCTCTACTAAATATACAAAAAATTAGCTGGGTATGGTGGCGGACACCTGTAATCCGAGGTACTCGGGAGGCTGAGGCAGGAGAATCGCTTGAACCCAGGAGGCAGAGGTTGCAGGGAGCCGAGATCGTGCCATTGCAGTCCATCCTGGGCAACAAGAGCAAAACTTTGTCTCAAAAAAAAAAAGATTTTGTCTATTAACTATCTGAAACCCTTTTTGTTCTCATTAAAATATATTATTATTAATCAAATTTCTAGTGAGAGCAATGGGATTGGATAGGCATGATTATTTTTAAAAATCTTGGTATAATACTTTGTGGCACAGTGAGTCAAAAGCCTGGCTCTGATTTTCAATACTTGGGCGATTATAGCTGAGAAAGATATATGAGACATATAAATCTGAATGGAAGAAGGGAACTAACTGGACTCTCATTTCTGATTCTTGGCCACTGTGAAGGCACAGGTTTTCATCTGTCACTATGTGCTAAAAGCAAACCAGCAAGTGAGGGTGTCACTGTCAACTGCTCCTTGTCGTGAGATTCCCACCTTTCCCTCAAGACATCTCAGATATCATATGTAACCTTGACCCTGTGTCCCACAGCAACAGCGGTCATTGAGTGTAAAGCCTTTTCCTTGAGGATTGTGGTAGACAGAATGCCCCCCAAAGGTGACTATGCTTGAATCCATGGAAACTGAACATGTCACCTTCTATGGCAAAAGGGACTTTGCAGACGTGATTAAGGTTAAAGACCTTAAATTAGAGGGAGTACCCTGGACTATCCAGGTGTCTAATCTAATCCCATGAGACTTCAAATGCAGAGAGCTTTCTCTGGCTGGAGTCAAAGAGATGTGACAAAAGAGGTCGTCGGAGAGATTGGAAGTGTGAGAAAGACCCGACCTACTGTTTCTGGGGAGCCCACCTGGAAAGCACGAGAAGGGACACAGGCAACCTTTGGGAACAAAGACTGCCAGCCACAAGGAAAAGACAGCAGTCCTCTAGCCACAAGAAACCGAATTCAGCCAGCAACCTGGACAAGCTAGAAGAGCATTCTTCCCCAGAACCTTTAGGAGGAAGTGAGGCCTTGCAGATACCCTGATTTTGGCTTTTGAGACACTAAACAGAGGATCCAACTGAGTTCAACTGGCCCAGAAACTGAGATATGTTTGGACTGTTTTAAGTTGCTACGTTTGTGGTAATTTATTTTGGTGGCAACTGAAAATGAATGTAATTGTATATTAGAAAAATTGAAGGTAGAAGCTCTAATACTTTCTCCCCACACCCCAGTGGTTCATCATGTGCAGCACTCAGGGTGTGGAAATTCCATTTTGAAGACACCGTCTTCCAGGATTCTAACCCCCACCTGGGAAAGGTCCTGGAGAGAACTTCTAGCATGTATTTCTGAGCCATTCACATTTAACCCAGAGAGAGAAGGTGTCCTGCCCAAACGCAAAGCAGCATGGCGGTAGTTCTGGACATAACCTTAACAATTGCCAGGAACTCTCTGGATGTCCATCCATCAGCCCTATCTAGTCTTTTTGTCTGCATGGCATTGTGGGGGATGTGGCGATGAGGGCCAGGATCGCAGAAGTCAGAGTACCCGTGGCTGGAGCTTCCATTTTAAATGAAGTGTTCTTGCTTATGGCTTGATGGTATCCTTTCAGATTTTGCATCTGGCTGTACTCCAGATGTTTATATAGAAACTTCACAGTAGACATGATGGTGGCGTAGGTTTGCAGGAAGGATCCTTTCCTACTTACAGAGTGACCCAATGTGGCCGATCCCTTCAATATTTACAACAGCTGGGTGAGTGGAGGCATGATCAACTCCATTTACCCGTCAAATAAATGAAATTTCAGAGCGGTTACACAATCTGCTTGAGGTAACAAGGCCAGCAAGCCACAGAGCCAACATACCCCTGGTGCCTGGCTCCACAGGAGTCTGGGAAGAGGGAGAGGAAGATGGGGACAGGATGTATCACCAGGATGCTAGGGGAAGAGAGAATATTGACGTGTGGGGCAGCCTGCATCCCCAAATCAGGAGCACTGGGTGCTGCTGTGTTACAGTGAGTGTAGGAGCATGCCGTTCTGGGCTTCACTCTGCCCAAATATGTCTTGCTCATTTTCACCGCCATATGGCTGCTCGTCCCGGTCTGTTTGAGGTTCCTTCCTGTTCCCTCTCTGCCTCTAAGTCCTTCAAAAAGCCAACTGGAAGTGCCTCTTCCAGGCTTTCCTTAGCCTTTCTTTATTCCCTTGAACTTCTATTATGTTAATTGTTCAAAAGATTAGTTCTGACACTTACCCTATGCTGCTTTGTATTACTATTGGAAAACAACAGTAGCTCTCTCAACCCATTGGGTGGATGGTACATGCCATGCTTTATACATTCCCGTGGCCCTGCTGTACCTGGCACACACAAAAGGGGATTAATAAATATGCATATGTTGAATGAAAGAATGGAGAGATGCTGTTGATTTTCTTTGTTCTTCTTTCTTTTTCTCTGATTTCATGTCAAACATAGTTTTCTCCCTTAATAACAATAATTGTTTGTCTTATGTGTACAGTGGGAAATGTGAGCCTCCACAGCCTTAGCTGAATGACTAATAGTATATCCACTTCTGCCTGAGCCAAAAATGTTAAATTGGTTTAAAGATACGGTATAAAAAAGGCCAAGCTGTATCAGGCTTGGCTCAGCCTTGGAAGAGCCACAACACCAACATACTATTTTCACGGTGTGTGTGATTTCAGGCTCTGCTCCCAAGCTTCCACCACACAGGACCAGCTGAGTTAACATACTCAGTGGGTAGCCCTGGCCATCCTAGGCTGGCCTTTCCTGGGCTCCCACTGACCAGCAAGTCAAGCCCCATGCCCCCTGCCTGGCATTCAATGCCTGCAAAAAGAACTTTGCAAATGTTCCAGCCTACTTGGTCTCCTGGATTTCCTTGCACATGGCATGTTCATTTCCACCTCGGAGCCCACTTAGGTCAGTGCCTTCATCAGAAGAATTTGTTTTCCATCCATCCCTCCCAACTTCAACTATGTTGCTTTTTTAAAAAGCCATTCTTGGAGATTTTCATCTAACTGAGTTTTTCTCTCCCTGATCACTCACAGGTCCCACTGTTTGTCCCACAGATTTTTTTCCATGATGGTCTTTTTTAATTTTTAATTTTTATTATTTAGTTGTTAAATTTTACTTTAATTTCTGGGATACATGTGCAGAACGTGCAGGTTTTTTACATAGGTATACACGTACCATGGTGGTTTGCTGTACGTACCAACCTGTCATCTAGTTTTTAAGCCCCACATGCATTAGGTATTTGTCCTAATGCTCTCCCTCCCTTTGCCCCTGCCCCCTGCCCCCCTGTCTTTATGAATTAAGTGAAAAAGTGTGTATTAAGCACTTACATGTGCTCATTCCTCTGTCCGGTGCTTGAGGGGGCTCCAGAGGAACAGGAGCTGCCAGTGATTGATACACAAGGTGCTGGGTATGAGCCCTTTCCTTCCTGGCTTTATGTGATCAGCAAACATTCCTGTGACCATGAAATTCTACTAGGAAGAGCAATCCTACAGCAGCTTTTGTGCACATGCACAAGGAGACATGCAGAAGGTGCTTCTTGCAGCCTTATTTGTAAAACTGTAGAACAACTTGAATGCCCACTGAGAGGAGAAGGGATAAATAAGTTGCAGTGAATTCATATAGTAAAATCCTATAAATAGTCCTACATATAAGTTGTGGTAAAGTCATATAGTGAGTTCCTATACAGCAGTTAAGATGAATTAACTGAAGTTACATGTAATAACTCACCTAAATCTCAGCAAATTTGATGTTGAAAAAGAGTGATCAGCTGTAGAAGTGAAAGTACCATATAATACCATTTATATGAAATTTTAAGACCCACTAAACAATACTGTATATGGATATACACATATTATGTTTCAGTATTAAAATATGCATGGGAATGATATATACCAAGGTTGGCAAATTATGCCCATGGCCAAGTCCAGCCCACCACCTGCTTTTGCGTGGCTTGTGAGCTAAGAATGGGTTTTACAATTTTAAATAGTTGAAAAAAAATCAAAAGAAGGACACTCTTTGGTGACACCTGAAAATTATATGAAATTCAAATTCCAGTGTGCATAAATAAAATTTGCTGGAACACCACCACACTTGTTCTTTCACTTATCAACTATGGCTGCCTTTGTACTCCAAGGACAGGGTTGAATACTTGCCACAGACCGTGTGGCCTGCAAAGGTGCAACTACTTACCATCTGGCCCTTTTCAGAAAGTTTTCCAAGTCTTGATCTATATCAGACTTGGGGGAATGGTTGCCTCTGGTAAGGAAAGGAGAGGAATGGAACTGGGGCAGGAGTGCATCAGTTACAACATTTTATCTCTTAAGCTGCTGGTGGGTTATATATTAATACTTACATTTTGGATGTCTAAAGTATTTTGTAGTTTCAAAAAAAAGTAGAAGACAAACTTCTCACCTCCTAGAAAACCCATAGTAGGTATTATTATGGCTCCCAGTTCACAGTCAGGTATTATTATAACCTACAGTAGGTATTATTATAACCTAGCCCAACCCAGGTTGCCAAAGTTCTATCTCTCTCTCTCTCTCTCTCTCTCTCACTTTCCACGAGGCAGGCAGCCCCAGGCTCACAGGCCAGCAGCTGAGATGAGAAGACATGGGGTTTTTCAATGACTTCAGCAGACTGTACCGGGAGGATTTGGCTAACTGGGCTTGGATCACTGGCCCCTTCCTGCCGGCAGCCCTTCCTCAGATGAGAAAATTCACAGATGAGAAAGCGAAACTTAGAGGGTGCATGGATAGTGAATGCTGGAAGAGGATTAACCTCAGGACCTTCCATCCCAGCACCTCTGGAGCACTGGCCTGCGTTGCCAGTGCTCTTCAGGCCAGCTGGGGGGAAGGGACTGAATGCCAATCTGCTCTGGGATGAACATCTGCCTCCAGGAGACAGTTGTTTAATGAAATTTCCCACCCATGTGATTAGCATCCTCTGAGAGTGAGATGAGTAAAACAGGCTACCACCATCAACATCATCTCTGACTGCACTGCCTAGACAGTAATAACACCCAAGATTTTTAGAGCTTTCTGTTTCTCAAAGTCATGCCCACTGATTCACTCAGGAACCCGGCAGGAAGCAAGGCAGTCCTTGATTGCCCATGTCGTTGAGATGGTAAAAGGGGTATTCTGAGCAACTGTTGAGTTCTTTTACATCCCTGGGATGGCATGGTCACAAAGGCCAGACACCGGGCCTGACTTCAAGGTCACTGTGGCTGCACTACTGAGTGACTGTGGACAAGTCTCACATTCTCTTGAAGACTCAGGAGCCTCCTCTGTAAAGTGGAGATGATAATTATTTCCCACCGCATGGGTGTGTTGTGGGGATTAAATGAGATCATACAAGTGGAATGCTGAGCACCAGTCCAGGAAGGCGAGGGGCACGCCCTACATGTCACCTACTGGATCATTGCTGTTTTCAGGGTTCCTATTACCCAAAGATCCACCTAGAATTCTTCCCCTGAGTGCTGTTCATCTTCGTCAAGGCTCAGCAATGTTTTGGATGATTCTCCTTTGACATAGCTCTGGTGCTTGTTAATACTAAATGTTTTCCAGCTTACCTATAAGGAAACTGAGTCTTAGGAAGCAATTGCAGGGCCTCTACTTTGTGCATGAGAATGAGTGACGGCTGGGGAAACCTGGGATTTGGCCTGATGTTCAAGCACTGGCACCTGCCTGCCTTTTCTCTGTAAACATCTGACCCTAGAATGCTCCACCAGGGCGAGACCATCATCACCAAGCAGCAGCTGCATGGTATTTATCAAAGGAGGCGTGGTTTCCTTTGCTGTGGCTCTCCGCATTCGTGGCAGTTATTCATTTTTGAAGCAGAGGTCACTTTTCTTTCACTGGTGAGGTACTTTGACAAAGACGAAGAAGGGAGACAATGGTAATGATGGTGGAGTCAGGGGGAAGTGGGGATGGGATTGGCATTGGGTTTGAAGGCTGACAGTCAGAGGAAGGGGAGGGACTGAGGATAAAATACTTGCTGTGCTCATGTTGTCCAAGAGTTTGCATTCTCTGGTAGTCAGTGATCAAATGAAGCAGGGAGTTTCGTGTTCAAAAGCAGCACCTACAGGTTCTTTATAGAGGCTTGCCAGAAGATGAATGCCTTGGCTAGAATTTGTAGGCAGGCTTATTTAAGTTACAAGTGACAGACACTCAAACTAATAATAAACAAAAAGGGAATAATTGGCTCATGTAACTGGGAAGTGCAGAGGAATATGGGATACAGGAACAGCTGGATCCAGGGGTTGGCACCAGGTTGTCAGGGTTTTTTTTTTTTTTGAGACGGAGTCTCGCTCTGTTTCCCAGTTCAGTGGTGCAATCTTGGCTCACTGCAACCTCTGCCTCCTGGGTTCATGGGATTTTCCTGCCTCAGCCTCCCAAGTAGCTGGATTACAGGCGTGTGCCACTATGCCCGGCTAATTTTTGTATTTTTAGCAGAGACGGGGTTTCACCATGTTGGCCCGGCTGGTCTTGAACTCCTGACCTCAGGTGATCCACCCACCTTGGCTTCCCAAAGTGCTGGGATTACAGGTGTGAGCCACTGTGCCCGTCCCAGGTTGCCAGGGTTCTGTCTCCCTCTCCCTCTCTCACCTTCCGTGAGGCAGGAAGCCCCAGCTCACAGGCCAGCAGCTGAGATAAGAAGTCATGTCCTTTTTCAATGACATCAGCAGACTATACCAGGGAGGGTCTGGCTAACTGGGCCTGGGTCATTAGCAGCCCTGCCTCAGGAGAGGAGCTATCTACTATGCAACACAGGGCAGTACAAGCCTCGGTTCCTCCCTGTCCACCTAGTCATGAAAATGAGGATGGTTTTGGTGGTTAGCATGTTCCCTCTTAACTTGCCTCAGCATCATCTGCAAAAACTAGAAAATATAAGTGTGCATATTTTTAGCTGTTTTTAAATTTGTAAAACTGGAAACTGTTAAGATATTTACTTAGAACAAGAAAACCTACTGTGCCCTGAGTGAAGTTCACTTAAGCTGCCTCACAGTTACTCCTTGAGTCCTCACTGTCCCGCAGTCTCCTTTCCGCTGAGTTGGGGTGAGTTCTAACTTCAATTTTGCCTGTGAATGTAAATCAAATCTGACCTCCCGTCTCCAGTACATCAAGGGTGTACTCACAGGGACCTAGAAAATATTATATATGGTCCCCTAGAGCTCAAACCCAAGTTGTCTGGGGACAGAGAAGCAACTTTGGGCCATTCCAGGGAAAAGCTCTGGCCACCCTGTAGTAAATCTTCTCCCTTCCTTTCCTTTCAATGGAGGAGGAAGCTTGTCCTTTGCATGAGCATGAAAAATACTAAATTTGGACTTTTTGGAGGTTTTCATTTATGAAGTAGAGTCTATATATTTGGCTCAAGTCTTGCCGGCTGCCCTATTTTCATAGTCCCAGGATCAATATGAGGTTAGTCCATTTGTCTTCTGGAAAAATGTTGTGGCTGGGCTATGTGGCTCACACCTGTAATCCCAGCACTTTGGGAGGCCAAGGTGGGTGGATCACTTGAGATTAGGAGTTCCAGACTGGCCTGGGCAATGTGGGGACACTCTGACTCTAAAAGAAATAGAAAAATTAGGCATAATGGCACATACATTGTGGTCCTAGCTGCTTGGGAGGCTGAGCTGGCAGGATTGCTTGAGGCTGGGAGGTTGAGGCTGTAGGGAGCTGTGATTGTGCCACTGTACTCCAGTCTGTGTGACAGAGTGAGGCCCTGTCTCCAAAAAAAAAAAAAAAAGAAAAAAGAAAAAAGAAAAATGTCGTGCAGTCTTGCAGAATCTTCATGTGATCTTGCTTTGAGGCTATTAGAAAGTTCTTTCATACCCTTCCTCTGTGCTTGGCTGGAAGCCTTTTCCCCTAATTTTGGCACCTCCACCTTGAGTCACCTTGCAGTAGGTGGGAAGTGTTTTCCTTTTACAGGTTGGCCACACAACTGCCTCATCTCCTGTCCTGCACGAGGGCCACCACAGCTCTCCCCTTTCCTTTCCTTTCGTTTCGTTTCCTTTCCTTTCCTTTCCTTTCCTTTCCTTTCCTTTCCTTTCCTTTCCTTTCCTTTCCTTTCCTTTCCTTTCCTTTCCTTTCCTTTCCTTTCCTTTCCTTTCCTTTCCTTTCCTTTCCTTTCCTTTCCTTTCCTTTCCTTTCCTTTCCTTTCCTTTCCTCTCTTCTCTCTTCTCTCCTCTCCTCTCTTCTCCTTTCCTCTTCTTTTCTTTTCTTTTTGAGATGGAGTCTCATTCTGTGGCCCAGGCTGGAGTGTAGTGGCACGATCTCAGCTCATTGCAACTTCTGACTCCCAGGTTCAAGTGATTCTCCTGCCTCAGCCTCCCTAGTAGCTGGATTACAGGCATGCGCCACCATGCCCGGCAAATTTTGGTATTTGTAGTAGAGACGGGGTTTCACCATGTTGGTCAGGCTGGTCTCGAACTCATGACCTCAAGTGATCCATCTGCCTCAGCTTCTCAAAGTGCTGGGATTACAGGCGTGAGTCACCGCGCCTGGCCCAGATTGTTCTATCTCCCTCTCCCCTATCACTTTCCATGAGGCAGGCAGCCCCAGGCTCATAGGCCAGCAGCTGAGATGAGAGGACATGGCCTTCTTCAATGACATCAGCAGACTGTACTAGGGAGGGTCTGACTAACTGGGTCTGGGTCACTGGCCCCTCCTTGCCAGCAGCCCTTCCTCAGGAGAAGAGCTGTCTACTGTGCAGCACAGGGCAATACCAGCCTCAGGTCCTCTCTGTCCAAGGATTTAGTTGGCTTCAGGGAAGGCCCTTGTAATGACCTGAAGATGGAAATGAAGAGGTCAACTTCACCAGCACCAGCCACCTGTCCAGAATGTCTCAGCTTGTGTTTCTTCCTTTAAGATTCAGAAGGGTAAAAGGGAGCCACCAAACCTCATTTGGAGGGTCTGTCATTCTTTGCTGTTACTAGCCACTTCTCTGGAACACTTGTGTCCCTGTATTAGTTAGATGCTTGCAGTTTAAGGGGACTATGGCGTAATCCCATTGCTTTAGGTGATGGAGGATTATTGGAAGGACACCCTGGGAGGTGGGGAAGAACAGTAAATCTTCTCAGCAGTCACAGCTGGGCTTCACCGAGAACTGGAGTATCGTCCATGGCCATATAGGATTTGACAGGAGTTTGTGTAATCTAGTAAATAAAACCCCATGTTCCATAATCAAACTGCTGGGTTCACATTGCAACTCTGCCCTTTACCACTGTGTCACCTCTCTAGCCTCAGTTTCCTACCATCTATACAGTGGTGACAATAATAGCACTGACCATGTGGGGTTCCTTGTCAAGTTTCGGTGAGATCCTGTGCACAAGGACCTAACAGTGCCAGGCAAAAAGTTATGCTCAATGAGTATTGTTGTCAACTGTGGCTCCATGGACACTGTTATTATGAATACTTGTTATTAACAGGGGCTTTGCCCCACAAATGTAAGTCCATTTTTGTCCACTCTCGTGTTGGGGAGTTGGAGTGCTGGCTACTCTTTTCTGTTCTGTCACATGTACCATTACTCTTTGACGACAGCTCCCCATGTCTCAGTCAGATGTCCCAATAGAAGATCTGATTGGCTCTGCCAGGTGTTATCTAGTTTTGGGCAGCCCTACTGGGCATGTGGGGCCCTAATGTTCACACTGGGCCACCTTTTTGGCCTGTTTGCAGCCTATGAATTACCCCCTTGTTTGGTGGATTATGGCCAGAACAGTCTATAACTGAGAATCCCCTCAGACTCTGGGCAGAAAGGCATCTTGCAGAGCCGTTCCAATGCGACACCTCTAGAGTGTCATCCCCTAGAATGTCACCTTGGAAAGACTCTGCAAGATGCCTTGTTAACCATCATGGACCCTGTTAACCATTGTGGGCTAGCATGGTTCTACAAAGACACCTGTGCTCTGCTAGTGAGGGCCCTAACCCATCTCACCCCCTATGGATCCCTCCCTGATTCTGCTGGGATTCCTGCTCACTTTTCCTCTCACATGTTCCCAGCCTCGAGCAAAAATGAGGTATCTGTATTGGAAGCTAGAAATGCTGAGTTTTGAAGCAAATTCTTTGGGTAGGGGGTCCCCTCATAGCAATGCCTCTGGAGTAAGGGGATAAAGACAGAAGGATGACTGACAGGTTTCCTAGGGAGCCCCAGTTCTCTTAACTGAGTGTCTTTCCCCAAGATGGCCTCTCCCTCACGGGGGTAAACGGGGTGCCTGGCGTGGCTGGAGAAGTCTGCTGGTTCTCCCACTGACTAGTGAAGGAGCAGAGAGGGCAGCTCTGCACAGGTTTCTGGACTGGCCTCTTGGAGACCCTTTCGGGGGCTGCCTCTGGAAGATTCACTCCTAGGCTCTCAGAAGATCTGAGGTAGGCTGTTAGCTGAAGCTCCAGAATCCCCTTTCTTTTATTTCTTCAGCAAAGTCCCAGCCTGTTGACCTTTGGGTCCCAGTGCTGAGCCCAGCTCTAGATTTATCTACCCCTCTGGGGCCAAATGCCTGACTTGTTAGCCATGCCGAATGGTTTTATTTGTTTCTGTTGTGCATTTTTATCATTTTTGTTCATGTGCCTGGAGGCTTTCCTTAGAAAATGATGGATGCGTTTTCATAAATCAAAACATAAATGAGAAAGTATATAAAGGCAAAAAATAGACCCAAGTCTGGAATTTGCCACTAGGAGCTGCTAGCTATTTCCCAGGGAGAATGCCCTTTTTGATTTTACAATGTCAGATCCTGACTTATTTCACAGAGTACAATTTTCAGAGCACTTCCTAATACTACTGGCCACAGTAATAATGATGACAATCCCAACCGTGCCTGGTATGGTGCTGAATGCTTTTGATACATTATCACACTTAATTCTTAAAACAGTCTGAGGAGCCAGGTTCTTTCACTATCCCCATTGTAAAGATGAGTAAAGAGAGGTCCAAATGATTTTGTTACTTAACCAAGTTCCCATCTTTGGTAAAAAGTGGGATTAAAATGCAGGTTTCTCATGTTCTCGACGGACAGATACCTTGGACTCCCTTTTCATTGCTTGCCGGAGGTGTGTAAGGGTGGTGGGTTGTAGCTTCTCCTGCCAGCTCTGCTGGAAAGCAGGTGGCTGGGAGTGGTAGGGGCAGCTTTTAGTTGGAGGGGCTCATAGAGAGAGTCTGTTCTCATCAGCTCTGTTCACAGAGTGCCCCTGAGCAGAACACCAGCTTTGCTGGGTGGCACATTAGCGCAGTGCCTAATGCCACGACGCCTTAGACAATGTCACTGTCACCACTAGCAGGAACCTGCCCCCTCCACTCTGCAACTTTCCTGTTTCATCACCCTTGAGCTATGAGGGTGTCCTCTAGCTATGAGCCAGAGGGTGTCCTCTAGGACCTAGCCACAGGGTAGGAGTCTGATACAAACCAGAAGACAACTGGTGAGAATTCCACGTATTTCCTTTATTAGTCACAAATCCACTGGTTGTACGTGGTAGAATTATCACTGGGACCAGCTTAAGAAGAAAGGAGGGCTGGGTGTTTATTGGTTCATGTGATCAGAGCATAAAATGCTTTTTTTTTTTTTTTTTTTTCCTGTTGGGGAAAATCCTAGTTTCCCTGTTCAGTCTCATGCCAATCCTTGGGCCAATCAGAGGGAGGGGGAAACTGTCCAGTTCAGTTCATGAGCCCTTTTCTCTGGCAGAAGGATGGGTAACTATGATTTTTTTTGTGCTAGAACTGCAAAATCAGAGTTAGGGGGCAAGATGCCCACGAAAGAGGAGGCTGCTCTTCTTGTAGACAGTTTGGTAAATGTCTAGGACATTTTCTATTGCTTTTCTTCTATACCTCCCTTCTTTGTCTGGGATATCATACACCTGGCCTGAGTCAAGGTGCTGACATAAGTCTCTGGTGAACTGCTGAACAGTTCCACTCCTTGTTCTTTCCAGGGTGCCCCATCCCATCTTAGGGCATCTAGGCTCAGATCCTGTCCTTTGCTCAGGCTTGGAGACCTCAAGTGATGTCACTAGGAACTATCCAGGATTGTAGAGGGGCTTTCAGCCCACAGAGTTTCTAACTGGCCACATTTGGAATTTTCCATTTAGCAGGACTTTCCCTCTGTGAACATCTGGTAGGATCCAAATCCTATCCCAATTCTGTGTTCTTTTTCAGACTTTCTGAACACTAAAAACATCTGTAGTTTTGCGAAAGGTTCTTTCACAATTTTATGATTGTAAATAGGCTAATTAGCCCAATCACTTGTTATTTTGTCATCTGCGTGGCACCACCTGGCCCTGGAGTATGTATCTCTCTGAGTACTAGGCAACGAGCAGAGCAGATGACCACCCTGACGAGACTTTGAATTAGGAATCTCATGACCCTGCCTTGGAACTCTGGCAGGGAAGTCCTCTCCTTCTTGATAGGAAAGGATGAAGGTTTGGGCACTTTCTAAAACAAATTTTTATTATTATTATTTTTAAAGCATGAATGCAGTTCCCCACTACCACAAATTATGCAGTCAGGTTTCCCACATTTGGGGAAATTGCAGGGGGTCAGCACATCCAGTGTGAAATGGATAAGCCTCATCCTCGGAAAACCACCTTTGCGGTCATGGTATCTCCCCTGCCAGTAAGTATATCTGAGAAAAATATTTTTAACAACAACTTAAAAAAGAAAACAAAACAAATTTCTGGTAACTACCATGTAACTCCATGGTAAATGATTCTCTCTCTGCTTCCTACCAGGTGACCCCAGTACCCAATGGTCTATCAGGTACTCGGTTCTGCCCAAGAAGCAATTCGGAGCTTTGCTAGGTTCCTTCTTGTAGTGTTCCAATCTGTCTTTCGCACTTGATCTTGTCTCTTCGGAGATGTCATAAACTCTCTAAGGACGGGAAGCCTATCTCCTATTTCTCTTTGTTAGGCATATGGTAGGCATTGATAAGTCTTCCTTGGCTAGGGAGCTATAATTGTAAGAGTGTGTGTGTGTGTGTGTGTGTGTGTGTGTGTGTGTGTGTTTTGGGGGGGGGACAGGGTTGGCAACTACAAGCAAATACTCTGAGATCCCTCTAGCCCTGATCTATTGGGAATACCTAAATCATATGTATGCAAGTTTTAATTCTTGGGTGAGGGGCTGTTTCCTAACTCTGCTGATTTCTAACTGCCCCTTTCCTGTAATTGCTGGGTCAATGCAAGTTCTCAGCTGCGCATTGGAAATGCCACTGCTTTCCATCACAGTGATGAATTTACATGGGAAAAACCTGAGGCCAAAGAGTTCTGGCTCTTACTCAGAGCCTTCCTACCAGTCACCTCCCAAAGTAAAAGAATAGTAACATACCTGACCTGTTCTTCTGGCTTCTCTAAAGCCAAATTCCAGCCTTGGTTAGGTTTCTGTTCATTTGGAAAATATCTGTATGAAATGTAGGTGCATGTCATGGAGGGGGCAGTGGGGAGTGAGTGAAGTGAGTCAGAAGGGAAGAGGAGAGCTCTCTCCCCCTGACCCTGCCGCCGCCTGCTTTCTTCCAGTGAGTCTAGATGGATTTTTGGGATCTGATGTGGCTGCATAAAGACGTGTCTCTGAAAAAGCAAAATGTCAGTGTTTTGAGGCCTTTCCGTTGGGGAGGGAGGGAACACGGTGGTCACTGGTTGTTCTCCTTAGGCCAGACAGGAGGAAAGGGAAGTATGTGTGAGTCTCTGATAATTCTCTTCTTTTTCTTTCCCTCACTTTTGTTCTTCAATAAATCACTCAGGACAATCTGCTTCTTCTTAGTGGTGTGTTTTCCTAGGGTTCAGCCTTTGTTTGAAATTCTAGAACAACAGAGTTGCAGTAAATATGGTCAACCTACGTGTAATTATGCTGGTATGTCAACTTTGCCCCGCAGAGTTGGGTCTGCTCTGGTTAAACAGAGGCCCCCCTGACTCAGAAACAAGACCTCCTGCAGGACCCTGTGGAGGGCCGACCCCAATCCCTGTGTCTGAAGGGGGTAAGACAGCCCATAATTACGCTCATTGTTTAGGTCGGAGCACAGGAGGGTTTACATTAAAGACCTCAGCTGGCACACACAGCATGCCTATGGAAAAAATGAACCGCTCTCCTCCGCCCGCTTCCCGGTCCCAGCGTTGCCTGTCCAAGGGCTTTGGGTTTCACAGACGCCTTCTGTGACTCCACGTTCTGACCACTCCTGATTAGAAGCTTGGCTTCCCCCAGTTCTAAGAGATGTCTCAATCCAGAGGTTTGGAAATTGAGCCTTTCAAGAATCACAGCGTGTAGGTCTTGGGAAGGACCTAGAGATGATGCTGTAAGTTGGTGTCTCTTAAACTTTCATGCTCACAGGAATCACTTGGAGTTCTTGTCAAAATGCAGATCTAAATGTGGTAGTCTTGAGGTGGGGCTGGAAAGTCTGCATTTCCAGAAAGCACCCTGGTAATGCCCTGTGCTGGTCATTGGACCCCACTTGGAGCATCAAGATTCTAAGCTAAGCCTTTCATTTCACAAAGAATAAAAGGGAAACCCGGAGACCTGGAAGAGCTTGTTGGGGCAGAGTAAGGACTTGAGTCTTCCTCTTGTCATGGTGTTGTCCTGGCCCTGCACAGATGCTCCTGGCAGGGATGGTGTGTGTCTTAGCAGAGATGGTGGTCCCTTCTGGAACCACACCTAGAATCCAGGAGCAGGTGGCTTTTCCCCAGATGCTCTGGAGTGGATTGGATCCCCAGAGCTCTTGATGTGAGCCCGCAGGCTTCAGTAGTTGAGAAACTGGATGATAGTAGACCACTCACTATAAGATCCTGCCTGGAATCTTCAAAGGGGGCACAGGAAAGGAGGGCCTATTGAACATGCTGTGTATTGAGAGATGTGTGTGTCAGCAAACCCCAGGCTACTGATGCGACATTTTGGATAGGCAAGTGAGATTTGGAGGGGAGAATATGTGGCATCACGATAGAGGGGAATGGATTTTTTTAGTAGAAATCAAGGATCAGGTTGGGTGCGGTGGCTCAGGTCTGTAATCCTAGCACTTTGGGAGGCAAAGGCGGGTGGATCATCTGAGGTCAGGAGTTCGAGACCAGCTTGGCAAACATGGTGAAACCCCCTCTCTACTAAAAATACAAAAAATAGGCGTGGCGGCGTGCGCCTGTAATCCCAGCTACTAGGGGGTGCTGAGGCGGGAGAATTGCTTGAACCTGGGAGGCGGAGGTTGCAGTGAGCTGAGATTGCACCACTGCACTCCAGCCTGGGCGACAGAGACTCCATCTCAAAAAACAAAAACAAAAACAAAAACAAAAACAAAAACAAAACGAAAATCAGGATCACAGACTTTTTTCCAGTCTACCTCTATGGGATCTTGGACAACCTTTCTAGACCCTCTCAGTACAGTCTCATATGTTATGTGCTTGAACCCAGGTACTAGGGCACGTGCTCTTTTGAAGTTTATTTCCACTCTAAAATTCAAATTGTGGATATTATCTCTTTTTCTCTCTCTAATTCTCTTGCTCCTCTGTCTATCTTTTTCTATTTTTATCTGTGTCGTGGCACTTTGGTGTTATATATACAGTTGTGTACTGAAGAATTGACCAAAAGAGGGGTCTGGCCTTTGCCCTTGGCTCCTGGGAGGCAATCTCTAGGCCCCTGAAGTGTCCAGCCCGATGTCTTTGTTTGTCTGGGGGCTTTGGCAACTGGACAGTCCAATAGTGTGTTTCATAATGGGGGCTTTGGGACACACCATATCAGTTCTAACCTCCATGGGAACTAGAGGCATAAGGTATTGGCCTGAGCCTCCACTGAGGGCTGGAGACTGAAAGTCAACCATGTGGACATTATGTGACTAAGCCCCAAGGAAAACTCTGGACACTAAAGGCTTGGGTGAGCATCCTTTGTTCACAATACTCTGTGTGCATTGTCTCACACTGTGGCCAGGAGGAGGCAACACCATCCACGACTCTATGGGGAGAGGAAACTCAGAAGCTTTGCCTTTAGACCCCTCCTGGATTCCGCCCTACGTGTCTCTTCTCTTTGCAGATTTAAATGTGTATCCTTTTCCTATAATAAAATCACAAGCATAGCGCCTTCCAGAGTTCTCTGAATCATTCTAGTGAATTATCAAACCTGAGGGTATTTGTGTGAATCTCCCAAATTAGTAGCCAGCTGATGTGTCATGAGGATGGCATGGATACCCCCAAACTTGCAGCTAGTGTTTGAAATGAGGGAAGCCTTGTGAGGATTCTCCTTTCAATCTTTGTAGTTGACTGAACTCTTAACAATAGCAGTACATCAATTTAGCAAGTATTCTGGGGAAAACAAAGAAATACATCAATTCCTTTAACCAAAGCCTGCCTGGTTGTAGAGTGGATTAAAGAGTCTAGGCTAGAGTCTAGTGGATTAAAAGCCTGAACTTTGCAGAAAGACAGCCCCACAGATGGAGCTGGGCCTTAGTACTTTCTGGTTGAGGTGGGCATGTTACTTAAATTCCCGAGCCTCAGTTCCCCATCTGTAAAGCATACTTACCTCGAAGGTGTGTTGAGAGAGTGACATGAAATCAGCTATGTAAAGCACAGGGCATACAGGAGCATTCCACACATGGTCACTGTTGTGGTTACTGTTATCATTATTGCTTCTGGCTTTGTTGTTGGTGTGATTTCCATGTTTACCTACCTACTGATATATGAATTACTACTTTGCCTTCTTCAAAATAGTACTTGACTGACTCAGACAGATGGAAGTAAGATAGCCTGATACAATAAACTACCAAGAAGTAGGAAATAAGTATTGGGTAAATGGCAGTGGCTGCTGAGGGAGAAGTGGGGGTCCTCTCTCAGAGTCTCTGGGAGGCTGGGTCTGGCTAAGGGAAAGGTTGCAAGATTGAGCCTCGCTAAGATTGGGAGAGCTGCCGCTTGAGACACGATGACATGTCTTTATATCAGAAGTAGGGGTAATCTTGTAGGGGCCAAAATGTGAGGAGAACAGCAGCTGGCCTGGCCTGGAGGAGTTGAGAGCCAGGCTGTGCATCTCCGGACTAACCCATCCATCTTTATGTCTTCCATAGATTTCTGTTTGGTAAGCAGAGTGGTCATTAATACAGGTGTGCACTGTGCCATAAAGAGCTAGGGGAGAGAGGAAAGGTGGCATTTGGTTTTGGGAACCTTCCATCTCCCTATCCTTTCCCTTCATTTTGTCATTTTGGGTATTGCCAAGTCTCTACAGAGGCTCATTTCCATTTTCTGCTAATTCGTTACTTGAGAACTAAGATATTTACTGATAATGGTTCTAGACATTGCCCTTCCAAGATTTGTATTTTAATGAGAGGGAGGAGTCTCTTTATGAGCCAAAAGAATAAAACTGTAGTGATAAGATATGGTGATAAACTTCATTGATAAAAGGAAAGTGAAACTTAAAACATTAACCTCACAAGGCTGGGTGCAGTGGCTCATGCCTATAATCCCAGCACTTTGAGGGGCTGAGGCTGGAGGATCTCTTGAGGTCAGGAGTTTGAGACCAGCCTGGGCAACATGGTGAGACCCTGTTTCTACAAAAAATACACAAATTAGCCAGGTGTGGTGGTGCACGCCTGTGGTCCCCGCTGTCTTAGCTACTTGGGAAGCTGATGTGGGAGGATTGCTTGGGCCTGGGAGGCAGAAGTTGTAGTGAGCCGAGATTGAGCCACTGCACTCAAGCCTGGGCGACAGAGTGAGACCTTGTTAAAAAAAAAAAAAAAATTAACCCTACAAAACGACAAAACTCCTATCCTCAAACCCTCCAGTCAAATCCTAGAGAACTGCTGCTTGTGAAGTTCTTACTAAGCTCTCTGGAGTCCGCAGTTAGGAGCAGAGTCCTGAATCAGATGCCCGTACCTGAATCATGGCTCTGACACTGATAAGCAGGTCCCTGAGCCTTTCTGTGTCTTAATTTTTTTTATCTGTAAGATAAACAATAAAATAACAATAGTGACTATCTCATAGGGTTGTTGGGAGAAATAAATGACTTACTAACATAAAATATATTGGCACGGTGGCTCACGCCTGTAAAATCCTAGCACTTTGGGAGGCCGAGGCAGGCAGATCACTTGAGGTCAGGAGTTTGAGACCAGCCTGGCCAACATGATGAAACCCCATCTCTACTAAAAATACAAAAATTTGCCGGATGTGGTGGCAGGCGCCTGTAATCCCAGCTACTTAGGAGGCTGAGGCAGGAGAATTGCTTGAACCCAGGAGATGGAGGTTGCAGTGAGCCGAGATCGCGCCACTGCACTCCAGCCTGGGTGACATCTCGAAAAAAAAAAAAAGAAAAAGCCATTATCTTTTGGGGGTCAGTGGTGTTTTAGTAAAAAAATCAAACAAAAACACTGTATTAGGGCAGTTCAGTGTTTTGATCACATAATACTTGGATTGCACAAGTTGACCACTGGCATCTTAGGGTCTCTCAGAGTTTTAACCAGTGGGCCAGGAATCAGGCAAACAGATAAAAACGTGGAAAACAATGTCTTTTTGTGATTCACCATGTCTGATTAGCAGTGGGAATGTGCATGGAACAGATCCTGTTTGGTTAAATAATAAAAACCAACAGTCTCTTGCATTTGGTAATAATATATTTGAAGTACTGGGGATGAGCAGTTTCTGGTTTGATGGTCTAGGTCTAGATTTCCCCAGCCTTCTCTTTGAACTTGACCTTCAACCGCTGGATCTTGAACCAGAAAACAGTTGAAAGGACATAGTGGAGACAGCGTGGGATCAAGCATGAAGACTGAGCTATGTGAGTCTGGATCAATCAGAACTTTTGTGAGCCTCAGTTTCTATCTCTCTAAAATGAATACCATAAAACTTTCTTCACAGGGCTGTTAGAAGAACTAAATGAGATGATGCATTTGGAATGTTTTGGAAATGATTAAGGATAGTGCAAATGTCCATTATTGTTTTGTTTTTGAAATGTATTGACTCCTGTCATTGCTCCTAGAAGGAGGCCCAGACAGGTTCAAACCCTTGCCCAGGATGAAATAGAGGGAGGATGTGATATGCTTTAGGGCTACTGTTGGCTGAGCTTAGCAATCACCTCTCACCCTTGTCCAGCATGTGGGTCTGCTTGCCTTCTGATCAGGAGCAGACGTCTGTCTTCAGTCTGAGTTTTCTGTCTGCTTGGCTGAACTGTAAGGATCTGTGCTACGTGTTGGATTAG
Source organism: Homo sapiens (assembly GCF_000001405.40). NCBI lineage: Eukaryota > Metazoa > Chordata > Mammalia > Primates > Hominidae > Homo > Homo sapiens. Next base: position 60,378,081 of record NC_000002.12, on the reverse strand, counting down.
GTTCCATTCTGTGTTCCATCACTGATTAATTTTGTGACTCAGTTAAGTCATGGAGGTCCAGTGTTTTCATGGATTGGGCAGCTCTGGTTCTACCTGTCTCAAAGAGAATTTGGAAAATAAAGACAACTAAAGGATTCAAAGTAAAAGCACTCCTTGTCAGGTTTTTCCACTCTGGAAGCAGGATAGCATCATGATTAAGTACACAGACTCCTGGGTTGCTGATTGCAGGTCGCTTAGCACTCTGGGCCTCAGTTTTCTCATCTATAAATTGAGAATAACAATAGTAAACTGGGGTAATTGTAAGGATGAAGTGACTTAATCATGTGAAGGGCTTCATTATAGTTCCTGGTCCGGGTCAGTGCTCTGCAGGTGTTAGCTACTGTGATGTAGGACATATACTGTATCCCCACTTTGAATGCAAGATTTCTGCAGGAGAAATAGGTGCAGAGGTGTTTGGGACCCTTTGGTCCTTGTTTTTCTGTAGTATTTTCCTGTAAGTCACTGGCAAGTGGAAAATTGGCCAAGCATTACCAATCTTTGTTAAAAAGTGTGGAAAAAAGGTGTTTAAAGATAAATCCCCTAAATAACAACCCTTCCCTGACCATCTTTTCCTAGAGCCTCAAAAGCAGTTTTGTATTTATATGAAGCTACCGGGAAAAAGGCCCCTGTGTTTGAGTTAACACATACAATAATTTATTCTGTGCTAGTTGCACCATTACAATTGAAATCTCTCATATTCTAGAATGGATGGACAAGGTCATGCTGCTAGGTTGGTCAGTTAGTTCTACTTTTTGTTTACAAAGTTTGTGTTCCCAAGTGCTGCAGGAGGCACTGTCTATTCTCTGACCTGCTCTGCAAAGTTTAGTGCAGACAGGCAGCGTCCCATTTTGTAGAGCAGGAGCCCAAGACCCTGAGGTACGTTTATTGGCCATTTTCACCATGAGTACTGATAATGATGGTGTTATTTTGAGATTAGTAAGGACAATTTTGAACACTTCTTGCTGGATAGAAATCCTCCGTGAAGGAACTTGGGAAGGTTTCCTAGGAAAGCACACTGGCCTAGGCCTGGTTTAGGAAGGTTTCAGTGGATGTTCATTATGATTGTTTGCAGGAAAACAAAATCGATGTGATACTTTGAACATGTCACCCAAAGACTACCAATGTTGACCCCAGACACTTGGGATCTCAGCTCTTGGCTGGAGCTGGGCATTCTTGCTGAGTCCAGAAGGAAAGAAAACAGCCAGGTGAGCAGGGCACCAGGAGCTCCGGGTCTGTGTGGCTGCTGGCTGTGGCACAGGGCTGAGAGCATGCACCTTGGGAGGTTTGTGCCTGATGCAACAATGAGGTTTCCAAGAAAGCTTTCCATTGCTCTATTATTGTTTATAAAGAAAAGAAAGTTTTTGTTTTTTTCTTTCCAAACACACAGGTAGAATTTGTCCAGTAGAACTCAACAACCTGGGCCAAAGAGGAGGGAAAGGAAAGTCATTTCTTATTGTCTTATTGGCGATTGTAATTGTGGTTCTGAGGCTGGCGTTGCCCAGGATATGGCATAGTGCAACATTCTAGGAAGTTGTGGGGACATTTGGTATTAGCCTTGCCATTCAGATCCAGGAGCTGTGTCAACACTGGGGTGGTGACATCCTCTTATCTGTTCACTTAACAAGTTTCCTTCCTACCCCATTTACTCCTCATTCTTTCTGGAAGAGATGCTATTTTCTGAGAAAATGTTTTGAAACATCTGAGAATTCAGTGGTAGAGGCTGTGGTGGGCATCCCAGATCCCCGCTTCAAGACCAAGGCATCCATTGTGCTAGCTGCCCAGGGAGAATCAGCTGCTGATGGTCCACAGCTGGTCTTTCTCTAGAACCAGCCCTGGCAGAAGGCAGTGGCCTTACCCAATCTTACTCCCATTCTTCCGGGGGACCCTGCAGCCAATTAGTTGACTTAGGAATAGAAAAGCTGGGCTCCCTTGCTGTAACTTGGAACAGCTCAGAAGGGCAACCCACCTCCAGAGCTCCCCAAGGGAAGAAGGAAGCTTCTGTTACAACCGCACCACACTTCAACTTCCTCACCTGCCTCCTCCTGCTTTCCCTTTTCCCTGACAGGGGTTGTTCCTGAGTGTTTCCCAAATTGCTCTGTACCACAATCTCTGACACAGAGTCTGGTTCCAGGGAATTTGATGTAAAGTAAGTCCCTTGGCACCATGACTAGGGATGAAGCAGTGTCTCTGGTCTCTGACATTTTCTATCTTTTCTAGAAATGTTCCCTTGTCATTTTTTTCCAGCCATGATCTTGGGGGCAGGGACTTTCAAACCCATCTAGGTCGAAATTGTTTACATGCATATATCTGCATGTCATGCAGATGTAAAATCTGAAAGGACACCCTCTGAGGTATTCACAGTTATGGTAGGAAAGGAAGTGAAGAGCGAACTCCGATTTTAACTAAATAAACTTCCATATTGTTTAAATAGTGTAATGAAAATAAATTAATGTATCGCCTGTATAATTACTATTGTTTCTTACATTTTGGCCTATTTTAGAATCTGAGGGTGATCATCTCACCAACCCATGTATTCGCTATCCCCAACCTTGTCGTTTCTTCCTCCCCACCTCCCTCTCATTCTGTGGGGGCTCTGTGCAGCTGGTCCTGAGTGTTGGGGTAATGGTGGGATGAGAGGTGGGGAAGTGAGGATGACCCCCAACCACAGGGGTCAGGGGTCAGCTTCGGCTACTCGCTTATTGGAATGAGTCAAAGTACAACAATAATCTGTACCCCTTGCCACGGTGAATTGATGAAACCTTCCTATCCCAGTGTTAGAGGAAGTGTTTACTATTTTGTTATAGTAAATAAGAAGGGCTTCCCTTCTTCCTGCTGAATTCCACATAGAAGCATGAGGATTTAGTGCAAAGCCAGCACTCTGATGTGGCTCTGTCTTTCCAGATCTTTCATGGTCCGGAAGACCATGTCTGGTCCCTGATCTACTGATAAGGGATGGTTAGTTAGGAGGAGGGACCCGGGGGTGGCTGCCTTTCTCCCTGAAAATTGGTGTCAGTGTTTAGAGCTACCTCTTTGGTTTTGGAACTTATCTGTAATTTAAGGTGTCAAGGTCTGACTCTTTTCATTTGGGGCAAAGACAAGCTGTTTTCACTTTGGGGAGAAGAAGAGGGGTGAACTTTCATACTCATTCTCTCTCCTGCCCCTCTGTGAGTGCCAGGCTTCTGTTTCTCTCTTCCAGGTAGAGCTGATTACTCAGAGCACAAGATATGAAAGGACAGGCAGTCCACAGACATCGAATCTTTTAAAATCACTTAACAATTGAACAGTAACTCCTGAAATGGAAGCCCAGATCCTATACCTCATTCTGAGAAAAGTTACTCTCCACCACCGTGCCTCAGTTTACTCACGTGGAACACTGAAGTTACAGCACCGAACAGAGGCTAGAGGGGGTGGGTGTTTGCTAAGTGGGACCTGGGGCTAACCTTTCTGATCTGGCCTGTCTCCCTAACGGGGCTGTTCAAGACTCAATTGGGTTAATGAATGTGGCTGTATAAAGCAGAATGTTTGTAAATATAAGACTGTCATCAATTTAAAGCAAATATATGGTTTATTTGCTTTAAATAAGGTCTTCAAATAAACATCTTCCTGGAGGTCAAATGCTAAAGTGCACGTTACCATGGGTGGATAAGAAGAGACTACTTTGTCCTGGGGCACTGTTTTCCAAAATGTGTTCCAAAAAACCCTAAGCACAAAAGATGTTGCTGTAGAGCAAAAAGCTGTATGTATGTATGTATGTGTGTATGTATTTATGTGATCAGTGTATTTGGGAAGTAATGCATACACATTTGGGTGAAGGAGGCTATGAAAGTGAATTCTTATAGAGGAGGAAATAAATAACAAGTTATACAGTTATTAAAACACTGATAAATGCCACAAACATGACAAAATCTAGAAAACTAATGTAATATTTTTACTCATTAATTGCTTGACATATTTCTATAATACTTTTCCTTCTATATTTTATAGCTCTGCACTCTTTGCTCACCTCTTCATATGACAACAATTTGGAAATCTTTTCTACAAAGAGGCTAGAAACCTAATTTAGTCTTTCCCTAACATGATTGATGAAAATTTATTTTTTGTTATTAATAATTAAGAAAAGGTCAGTTTTGTTGCTTGTTATTGGTACTATCATGTGAAGTTTTAGGATTGTTGACAAATTTGGGACATCTCTTAAGTTTCCTTCATATGTGAGCTGTAAGATTTCACAATGTTCTGAGTTTTCTGGTGCAGTAATTTATCTCACCTATTCTTTAAACTGATGACCCTCATTAACCAGGCCTTGAAAGGGCCCCATCTAGAGAGGGGTGGTGACACTTAAGCTTTATTCCCATCAAGGTACATTTGCCCCCGTACAAAACCTCTTCTCCTACCCCTCCAGTATTTATTCAGAGAAATTTCAAACCTAAGGAAAAGTTGGAAGACTAGTGCAATGGACACTTGTACAGCACTCACCAACATTCACCAATAAACATTTTGCTACATTTGCTTTACCTCTTTCTCAATCTCTACCTCTCCTTCTCTCCTGTCTATGCACACACACACACACACACACACACACACACACACACACACGCACCCCACCAACACATCACACACCACACATACACATGAGTTCAGGCTATATTTTCTAGGAATGAGGACATTTTTGTACATAGCCATAATACTATTTTCATGTCTCATAAATTTTCCATAGATATTATAATGTTATCTAATAAACACTCCATATGCTATGTGCGTATTTACTAATTGGTATCAAAAGTCCTTTGTAACCGCTCCCTTTCCTTTCCTCCCCCTCTCTTTCCTTTGCTTTTTCTTCATTTCCTCTCCTTGCCTCATCCTATCTATTAATCTTTGGTTACATTCTTACTTTTTGGTTCACAATGTCCTAGGATTACATTGCTCTATTTTACCCCCAGAGCTGGAATCAGCCATTCTCTCCAAGGAACCCTGGTTCAAGGATCCCTGTCAAAAACAAAGCACCTATTAACATGTGACAGATGCTGGGACATTACACTGTGGGGTGAACACCACCCTGTTATCTCTGGATCCCCTCTTTGTGAGCCAAGTCCTTGGGCTTGCTACTTAAGTACCAGGGAGACCACAGATGCTGGTGACACCTGGAGACTTTTTATCAGGTATTTGAGAGATGCAATTTGTCCTGTGGAAAAAGGCTCAGTCTGCAGACCCCTGGCCTTCTCTTGTGTACTCCTCTTCTGGCTGGGAGGTGGGGTGAGGAGAGAGTAGACCACAGAGACAGCCTGTAGCAAAGGAAGAAGAAATTTCTGGAAGTTTTTTTTATATCTAAATACTACTCCTCCCTGTATGACATCCAAGTCATTGTTTAAGGTCCACCCAGTGTCGTCTCTTAAAACACCAGTATCATGTCTGTAGATAGCTGGGAACTCAGTCTCCATCTGCATCTCTGGACCCTATGGTAGGAGCCTATGAAGAACAACCTGAAGCTTTGCCAGGGCCTTCAGCTATGGGTTTGGACATTGTCCAGAAAGAGCACCAAGTTTCCGCTTACACCTTCTGGGAGGACAGCCTTGGAGACCTGCAAACACATCCTGAGCTAGGGAGAGTCAGCAGGCCTGGGCCCTGAGGGGCAACCAGGGGTGACAACTAGGGTGCATTACTCAGACTTGCTTCCTGGTGCCACTTCAGAGGCATTAATATGTTTCTTTTGAGAACTGTCCTTTGAAAGAACTCTTGGAGTGGAGCTGATTCTGTAAACTTGATGCTATCTGGAAACCAGAGGACCAAACAAGCAGCCTGAGGAGGCCAGGAACCCTGGGGATGCGACCCAGGTATTAGTTGGAGAGCCCAGGAGAGGCCCCAGGGAGGCGCTGATGAAGTGGGACAGGACGTGATCACTACTGTGAGCTTCTAGGTGGGGGACAGGGCAGGAGAAGCCCCTCCCAGGGGTTGCCCGAAGTAGGCGCCTTGGCTGAGACCGAGGACCCTGGCAGGAAGGCCTTCTATAGAGACAGGATCTTCCATCTTTCTTCTACAAGTGGCTGAAGGAGGAAGTTGGAAAATCAGTTAACGTTTCTCCAGTGTGATCTCTTCACCTACAAAGCTGTGGATTAGATGACTAGTTTTCATGCATTTAAAAAAAAAAATCAGCAAAATGAGGCCTTCTGTGGAAGCCCAATTAGGTAGAAGTGCAGCTGCTCTATTTGAAGAGGAAGTTGGGGCCCCAAAGCCTTCCCAGAAGCCCCCTCTGCCAACCTTCCTCCACCCCTCCGTGGCCCCTGAAGGGAGCTCTGGTTTTTCTATAAACAGATTCCATCTGGAATAAAAAGCAAAGGTCTGAAAAGTTTTTCTCATTCTAAACATGCAACTACAGGCAGAAAATTGATTATTTGGAATCCTGCGTGGAATGCGCTTGTGAGGGCTGGTGAGGAGGCACAGGAAGTGCCTTCAGCATCATGTGTTTAGATGGCTGGGCGGGAGGGCCATCGAAGGACCCTGGAATCATTAGAACTGTTGGCGCTGACGAGGGCTAAGTGGACCAGAGAAGCCCGTGTCCTGTGGCTGTGGGTCTTGGGTGTGGGGAGTCAACGGAGCCGCTGGGTCCAAGTCTGAACGTGTCCTGAAATGCCTCCTAAAGCCTTCATTGTTTCTGGTCTGCTTAGCACAGGTCCGCATTAACACTGTGTAGAATGGCTATAGGCTTCCTAGAAAATATGAGCTAGGATGGTAGTTTTGAGACACTCTGTTCTGTGTAATTCTTGTTTTAGAAGAGGATTCATTCTATGTTTGCCCAAGATTCATAAGGAGTCTGTGCATACTAGACAAGAACTGACACTTCTGGAAGGTTTTAATTTTCAAAGAACATCCTATGATCTCATTTGATCCTCACAACAAATCAGAAAAACAGGCAGGGTAGGTATTAGACTCATTTGCAGATGAACAGACAGAAGCCTAAGGGAGGGTGAGTGGCGTGCTCACACATGGCTGGCACCTGTGAAGCTGGGACTGCATTTTCGATTCTCCAAGCCAGCCCCAGCTTCCCAATTCTGTGTAGATAGCGGATCAAATGCAGGTGGTTAGAAAAGAGTTTTGTTGCTGTGGCTTCTGTGAGCAAGATCAGCCACGGGCATGGTTAAAGGTGGAATTAAGACTTCTTACCAACTCCACTAAGTAGCTCCTCTAGGCTTCAAATGCCACTGAACATTTTGGGATCCACTGGGGAGAGTAGTGCCCACCCCCACTCCTGCCCAGGCTCCCATTGTAATTGCTTTTCCTGTAGCTCCCTGGGGCAGCAGGATGTGGCAAGAGTCTACAGACTTGAATGCTACTCCTAACTCTACTGCCAATGGTTCATGTGTCTTGGGCAACTGCGTTGACCCTCAGAGGATATTGAACTACAGCAGTGTTTCTCAAAGTGCTGTGCTTGGGCCACCTGTGACAAAGTTACGTGAGAGAGAGAGTGTGTGTGTGTGTGTGTGTGTGTGTGTGTGTGTGTGTGTGTGAATGTCCTGTGTGTGTATATATATTCCCAGGCTGCTCCCCAGATCCGCTGAATCAGAGTCTCTGGGCTGGGGCATCTTCTCCTTCGTTGATTCAGAGACACACTCAGGTTTGACGACCACTAGGCTAGAGGCTCCCCAAGTATCCTTCCAACTTAATGCCTCCTTTCTGCAATAACCCTCTTCCTTGACTCTGGGTGGGCTGAGATTTCTGTAGCGAAGGGTAGGACTTGATTTAACAGTAGGTTTAAAAAGCTGTTTCAGGCAGACTTGCAAAAACCTGAGAGTCCAAGGGGGAAGTTACAGAGTAGGGGATGCAGGAGTGAGTGCAGAGTGAGAAGGCACCTGTGTGCCTGTTTCAGAAATGAAAGTAACTTCCTAAACTCTGCTCATGCCAAGAAAAGTATGGGTACTGTGTTGCTGCTTATTAAAGACAAAATAAATCACTGTTCCAAGGAGACACTTCTTGCCTTTTCTTGCTATCCTATGTCTACTTCTCCATGATTCAGGTGCTGACGAGGACTTTCACCTGGGAGAAGAGCTCATTCTTCCTATCGTTTCCCTGGGAAGAACATGGCTGAAACAACTTACTGTACAGACCACAGAAGTGAGACCAAAAACACTGAGATGAGGAAGAGGTCAGCAAAAGAGTCATATTTTAAAATATGTGCAATACTTATTATAATTGTTCTGCGCACTCCTATGGTGTGTTAAAAGATTTCACACTTTATAAGGTCTGGCTTCCAAGCTGAATATGATATTGTCTTGTACTCAGGTTGCATATAAAAGTGGCTGTAACAGCTTAAAGAGCTAGTCTTAGGAGTAGACTCACAGACCAGTGTTAGATAGTTTATGCTTATGAATTTGAATTTGAATATTTTAATACACCAGGGTTGATAAAGTCATCAAAAGTGTTATGGTAAAAAGCCAATTCCTAGGAGGAGACCATTGTCTTAAAAAATTATTAGCATTTATAGCTTATGTGGGAACATAAGTTCTACTCACCGAAGACTATAGAAGAGGTGGTTTCGTGATACAAGAAATGTGCTACCTGTACAAATTTAATGTGAAGTGAAAATAGTGTACCTATGTGAGTGGGATATCATGCAGATAACTTTTGGTTATTCAAGGTCTCCTTGTATAATTTAGGAAGTTATTTATTGTCAGCAAATACTTGTAAATTATTTCCAGCTGCCATGAACTAAATTTTAGGTACACTCTTTTCTGTGAGACGCAGAGGTGCTCATTTGGGAATGGATTCTGGCCAAGAAGTATGCATGATCCACTGGAACAATGGGAGGTAACATTTGGAAGAAGAAAATAAAATTGGCTGGGCGGGGTGGCTCACGCCTGTAATCCCAGCACTTTGGAGGGCTAAAGTGGTCAGATCATGAGGACAAGAAATCGAGACAATCCTGGCCAAAATGGTGAAACCCCGTCTGTACTAAAAATACAAAAAATTAGCTGGGCGTGGTGGCGGGTGCCTGTAGTCCCAACTACTCAGGAGGCTGAGGCAGGAGAATCGCTTAAACCCGGGAGGCAGAGCTTGCAGTGAGCCAAGATCATGCCACTGCACTCCAGCCTGGCAACAGAGTGAGACTCCATCTCAAAAAAAAAAAAAAAAAAAAGAAAAAGAAAAAAGAAAATAAAATGGACCCCCACCAATGTCCTGCGTCTTCTGTTCTCATTCTTCTTAACTCTTCAAAGATCATACACAGCGGATCTCAGGTCAAAGCTGCAAGTTGTTTTAGTATCCTGGGATCTTCTGTAGCAGAGCCAAGATTTGAGTTTTTCTAAACTGGTAGGCTCATTCTTCCTGGCTCCGTATCTCTCTCCCTGTGGCCATTCCAGGGTCCACCCATGAACAGCCTCATTGCAGCTGCCAAGTCACCAGCCAGCCTATTGGACAACTGGCCTTTATATTGAAGCAGGCACTTGACATTCCAGCCCTGTTTCCCTGCTGCCACTGCTGCTTTCTCCCATCCAGTGATACTGAAATAAACTGTTCAGGTGAAATGAAAATATCTAGAAAGAGGCCTATAACTCTGTGTCAATGGAAAGCTACCTGGGATGTGCATTAGCTCTGCAAGCAGTAGTGTGGGGAGATACTCATCCTGCCAGGGTAGCTGTCTCCACATGAAACATCTTAATTTGGGTTTACTATAGTTAGAATATTTTGCATATTACTGTTCTTTATTTCAAAATTATGCCTACTTAAAAAATAATAGTTCTTTAAAGAGTTGCTAGGTTTCCATTTCTTTTGCATCATAAAGACAGAGCATTATGGATATTTCGAGAAGTAAAGATAAGGGATAATATCACTCATGATCCCTCACACGGTTATTATTTTTGTTTATTTCATTCCAGCCTTTTTAAAAAATAAGTATGCTTTTATCTAGTTGTAACCACAGTGTCATACTATTTCCAGTTTCTTTTCCCACTTAGCATGTGTCATTTTGCATTTTTCCATGTTACTGTGTAGTCTTTGTCCTCCTAATGGCTACATGAAGGTCCATGGCTGTGTATCATAATTTACTTAACCATTTACCTACTGTAATCATTTTGATTGCTTTCAGTTTCCCACTGTTATAAGTCATATTGCAATGGGCATATATGTGCATATTGTTTTTCCATATTTGTATTATTTGTTGCATTTTTTAAAAAGTGTCATTCAGGAACCAGGATATTTGCTCAACAGTAGACATTGCATTTGAAACTAATGGGGAAAAGGGGCTTTATAGAACAATTACAGTGGGAAAATGGGGCATTATTTAACAATTTATTGGGTCTTCACTATTCCATAAGTTGAGGAGAACATGTAGCATTATGAGTATTACCACAGTCATAGGCATTCAGACACCTTAAAAGTACCTGTGATTCATTCAGAGGTCTTGTGGTGGTGTTAGGACTCTTCTGTCCTTTGCAACATACTTACTTGCTTTGGTGCTGGTTGTTATTGCTTTATTGCAATTTCACTGCCATATGCAGGTACACAAGAGCCTATGTGCAAAGGTGTTAAACAAGGCAATCGGAATATTCTTTGGTCAACATCCTCCAGGAAAGATATCTGTGATATCCTATTTACCTGAACTTCACCTAAGGTGTGGGTTTTTGTGGTGGTAATAAGAATACCATTCTTGTCTTTTTTTGTTTTTGTTTTTTTGTTTTTTTTTCCTCAAGATGGAGTCTTGCTCTGTCACCCAGGCTGGAGTACAATGGCATGATCTAGGCTCACTGGAACCTCCACCTCCCAGTTTCAAGTGATTCCCCTGCTTCAGCCTCCTGAGTAGCTGGGATTACAGGCACGCGCCACCATGCCTGGCTAATTTTTTGTATTTTCAGTAGAGACGGGATTTCACCGTGTTGGCCAGGCTGGTCTCGAACTCCTGACCTAGTGATCCGCCCACCTCAGCCTCCCAAAGTGCTGGGATTACAAGCATGAACTACCGCGCCCGGCCCATTCTTGTCTTCTTTAATGTCAGTAATATAGCACTTAGTGAGTGTACAAATGAAAGCTGTGACCCTCTACTTAATATTTTGGAGGCACTGGATGTATTGGCCACTGGCATGCCAAATATGAGCTTGTAATTACAATGACATTCTTTTTTAGGGTTTATGAAGGTTTTATTTAATGAAACATGCTTAAGACTAACTAGAACACCTTTCTGTCCCTCATTCTACCCCTTTGTTTTCTCCATTGAACTTCATGACCTCAGAGTGAATGTGAAAGGGTGAGTTTTGGGAGGCTGGGAACAAGGGTGCACAGTAGTGGGTCTATGTGAGCTAATAGCAGGGAAGAAAAATCAGCACTGCATTTTTTAAATGGGGGAAAAATCAGGAAAAAGGCATGCATAAAGGATTTATCCCTTCCATGAAACATTGATTAATGAAATCTAGTATAAACGGGTGTCATGCCCTTTAAATATTAGATTTCATTACTTAGTGGATGGTAGGCTTCAGAAAGGGGATACCCTGTCTCTGCTGGCTCTTTATGGACACAAGTGTTTCATGCCCTTGCAGTGATCAAAGATGCAAATGCCTTGGGTAGCCGAATCATGGGACAGTGTGAAACATTGTGCTGGACAGATGTGTTGTCAGGAAAGGGCTTTGGTGATAAAAGGGACAGCTGTCCTCAGGATGGGGGTGGGGGAGAAAGGAGTCAAGAGGGAAGGAAGTATGCAAGGGAAGGTGACCCAACCACATGAAGCCAGCCACTTGGGCCCCCAGCTGGGAAACTCCACCAGCTTGCTAGCTCTTCCGGTTCTAGTAGGGCTGGCCAGACATCTGGCCTCTGTTCTAATTAAAGTGGGCAACTAATTTGGTGGCTGCAATGAAGAAAGCGGCAGTGAAATCTTGATGGCTGCAGGGTCATAATAAGGCCCTATACAACTTTCCAAGACTAAGGCATTGCCAAATTATTTCCATTTCCTAAGGGCCATTCAGTTCAATTCTGCTTAGATTTATTGAGCACTAGCTCTATAGAAAGCCCACACCCCGGCTCCAGGAAGCCTCTTATCTATTAGGGAAGGCACATGAGGAGACTATGGTGTAAAAGAAATGAATTAAAGACCACGATACAGGCACATGCAGGGTTCTGTAGGAATGTAACAGGGAAGTAATTTATTCCTATTGAGAGAATCTGGGAAAGCTTCCTGGTGGAGTTGGCATTTGCTCTGAATTGTTAATTCTGAAGTTCGATTCTAGGCAAACATTCTGGAGGATCGCCATGAGCAGAGAGGCAGATTTTCTGAATGGAATTTCTGGAATTTGTCCTCTATGGGAGTGAGATAAGAAGTTCATTCTAGTATAGTCACAGAATTCCCCACATTTCATGGGTGGAAGCTCAGGCCCTGTGGCCTCTAAGACTAGGACTTGCACAAATAGAACGAGCCGGGAGCCTAGCTTTTCACCCGACTTGAATTGTTGGAGAAGGATCAGGTTGGCCCTTAGGATGTGGCCTATGTTTATGCTCCAAATGGTGCATATGGTAACCTGTTACTATCAGGAATAATTAAACCACAATATACCCAAGTTATCTCCCGCTAGGTAGTTAACCTGCACTTGGCTCTGTTGGTGGCACTGGCGGCAGGCAGAGTGAGGGCTGCCCACCTTCATGGAAATGAGCCAGCTGGAGCCCACTTGTTATCCATGTCCTTCCCTTTGGTGCCCCTCCTCCATCCCTCTCCATCCATCCTCCATCCCCTCTTCCTTAAGGCCTCTCCAAGTACCAAAAGAATGGCTGGCGAGACTGTGCCAGGGATCAAAAAACTCCCTGATTTTATCTTTGTTACTGAAGGCGAAAATGATCTGCTATGTATATTTTATGAGAAAATGTGTTTTGTTTCTAGTTCTACAGGCAGCCCTCCCTTTCCGCCCCCTAATAAGCTCATGTCAGAACTCTGAAGTCAGTTTGCCGTAATGGTAGCCTAAAGGACATATTTTGTAAAAACGAAAAATGAACATATTATTTATATATCAATAGTGTAAAAAGCATTGATCAACGCAAGCAGCCTGTTGTTTTGCTTCTCTACTTCCCCTCTAAACCTCCTTCGCCATCTCCTGCTTCCCCCTCCCTTCTTGCCCCAGGTGCCCACGTCACTCCTACCATTTAGAGAGGGAGTTCTAGCCTGTCCTGGTCAGTTTGTGCTGGGATCCGGCCTTTAATATGGAGCCTTCAACGGCTGAGCCTCCAAAATGACTCTCTGACAGCCAGCCATTAATTACCATCATCCGTGTCTAATTCATTCATCCCTCTCCCTCTCATGTAGAGGGACAGCTAGGGCTGAGGGCACTCAGGGAAATGTAGGCACGATTCCATGTTCTTTATGCAGAGAGGGCTGCCGGAGACTTTGTTGGATGCAGGGGCTTTAATTGAATTGGCTTGCCAATAAAGCTGTTGTCATTCAGTAAGTGAATTTGTTGTACTACTCGAAGCACAGCTGCTGCAGACGGCCCGGAATTTCCTGAAGGCAAGCCAGGCCCTCGGCTCGCCTGGGTTCTGCCTTTTCCATTGATCCTGAAGGCCATGCAGAGTGTCCCCCTTCAGGGCTTGGTTTTGGCACTGATTTGGATGCCATCAAGGAGCATGGGCAGGCTGGGATTCAGCAGGAACCTGGAGAGCCTGTGGGGTGTGACCCTAGGGGTTTATAGGGAAGAGATAACTCAGGAGTGTTAGGGGTGGTAGCTATCAGGCAGGAAAGGCCTACGTACCACAATTGGGTATTTTTTCAATGTCCAGAAAGAAGCTGCCTTTGGCTCCATCAGGCTAGTCATAAGAGAATATCACTTCCCATTGTAAAAAAAGAAATTGAGAATATGACAGTTAATATATTTGTAGGGCCTTGTTTAAGAGGTCAAGTGGTATTGAGAAAATGCAGTGGCATTAGAACTGGCATTTGTTACTAGGAGATCGTTGGGCCAGAAATGCTCTACTGCTCCCACAGTTTATAAAACACAACAAGATTGGCAGGTTGCATGATTTATGATGGCTTTAAAGTAACATCAAGATTAAGGAAAGTTTTTCAAGGGACTGCAGGCCATTTTTATTTTCTGCATCCACGCACATGAGTGTAGTGGGCTCAAGTGACTAAGAACAAGAGTGGGAGGAAGATTTTCATGTTTCTGGTGGTGTCCTTACACTTTAAAATAGGTGGGGATTGCTCACTGAGCTCTTCATTCAAGGGATTTTCCCCCTTGTAATTTGGAATGATCTGAGCAGTGCTTGAGCCTTTTCAGGGAGCCTACTGTCCAATTGCAGTGGAGGGTTCATAGAACACAGGGATCCCTGGTCTACTTTCAATTAGTCAGGACTAGAGGATTTCCCAGCTCTTTACACCTCTTCTCCAGGGTCTGTCTACCTTTTGGCTGTTTTGTTGTCTCCTTTACCAGGACGCTGGAGAAGAAGGACCCTGTAAGTCAAATGTAGTTTTTGTTTGAACCCTAAAATTCTGACAGCCCAGAAGCTCTTTAAAAGAAGCCTATGTATTGGCCCCATTAAACTTTTTTTTTTTTTGATCCAGGGTCTCGCTCTGTTGCCCAAGCTGGAGTGCAGTAGTGCAATCATGGCTCACTGCAGCCTTGACCTCACAGGCTCAAACGATCCTCCCACCTCAGCCTCCCAAGTATCTAAGACTACAGGCATATGCCACCATAACTGGCTAATTTAAAAAATTTTGAACAGACTGGGTTTCCCTATGTTACCCAGGCTGGTCTTGAACTCCTCAACTCCTGATCCTCCTGCCTTGGCCTCCCAAAGTGCTGGTATTACAGGCATGAGCCACTGTGCCTGGCCTTGGCTGTGTTTTGATATGGCAAGTGAGAGTTGGTTTCCTACATCACGTATGCAGCTTTGAAGCTTATAAGGAAGAAAGATGGTGGAAACTCAGGTGAGAGAGGCTTTGGGACTTGGTATCGACATGAATATCCGGCTGGTGTGAGAGAGAGTGATGTATGTGTAGGTGCTCCTGTGTGTGTGTGTCCGTGTGTGTATTTTTGAGAGAGAGAGGTTTGCTTCAATGCCTAACTTTGGCATGAAATAGAGAAAATGATGCTCCTTACTCTAATAAGTAAATCTGTTGACAATACTTTTTGCTAGGTACAATCACATCTTTGTAAACTCTTCCCGCAAATCAAATCATGACAGAAGATGTGGCCATGGAAACAAAATCATTACTGTTTTGTTTCAAGAAGGTGGACTGAACCACAATTCAAGTGGAAGGTCCATCTTCTGAAGTTTCTGGCTTATACTAGTACTAGTTTTTTTTTTTCCCCCAAAATGGTTAATTTTTTTTTGTTTTGGTGAGACAGAGTCTTGCTCTGTTGCCCAGTGGCACAATCTCGGCTCACTGCAACCTCTGCCTCCCGGGTTCAAGTGATTCTCCTGCATCAGCCTCCCAAGTAGCTGGGACTATAGGTGCATGCCACCATGCCTGGCTAATTTTTTGTATTTTTAGTACAGACGGGGTTTCACCCTGTTAACCAGGATGGTTTCGATCTCCTGACCTCGTGATCGGCCCACCTGGGCCTCCCAAAGTGCTGGGATTACAGGCGTGAGCCACCGTGCTCAGCCGCTATCTACTTCTCTTCCTGTGTTTTCTGTTCTCTTTCTTCTGGGCTTTGCATTCTTTCTACCGTTCCCTACTCCTCCTCCCTGGCCTCCCAGGTCCTCCCTGGCCTCCTGACTTCCCCTTTCTTTCATATCTCTAAGTCTTTCCCTCTTGATTTCATCATATATCAAACTATCTAATAATAGTATTAAAATTTTACTTGTCTTTACACACATGATTTCATTAACTTGCTTCTCCAAGTGATTATTCTTTCTCCTTTTGCGTTGGTGGGGTTTGCGTAGCTGTTCCTCTTTGAGGAGGCCACCATGACTCTGGCGATTTGCTCTGAGACGCTACTTTCCACCAACTACCATATTGGGTGGAAGAGGCAGATCCAATTTTTAACTTTCTAAGGTAATAAATTCAGGAAACCCCAGCTGAGGCCAACTCACAATATCATTCATTTTGGTTTCTACTTTTCATAATTGAGTGCCTTTTTGTACTTCTCTTTGATAAGTGGAGTTAACATCTCCATGTGAACTGGAAAAGCTAAGTTGGTGGTAGTCCCTTGAGGATTTTGTGTCTTGCTCTGACACCTTCATTGACTTCATCAGAATTTAGATGTATTAAGGGATCAAGGAGTTGCACTTATGTGCATGAAGTTCTCAAGGTGTTTGGAGAGCCTGTTCCTAAGCCAAGTTCTGATGGTCCCTAGGAGAGAAAACTTTTTGCCAAATGAACACAGTTTGATGGAAAAGTTCATGACAAGCCAACATAATACTTTAACCATTTTCTAGCAGTGACTCAGCAGTTATGGAAAATGACTATGGGAAAAATACCAAAAAATTCTTCTTTTCTGTCTTCCCCTACTTTGATAAGCATTCTTTTCACTTCTCCTTCCAAGATTCAGAATTGTACTTTCATTCCCTTGTTGCTTTTCTTCTCAAACTGGGGAGTGTCGAGTGAGGTGGTGGTATCCTGGGTGAACCCTGGGCTGTAGGATAAACATGGCAACTTTCATGGAGCATTTATTTTACTTATGAATTTTTGAGGAAAATGTAATTAATGGAAAGATCATCATTACATGATGGAGTCAAATGCAAAATTGGCATTAATGTTAAATAAAGCAGGAAACTTCAAACTTTGTTGTTGTTGTTGTTATTGCTGTTTCTTGTTTTTTTGAGCCAGAGTCTCATGCTGTCACCCAGGCTGGAGTGCATGGAGTGCAGTGGTGCTATCTTCGTTCACTGCAACCTCCATTTCCTGGGTTCAGGGGATTCTCCTGCCTCAGCCTCCTGAGTAGCTTGGATTACAGGCACCCACCGCCATGCATGGCTAAGTTTTGTATTTTTAGTAGAGACGGGCTTTTGCCATGTTGGCCAGGCTGGTCTCGAACTCCTGACCTCAGGTGATCTGCCCACCTCGGCCTGCCAAAGTGCTGGGATTACAGGCGTGAACCACGGCGCCTGGCCAGGAAGCTTCAAACTTCTGTTTGAGGTTCTCCAGTTCAGCCCCCATCTCACGGTCTCCAGAAGTAGGATTCTGCTCTTCAAAGGGGTGGGGAGGTGCATGACCCTGGAACCAATTACTCTAGTGGATTTCTTATCAGAGCTAACACAGATTATTTGTCTGACAGTGAATCTTAACATCCTTGGGGCATGGATCTTACTACATCTATAATGTCAACTTCAGTCATCCCTACTAAAGGCATTAGATATTTGCAGTTGTGTTATCTGCAATGTAGGAAGGGCAAAAGTCTTGGGTCAATTTTAACTCTTCTTAGTTTACGAAAATGTCTGGAGTACATATAGGCAACCCATAGTCATTTGGGGACTTGTCGTTTGTGTGTGGATTATCTCAGCTTCTTATGTTCCACATTTCCACTTACCTGCTTTTGGACATTTCTTCACTCATTAGGTTATTTGTGATGAGTCAAATCCCAAATACACAATCCCAGATCAGGCTCAAGAAAGACATGCAGAGTATGTGCTCTTGGCAAAGGCCTCCTGATTTCCACAGGGCTTTGACCCCATGCTCGATGTGAAACTCCTTTTCCCGCTGAATCTGCTGCACCAGCA
Source organism: Homo sapiens (assembly GCF_000001405.40). Lineage (NCBI taxonomy): Eukaryota > Metazoa > Chordata > Mammalia > Primates > Hominidae > Homo > Homo sapiens. The sequence continues at coordinate 60,360,423 of NC_000002.12, read as the reverse complement.
TGGGTCTCAGGATTCCCTTAACCCTCCGGTTCAAAGCCAGCCTCAAAGCAGTCTAATAGTCCTCTTAGTCCTTAGCCCCACACTCTGATCTTGGTCTGTCAAGTTTCTCTCTTGGAACAAGAGTAAGCACAGATCCTCAGGGAAGAGCAGGCAAAGAGGAAATTTCTCTTTGAGGCCAGAGAAGAGTTGATCCAGGGTGCCCACTCTTGGCCAACCCTCAAAGGTAGTGGTCCCAGGCTCATCTTGCCCCTCCATGGCAAGTGGGTGCTAAGTGAGAAGCATGAATAGATGAAACCCCAAATAGCACCCTGAAGCAGACATCCGCACTTCCTCACCCTTCTCTCCTCATAGGCAGAAACTTGGGGGTGGGAGAGGGGGAAGAATTAGGGTAGCAAGGCAGGCATGTTGGGGGCAGGGTTGGAAGGAAGTTTAATGTTCGGATGTGTCAAGTTTCTCCTTGTGGCTGGAGTGTGAGACTAATATTTTGCCCCTACCAAAGGAAGGCCATGGCTGATAGAGACAATGATATTACATGCAATGCTTCTTTCTTTTCTTTTTTTTTTTTTGGTTCTTAGGTGTGGCAAAATGGCTTTGTTGTGGTGGAAGATGAATTGTCGTCTCAAGGGGGCAGAGGACTGCCTGTGAGCTTCCTTAACATGGAGCCCGAAACCGGTGTTTGCACAGTCCTTGAGGAAAGGGTTTGCTCAGCAAATTAACAGTGTGAACAAGACTGCAGGAGGGACCATTTACCTACCTGAGAACAAACTGTTTTCTAGCTCTTCAGCAGCACCACTTACGCACAATTTTCATGTGCTAATGGCAAGTGATTATTACCTAGTTAGTGAATATACGTGGAAGACATAAAATAGCCTTTACTATCCCCTGGTTGAGACAACTCGCTAACTCAGACTTGCCAGGTGCTCTGAATTAGAGAGGTGCTACAGGAATGTCCTCTCGGATTTTTGGCGTTGAGCATGCATGCATGTGAGCAGGGTGCCATTTCTTCAGAAGAAAAATAAATGACAACATTCTGTTTTGGGGCTTGAAACTGCATGACTGAAAACATAAAGGTGACAACTGTGATATGCTTTTTTAATGAGGGCAGAGATGTCAAGAGAAACCAGCCTTCTAGGAACAAAAGAATACTCTGTCAGGTGCAGTGGACTTAAGACCTTTTTCTCTCTTGGAATAATGTCCTTAAAAATAACCAAATTTTCCATTCAATAGAAAAATGTTCATCCCTTCCTCCCCATCAATATGAATTGTTGTCTTGGAGCATGGGGCACTAGCAAGCCATATTGATTTTGGAAATTAAAATGGGAATGTTGAAGAGCGTTTTCAAAGAATTATATGGGATTTTAGCCATCTGAATGGCTTTCTTTTTAGGGTCAGTGAGAGTATTCTGGCTAAAATGTAGCCCATTGCTTTAGAAATAGTTTCCTTAATGTCTTTCCTGTCGCCCCTGCTGGGTCTGTGCAGGAAATGTAAACCAACATACAATATGTGTGTTTATTTTCATGTCCCATTTTATGGGAAATTGGATGGGGTATTCCACTGAGGCTTCAGCTATGATGTGTTGACAATATAGGGGGAGCAGGGAAGACTATTGCTGAAAGAGTTTACAAGGGAAGAAGGGGGTTCTATAACCTTTGAGAACTATGGGGAAGAGCCAGGCCTGCCAGCGAGAGCTCCGTTACTCAGGGGCCAGAGGGAGGCATTCAATAATGAAACCGGCTGGTGAGTTGCTCATCCATTAAATGACATCCTCACCAGCCAGCCCCAGTTTCCAGCACAGTTGGGATGTTGTGCCACACCTCATCTTGTGAGATGTTATGTCTGATACTGTGTGGTCTTCCTGCCTCTGCTGGCCATAGGAAACTCAGGCTACCAAACACCCAATCCAGAGTCCATAAGGGGTCACTAACTGGGTGGGGGGCAGAGTTACCCGGAGGACCCCTGCAGGAATGCAGAGGTTAGAGATTGTCAAACCAGTCATATCCTGGCCTTGTGCAGGTGGTGGCAAAACTGAACCTTTTCCTGGGATCCTACTGGAAAAGCAATTTAAAAAGTGCCTGGGTAGCACGGGGCCTGCTCAGGGAGTGTGGGTCCGTGTATTTCCTGTAAAATGTTTGAAATCTCAGCGTTAGGCCCATCTGTAAGACAGCAGTAGGTGTCAGTGGGAATACATGTTTTTCCTGCAGAAGAAAAAAGTTAGCATGTTTGCATTTTAAGCTCATAAACAGCTGCAGCCTGGACCGCCATGGCAAGCACGTTGGGGCTGGAGGAGCTGAGAGCTGCTGTTTGCCGGTGCACAGCAGCAGTTTCCAGTTGTAGACTGAAATATTGTATATATCTCCAATTTCAATAGGACTTTGTTTTGTGTTTCTAAACAAGGAAATTGAGGAGTGTCAAATTAATTTTTTAGTCCTGGTCATTTTTTAATTCCAGTTGGCCAGCTCGGCCTGGATTTGTACAAATACCGATTCCAGAAAATAGTTGAAGTACTAAACTTAGTAAATAAATGTGTTTATCTTTCAAATAGATTCAAGATGAAATACCCAGCACTTCTCCAGGGCATTTCTGTCCCTGCCTATTCATTTTAGCAGCTTGACCAAACTAATTCCCTTCCCTTAGTGTAATATTTAAATGGACTTCTGGCATCTGATACATTGCCTGCTGCTCCAATTCCCTAAGAAAGTCATTTAAATAGATTTTGACTATCTTGCATCTACTATAAAGCCAGTCAACTAAAAATCCTGGTCACTTCTCTCTAATTTTAGATGAGCCATGTGGAATTATTGGCTTTTGAGAAAATTCATCTTATCAGAGCTGAAAGTTTTGGATTTAATTTTTAACTATCTTTTTTTTTTTCTTTCCCAGCAAGAAAAATGAATGAAAAGACAAATAAGAAAGTGTTGCCATACAAAGTTAGCGAGCTGTCAGATAGATATAACTACTAAATGAAAGTCCACATTAAACTTTTGGGGCAAGATTCTCACTCCGCCTTCCCTCAACTCCAAGCCTTTGCTCCACTCCACTCATGCCCAATCTGAGAAAGGAAAAGAAGCAAGTTTGACACGTATCCTGCCTTCCAGGAATTTGCGATCCAGTTGAAGAGACAAGCTCTACCCATTCAGAGGGTGGCTTGTGTGATTTGGGTTTTCTGCTAGGCACAGGATGAGGGGTGCAGAGGGGAGTGGGGGAAATAGATCCTTATGTATTGGCTGGGGACCAGGACTTGGGGGTATTATAATAAGTTGGCCTGAAGGAATAGCGAGAGGTGGGTATGTGAAAAGCAAGCTGATAACAGCATAGAGATGGCAAATATAAGGGGAAAGTGGCCACAAAAGTGAGCAATGGAATGCCAGGTGCAGTGGCTCACGCCTGTAATCCCAGTACTTTGGGAGGCTGAGGCGGGTGGATCACAAGGTCAAGAGATTGAGATCATCCTGGCCAACATGGTGAAATCCCGTCTCTACTAAAAAAATACAAAAATTAGCTGAGCGTGGTGGCACGCACCTGTAGTCCCAGCTACTTGGGAGGCTGAGGCAGGAGAATCACTTGATCCTGGGAGGTGAGAGTTGCAGTGAGCCGAGATTACGCCACTGCACTCCAGCCTGGTGACAGAGTAAGACTCCATCTCAAAAAGGAAAAAAAAAAAAAAAGTAAGCAATGGAGAGCAAAAGGTGGAGGTGGTGGACAGGGACTCGGCCAGTCTGACTGCATCCCCAGAAAGAGAGAGGACCTGGTGGAGAGTGTGGGGCTATGGTGGGGAGGCCTGGAGTGTCGGGCCAAGGACTTTAGATTTTTTGTTGTAGCCAGTGGGACGGGATTGTCATGAGATGTGGTGGAGGACACAGAAACCTGAGGCAGAGAGGCTCCTGTTCTCCACACTCTGGGGCCTTGGGTGGTGCTTATGTTAAATCATGACATGAGTCACCAGAAGGAGAGCCACCCAGATGCGGGAGGGCAGAGAATCTCTCTGAGTTGGGAGTAGGGAGAGAATGCTGCAGACTGGAGTTGTCTGGGAAGGTGTCTTGGAAGACGAGGATTTTGCCAGGTGAAAGGGAGTAGTAGGAAAGTTATGGTATTTTGAACCATCTTCTACTACAGGAAGATGATTATTAAAGCAGCACTAGACCCTACCTTGGCTGTCAAGATGCATGAATAAAAATACACTTGTCACCATATTTACTTCCTGTTCCCTTTCTTCCCGTTTAAAATAGTAATTGATGCTTTCATTTTTTAAAACAGATGTTCTCCATTTTTCAGCATGTTGTGGGGTTGCAGAGTATGCGTGGGGCAGCAGCTGGTGATAACATCTTTTATTTTTTAATTTTCTGGCTGTGGATTGGAATTAGAATCAGGATTTAGAAATGGGGAAGCCGTGGCTTGTGGCCTGCATCCTGACGTCTTACATTACATCTCAGGTAGCAGTTTGTCCTTATGAATCAAACCTGCCATGCTACTGACAAATAGGAGGTATTTTTATATGATGTAAGTTATACCTGCTTGTGGTAAAACAAAACCAAACCAGAAGGTTTCCTTTTCTCCTAATTTGTCTCTCCAGAGGAAACCACTGTTAACAGTTTGGTTTATATCCTTTCAGTCTTTTTTCCTTTTCAGATAATAACAGTGGTAAGAACTAACCTTTACTGGGGAATCTGGACATGCCAGACACAATTCTAAGTGCTTTACATATATGAACTCATTTAGTCCCTGTGCCAGTCCTCTGAGGCAATATGACTGTTTTCCCCATTTGAGAGATAAGGAAACTGAGATGTTAAGTAATTTTCTGGAGCTCACGTAGGTAGTAGGCAGTGAAGCCAGGATCAATATCCAAGTGTTTTGAGTCCTAAATCTGTGCTCTTAGTTATGACTTTATGCTGCTGCCATGAATATGTATAGTGCATATACATATTACTACCTAGTTCTTAAAAAGATGAAATCATACTATAAGTGTTGTTCTGTGGTTTGCTTTTTTGATAAACATTAATACTGGGGACATTTCCCCATTTCAGTATATATAAATTTAATTCTTTTTAAAATGTACCTACAATTATACTGATGTAGCATCATTTTCAAAAACGATACTCTTCCTTCTGGCCATTTGGGTTTGCTCCAGATTTTTGCTATTATAAACAATATTACAGTGAACCTCTCAACAATAGCAGTAGCAACAACTACCATTAATCCTGAATAATGTGCTTACTGTGGGTGGGGTCCTATTCTAAACCTTTTCCATGTATAAACTCATTTAAACATACATCTTTATATAAGTGGGCTAGTGTTTCCATAGGCTAGATGCCTGGAAGAGGGACTGGTAGGTTAGAGGCCAAGTGCATTTAAAATTTTGATTGCAATTTTCCTCCCCAAACAGGCAAGTATTTATTAAGTGTCAGCTCTAAGTGCAACACCCTCTTAGGCATTCTTTGGAATGCACAGACACATGAGATAGGGGCCCTCCCACAGGTTTACAAGAGTGGAGAGACAAGCTGGTACAAGTCGCCAGGTGATGAAAACAGTCATTCCACAAGGCAAAGCTGGTGGCATATGCTGGGAGCACTACAGGTGTGTAGAGAGCAGGGAGGTCTGTGAGGGGTGGAAGGTATCAGGGGGAGCTTCAGAGAGGAACTGGGGCTGAATGAGGCTTGGAAGGATGGAAAGATGGAGGGAAGGGGTTGGAGAGCAATCCTGGGGAAGGGCCAAGAAGAACGAGGCTTAGGCGGGAGGTGGTGTAGTTGAAGAATGAGACAGTGAGTCTGTGGGATTGCCATCCTGACTGAAGCAAAGAGTGTGTTTTGGGAACTGGTCAGCCAGCCGACCATCAAGAGAAGAGTAGAATAAGAGTAGAAATGGACATCCACCTGTCACATGACTAAATTGTTTAACCCAAATAAAAGCTAATCAATTAACAAATAAAGCTAATCAATTAGCTTTATAAATGAAGCTAATCAGTTGCTAAACTGTGCTCTATTCTTCTGCCTTGACATAAGAATCTTTGACCTGGAACAGGTTTGAATTTAGAATTTTCCACTCCATGGACTATGGCACTGGAGGGTGGTGAATTACATTTCCCGATCAGTGCCAACAGAAAGAGAATAGGGCTTGTGATAATCAGATATATTTGCCCAAATCACTTGGATAAGTTTTTCTCCTCTGTCAATGCTGAAGCACGCTGGTGCTGGAGCAGGAAATCACAGCCCAGAGAAGGTGAGCAGGTGCCCTGTTCACACAGAGCTTGGAAGTTCTAATCTCTGACCTGAAGTGAGACATTGAAATAGAAATCTTTCTCTTCCTCCTCCCTCCTTACCCTACCCCCAGCCAACAAAGAAAGAAATGCAGGTGCATTTAACTTTGCCTGTAACTTTCTGTTCTGCAATGAAAATGGCCTCCTGTGTTTTTGTTTCACAAGCACAATTAAAAGTCTAATTTCAAAGCTACAATAGGGAAGCAAGGGCGTCAGTAAGAAACCCAGAACTTGATGCAAATAATTGAGCCATTTTTAATTTGTTCAGTGTGATCAGGTAGGGGGAAATTCTATATTTAAATATAACCAACCACCTTGAACCTTGTATGGAAGTAACTGTGTAAGAAATGTTTGGTAACATGTTGCTGAAGTTGTAAAATGTGTACCTCCCAAAACAAGGATATTCAAAAGTTAAGTTTCTCACGGTGATGTTAACACATCCGCATCGCGTTGCACATGCTGTACAATTCTGCATCATAAAAAATGGATTTACAAGCTTAAGTACTACTCGGGAATATTACATGTGTGGAATGTGGCTGGGTTAATGTCACTGTGAGACCCTTAGCCGTTGCCAAGGAGGTTTCCTGAGCCTCAGCTGGGGCCAGGCGGGGGCAGACTGGAGAAAGCCGCTGCTGCCTGGGCCTGCAACTTTGCCTAATGAACAAAAACACCATTTTGGCCTCAAAGATCTTGAGCTCCACAAGCCACAAATCACAACGAGGAAGAAATCAAACATTAAGGTTTCTCTCGGATTATTATTGACCAGGACGGTCTGGAAATTATAGGATCTTTCTAAATGTGGGCAGGGGCTTCCGTGAGGTCCAGCAACACAGTGGCATTTGCTTTTACTGCTGCTATTTCTCTGTTTCTGGTTTTACTTACTCTGACCCCTCTCCACACCAGAGCCGGTGTGAGAGCTGCTGTCACCTGGCCTTTCCCAGAGCTGGAGGGAGTCCCTGGGGGACGAGTTGGGTGGCAGGTGATGCGTGTAGACTAGGATGTGAGATTAACTCCAGTCCGAAAGGGCCCTGGGATAAATTACACATGTCCGAACATATCCATAGAGGAGGAGTTGAGTGGAAATAGGCTTCAGGGGCAGCCAAAGAGGGAAAAACATGAGGACATTGTGTGTGTGTGTGTGTGTGTGTGTGTGTTGCTGTAATGATGGGAGGGAGGATGCAAGGCAGGACTTACGGGTCCTAGCCAGCTGTGCTGCACCTGGTCCGTGAGGCAGTGTGGAGTCCACCGAAACGACCCTCAAGCCTGATGCCAGTTCCAGAAGCCCAGTCGGCAACTCTGCCACCTTACACTCCTCTCCCCGTGGAACTGCCTGGGGGTGCTGGCATGGGGACATGAGGGATGTCTGACAGGAGAAACAAGCATTTCAAGAGTGTGTGGTTGGCTTCGCTGTCCTTTGGGGGGAGGAACTGGAATCAGTCAACAGGCAAGTAAGTTGTTATTGCACACCTTTTATGTATTCTGCTGGGCCGTGGGCTGCGGAGGGCACTAAAGGGGTAGAACATCCTGCTCCTCTTGAAGACGCCCAGCCTTTGGTCCCATGACCTCAGGCACATGCGTAATCTAAGCGGCAGCCCAGAACTCATGACGGGTGCCCAGTTCCTTGATGCCTCCTGAAGGAAATGCTGCAAGCTGTTCAGAGGATGGAGACTGCATGGGGGTGTTCGTAGGCAAGGAAGGCTTCAAGAAAGAGGCAGCTCTGAGCTGCTTTTCAAAGAAGAGAGGATTTAGACAGGCAGAGAGAAGTGGGGATCACTCAATAGAAGTAAATTCCACAAGCTCTGATCTCTATCCCTAATAGGGAACGGGGCTCCTAACAATAGCTTTTTTTTGTGGTCTGAATTCAGGCCCGACTCCCAGTTCCAGCCTGAACACTGGTCAGCTGAAGACAACGCTGCCACCTTCATCTCTTCCCTGCCTGTCCTGCTTACAACAGTTGCAAGAAGTTTATACCCACATTAAGCCCCCAGAGGCAGGCTGGCAGCCAGCCTTCGCCACTGGTGCAGAGAACTGAGTCAACCACCCGGTGTTCCTGGCTGCTCCCCCTGAGAAGCTTTCCCACCCTGTTCCCTGAGTCGAGAGTCTTGGCTGGGCACCTGCTGCACTGTGGACGTGCGGACGCGGCCTCCAGAAGGGGGAAGGGAGCCCTGGCTGGCTTCTCTGAGACGTGTTGAGTGGCTTGCCATTGAAGACTGTTTCCTCACTCAGGCAGCTGCATGCCCCAAGTGAGTGACTTCCTCTCTCTGGACTCAGTTTCTGAATCTGTAGACAAAGAGGGTGGACCAGATGGTCTTGGAGGTGCCTTCCAGGTCACATCTCTCCTGTTTCTAACAGCAGGTGGAAGCAGGTGAGGAGGGCAGTCGGGCAGAGAGGAATGGAGAGGAATTCCCCCACAGAGGCTCTTGGGAACCACACAATTCCCCATTCTGGTGCCACCTGCTTCAAGGATGTGAGTGAGAGCAGTGCTGGCCTTGAAGCCTACATCGGTGGGTAGTCTAGCCTCCCTAGATGTGTCCTTAGGTGTCATGGGATCCATATCTGGATCATCAAGGAGACCTCACTTAGGCTTCTCTTGACTTACCAGGAAAGGCTAAGTCTTGCTTCGGGCAGGCAGCTGCCTCTGGGGCCCGGGCCTGTGGCCCCAGGGGAAAGAATTGTTGCCCCAAGATGCTCATGCAATGTTGTGTGACTGTGGCAAGGCTGTGCCATTTTAGCTGGGATCAACACGCTAATGGGCACAGGTCCAGGGGGAGTGCAGGTGCCTTCCTGGGTGCAAAGTGGCCCTCATCCCCATAGCACACAATGTCTGCACAGCTGAGGCTGGAAGGGACTGGCTGAGGGCCGTGCTGGTGTGGGCAGATCCCTGGAAGATCACCTGGGCCATCTCCTCATTCTAAAGATGAGAAGAACGAGGCTTGGAGAGGATGAGTGTCTTGTTGAGGGTTGCACAGCAAGTTGGGGACACAGCTGCAGGAAATCCAAGTCTCCTGATTCCTAGCCCATGATATTTTCTCTCCCACCAAGTTGAAAGGCTGAGGTGATGGGAGGCCTGGCATACCACAGATGGAAACTTGCATCGTTGCCCCCGGGGCTCAGATGATTCTCTAAAAATGTGTCTGAGGAAGTGAGAGTGCAGGGCCTCTCCTCACACGTTGGAGCTGTAAGTAGGGCACGTGCTTTCAGCTCCAGGCAGGACTGGAGAAGGTTATGGAAGGGCAGCCAACCAAGAAGCACTTATTTAAGCATTTTTATGTGCCTAGCCCTGAGCTAGGCATAGTAGGGCATAAAGGAGCTTTGAAGGACCCTCCCAACACAGCAATTTCACTGCAGCTGGTGAGCAAATTTAACTCACAAATCAATTACAAAAACAACCTCATGCAAGCTACTGTTTGTGTAATAAAATGTAAGAACATATATTTGTATTTGCGTAAAGGAAATCTGGAAGGATATAAAAAGATAATAAAAGTGTTAACTAAACAGTTACGTGATGGGGTGGGGGTGAGATTTTTGTCCTTTGTACCTTTTAATTACAAAATTATTTTGAACTATGTGAATGCATTTTCTTTGCAAAACATTAAATACAAACAATAACAAAAAACCCAGACAACTAAATGTGAATTGGGTGGCAAGGGGCCAAAGGGATTTGGGAAAAGCAGAGTTCAGAAGATGTCATAGAGCTGATCCAGGTTTCTGGAAGGCCAGAACTGGAAGAGACTGTTGGCGTTATTTTGTCCAACTTCCCATTCAATGCTCGTGTGTTTTGTACAACAGCCAAGACATGGACCTTCGAGAGTCCCTCACTCAATAATTCCTAAATGCTATGGCATGACAGTGCTAACCTAGGGGTCACAATGCACAGATAGGTCGGTCCCTGTCTCAATGGCCTTATGTTCTCCAAGTGTACCCTTGACTGAAGTGCCAAGGAGATTCTGATTCCTAGGGAAAAACAAGAAACACAGGAGTTAAAGGGCTTGGAAGGAGGATAGAATTAGGGAAAGCAGCAGAGTTTAGTTAGGATTTGAAATAAATCTCAAAGGAGGGGTCAAGTTTTGACAATCGGAGGACAGGAGTACCAGGTGGTAGGGATATGGATAAAGATAGAGATAGAGGCATGTTCTCAGGATTAGCAGGGGACTAGGCCAGGTAGGGTGGAATAGTAGGGTGGGAATCTGGGTGAGTATATGTTGTAGATTGTATTGACTGTCAGTTTGAGCTTTTTTTTTTTTTTTTAATTCAATAGAACATGGAGAACCAATAAAGATTCCTGAGCATGTGCTTGAGTCATTCTTCTTGAAATTCTCCAGTGAGTGGGAACTCCCTATTTCATCCAAGAACTCATGAGGATGAGCTTCTTGGAAGCAGTAGGAATTGATCTGGGGCTTCAAGGATCAGAATGTCGAAGGTACTCTGGGTGGAGGGAAGAACGAGTCTAGTGTTAATGCGCACTGGGAAAGGATTTTGAGCATGAGAGAGCATATCCATGCTGTGCGTTGGGTAGACAGCTCTGGCTGTGCTATCTAGGATAGGCTGGAGGAAGGGTTGCTTGAAGCAGCATGACAAGTTAGGAGTCCCTCACAATTGTCCTAAGAAGAGATTCTGAAAGCCTGACTTAGGAGGTAGTAATGGGAGTGGAAAGGCACACTGGAAAGACTCATTCCTCTCCTATCCCTGAGGTCCTCTTTGCTTGGATTAGAACAAAACAAAACAAGACAAAACAACCAACAAACTTCTGACTCACTTGCCAGTCTCAAGGGAAGAGACTATCCTTAGCTCAACAGTCCAAGATCTCTGTTTACTAGATATTTTCCTGGGTCATTTCTTTATTTCCTGTGCCACTGGCAGGGGGTGGCAGCTGTGGTCACCCTGGCCCTGGTGTTTTTTGGCATTTTGCTGCAGTTTAGATTGTGTTGATGGTAGGATAAACATTTCCATCCTTGGGCATCTTGTTCCATGCCAGAGGAAAGGTACTCAACGGTGTTGAAGCCACTGATACAGCTGGCCTCAACCTTCTCATCTTGCATATGAGAAAATGGAGGTCCGGAGAGTTAAAGAACATGTTCAAATCATGTGGGGAGAAGTGGGGACACAGGAGCAGAATTTAGTCCTTAGGTCTTGGACTTTTTTTTTAAGTATACCTTGCAGTTTTTATTGAATAATGCTAGTATTTACTGACCACATACTATGTGTCATACACTGTGTTAAAGCCTTCATTAATTTCATTTAATCCTCTTAAGTTGCTATAGGTAGGGACTATCATTATCTCTATTTCTTCAGATGACAAGCTGAAGGTCAAAGAAATTGAGTAATTTTCCCAAGGTCATGTAACTAGGAAGTTGCAGAGTCAGAATTTGAATCCAGGTCTATCAGACACCATGTATCTGTCCAAGTATAAGGAACCCCCTGAAAATTACTTATTAAAAATAACTCTGACATCTCCAGCCGAGTGTGGTGGCTCACGACTGTAATTCCAGAACTTTGGGAGGCCAAAGCAAGTGGATCACTTGAGGCCAGGAGTTCGAGACCAGCCTGGCCAACATGATGAAACCACAGCTCTACTAAAAATACAAAAATTAGCCAGGTGTGGTGGTGTGTAGTCCCAGATACTTGTGAGGCTGAGGCAGGAGAATTGCTTGAACCTGGGAGGGAGAGGCTACAGTGAGCTGAGATCATGCCACTGCATTCCAGCCTGGGCCACAGAGGGAGACTCCATCACAAAAAAAAAAAAAAAAAAAAAAAAAAAATTAAAAAAGAAATTGTGACATCTCCAATAGAAGTTCTACTTTTAAAACATTTACTATGTGAGTAAATATATAATGAACTCAGTAATGCATTTAGGTGAACTTGTATTTTAATAATCAGTATCTATAAATGTTATGGAATATATACTTTTGGAAAATAATGTTGTGAATTCATGCAAGACATGATGGAAATGAGTTTTAGAACTTTCAGTTGGGTAGAGGAGGTAGTAGGTAAGGTGGGGAGGATGGTTGCTTACGAAGTACATACAGTAAGGGGTCATCTCATTGGAGTGAGTTTCTAAACCTTTTCAGGTTTCTCATATAACCTGACCCACCGGTGTAAGGGTATGAATGAAGTCACACATTTCACTGGCTTGTTACTCCTACCTGCAGAATTCATGACCTCAGCCCCACTGCAATGTTTACTAGTACTTCTGGAATGCACAGAGTAGCATCACATGTAAACAAACTTGGACCTGCTGCTGGGCTCTGTCTATTCATCGTGTGTCTTGCCATTCTCCCTGGTGCCCTGCCCCATGTCCATGTGCTCGCATGTACTGCTGTACCGGAGGCTGGTGGTCTGTGGAAAAGCAGAGGGAGGGATGGACAGGGAGGCCTTAGTAATCTTTGTTAGAGGTATTTGTTAAAGGGGGTCCCACAGCAGGGCTGCTGGAGCACCAATGAGTTACACAGCTTAGAAAAAAAACAGCTCTTTCCAGTTTTTAATTGAGTATAACTTATATTCAATACAATGCACAGATCTTTAGTGTTTAGTTCAATAAATTTTGATGATTGTATATGCCCATGTGATCAAAAAAGTTATAGAATATCCCAGAAATTTCTTTTATATCCCTTTAGAGTCAATTCCTTTGTTCCCCAGAGTCAATCACTTTCTAATTTTTATCATCTTAGTTTTCTCTAACTTCTCCTAAATGGAGTCATACCATACATACTTTTTAATGTCTGGCTTCTTTAACTTGGAAATATGTTTTCAAAATGCGTCCAAGTTTTTGCATGAATCAATAGTTTATTCTTAATACATACAGTTAAATTGTATTCCATAGTATGGATGTGCCATAATTTGTTTTTCTGTTCTCCTATATTTGCATAGCTGGGTAGTTTCCAGTTTTTGACTATCATGAATAAAGCTGTTATGAACATTCTCTTACAAGTCTTTTTTGGAAGCCTGCTTTCATTTCTCATGTGTAAATAGTAGTGAAATTGCTGGGTCATAGGGTAGATGTCTATTTAACTTCACAGGAAACAGCCAAACAGTTCTCCAAAGTGGTTGTACCATTTTATATTTGCGCCAAGCAGTATAAGAGGGTTTTATGTCCTCTGTATTAACTTCAACATTTGGCATTGTCAGTGATTTTCATTTTAATTATGCGAGTAGGTTTGAAATTATGATTTTGATTTGCACTTTCATGATTATTTTGAGCACCTTTTCGTATTTAATTGACTCTGTATATCTTGTGATATTTTAAAAAAGTCTTTTCCCTATTTTTTTAATGGTGTTGGTTTTGAAATTTTTGGTTTGTAGGCATTCTTTATGTATGGTGAATACATGTCCTTTGTCAGATATTTGTATTGTAAATATTTGTTTCCAGTCTGTGGACTGCCAATTCAATTTCTTAAGGGTGTCTTTTGTTGCACAGAATGGTTTTTTTTTTTTTTTTTGATAATGTTCCAGTAACTATGGGTGCATAACAAACTATCCCACATATTTGGCTTAAAATAATGAAAACATTTATTTTGCTCATTAATCTATATTTTTGGTAAGAATCAGTAGGGATAGACTGCTTTTGTTCCCTTTGGTGTCAACAACTTTATGGTAAGCCTTAAAATCATGTAGTATAAGTCCTCCAACTTTGTTATTCTTTTTCAAATTGTTTTTGATATTTTTTGCCCATATGAGTGTTAGAATCAGCTTGTGAATTTTTCAAAAAGGCACATGAAATGTTGATCTTAATGATATTGAATATGTAGATTCATTTTGAGAGAATGTGCATTTGACAATATTTTGTCTTCCACTTCATGAGCATGACATCTCTACATTTATTTACCTTTAATTTTTTTCTGCAATATTTTTATGCCCTGTACAGTTTTCAGTATTTTTATTTCTAAATGTTGAATGTTTTTTGATGATATTGTAAATGGGATACAAAAATTATTGTCCATTTTTTTATTGGTACTGCATAAAAATTAAATTACTTTTAAAATTTTGGTCTTGCTAAATTGATTCCGTAAGGTTTTCTACATATGTGATCATATTATCTGCAAATAACAATGGTTTAAATTATTTTCTGGTATTCATGTGTTATATTTCTTTCTCTCTTTTTTTTTTTTGGGCTTATTTCACTGGCTATGACTTCTAGTATAATACTGAATAAAAGGGGTAAGAATGGATATAATTTCCTTACACAATGTTTTTGTTAGGTTTTGGTATCAGAGTTATATGAATGTCATGTAACAACTGGTGACATGTTCCCTCTTCTAACTTTTGAAAGTGCTTATCTAAGATTGGTATAAATTCTTCCTTAAATATTTACATAATTTATTGGTGAAGCTGTCTGAGCCTGGATAGTTTTTCTTGGTAGGTAGTTTATTATGAGTTTAATTTCTTAACAGACATAGGACCATTTAGATTTATTTCTTCTTACTTCAGTTCCGGTACATTTTATTTTTCAACAAATGTTTCCATCTTGTATAAATTGTTGATATTTTGGCATCCACTTGTTTATAAAATCTTCTTATTATTCTTTTAATATCTTTAAAATTTGCAGTGATGTCTCTTCTTTTACTCCTGCTTTTGGTGATTTGTGTTTTTTCCTCTTGCTCGATTTTGCCAAAAATTGATCAGTTCTATTAATTTTTTCAAGTATCCAACTTTTAACTTTTTTGTCTATTTTCTGATGTATTTATTTCTGCTATTAAATTTTATTATTTGTTTTCTTCTACTTAATGTTGCCTTGAATTTGTTATTTTTTTCTTGCTTCATTTTTTTTTTTGAATTGAGTTGTTGCTCTGTTACTCAGATTAGAGTGCAGGGGCATGAGCACAGCTCACTGCAGCCTCTACCTCCTGAGCTCAAGTGATCCTCCTGCCTTAACCTCCCAAGTAGCTAGGACTAAAAGTGTGTGCCATCACACCCAGATAATTTTTTATTTTTCAGTTGAGATGGGGTCTTACTATGCTGGCTAGGCTGGTCTCGAACTCCTGGCCTCAAAAAATTCTCCCTCTTCAGCCTCCCAGAGTGCTGGAATTACAGGCATGAGCCATCGTGCCTGACCTTTTTTTGCTTCTTAAGGTGAAAATTTAGGTCTTTGATTCAGTCCTTTTTTCTAATATAGACATTTAAAGCCCTAATTTTCCTCTAAGTCCAGATTTATCTGCATCCTACAAATTTTCTTATGTTGTATGTTTTTTATTCTTCAGTTGGAAATATTTTCTAATTTCCCTTTTTTTTTTTTCTTCTTTGACTGATGGGTTATATAGAAGTGGTTACTTAAATTTTGAAATATTACAAGATTTTCTAGATATCTAATTATAATTGATATCTAATTTCTATTGCAATCAGAGAATATTATTTTGATCCTTTGATATGATTTTGAACCTTTGTTTTTTTTAGATTTGTTTTGTGGCTCAGCATGTAATCTGTCTTGGTGAATATTTTAGGTGCAATTGAAAATAATGAGTATTTGCAGATTTTGGCTATAGTTTTTTATAAATGTCAAATTGGTTAAAAGTGGTATTTCAATCCTTTTATATCCTTACTGATTTTTTTGGGGTTTATTTGTTATATCATTTGCTGAGAGAGAGAGGTGTTATAGTCTCCAAGTATGAATGTGAATTTCTCTATTTTTCTCTTTAGTTCTGTCAATTTCTTCTTTTCGAATTTGGAAACTTTGTTATGAATATATATATATACATTTATAATGATTAGGTCTTCTACATAAATTGATCTTTAAAAAATGACAAAATACTCACCTTATCTCTGGTAATATTTGTTGTCTTAAAATCCACTTTGTCTGATTTTAATATAGCCCCCAGTTTTCTCATGTTTATTGTTTGCATGGAACATCTTTTTCTAATATTTTCCTTTCAATCAATCTTTCTCCTCCTCCTTCTCTTCTTCCTCCTCCTTCTCCTCCTTCTCCTCCTTCTGCTTCTTCTGCTTCTTCTTCGTCTTCTTCTTCATCTTTTTTTGTTGAGACAGAGTTTCACTCTGTTGCCCAGGCAGGAGTGTAGTGGTGCGATCTCAGCTTACCGCAACTTCTGCCTGCTGAGTTCAAGTGATTCTCCTGTCTCACCTTCCCAAGTAGCTGAGACTACAGGTGCACGCCACCATGCCCAGCTAATTTTTTTGTATTTTTAGTAGAGATGGGGTTTCATCATGTTGGCCAGGCTGGTCTCAAACTCCTCACCTCAAGTGATCCACCTGCCTCAGCCTCCCAAAGTTCTGGGATTACAGGCATGAGTCACCATGCCCAGCCCAATCTATCTTCTTTTATCTCTGTTTTTATATTAATAATTAACATGTTACTTTTAAATTGCATATAGGTAAGTCTTGCTTTTCTATTCAATCTGACAATTTCTGCCTTAAACAGTTGATGTATTTAATCTATTTACATTTACTACAATAACATTTATGATTGGGTTTAAGTTTATCATTCCGGTATTTGTCATATCTATTCATTGTACGTTGCTTCATTTTTTTCCTGTATTCTTTTAGGGTAAATCAAGTATTTTTTTATTACTCTATTTTGTCTTCTTTATTGACTTTGTAGCTATACTTTTTGTATTATTTTTATAGTGTTTGCTCTTTAGAAATTAGACTGTGTATTTTAAGTTATCACAGTTTACTTTCAAATACATTCCTAATGAATGGCAATGCAAGAAACAGCAATATAATTACATTCACCTGCTTCTTGCCCTTTATGCTATTGTTTTCATATATTTTACTTCTATTTATGCTATAAACTCCATAATATATTATCATTTTTGCTTTTAACAGTGAGTCTTTTTTTTCTACAGAAGTTGGAAATATACATATTGTGTGTGTGTCTGTGTGTGTGTGTGTGTGTGTGTGTGTGTGATGTCTAGGTATGGTTTTCCTTGTATTTATCTATTTGGGTTCACTGAGCTTCCTGGATCCATGGGTTGATTTTGGAAAGTACTTGGCTGCTATCTCAAAAAAAAGAAGAAAAAATACATTTTCCTTGTTAACATTCCACTTTTTTTCTTAGACTTATTTTGCAACTGGCTTCAAACAATTTGAAGAAAGGGTCATGGCTTTCCCTTCAGCAGAGTTTGGGATCTGAACACTGGTGAGATTCTAGAAAATTCTTTATGCTTTACAACATAGCTGCCAGCTTTTATTCTTCTTTTTCCCACTGGAGTGTTCTCTTTGCCCTCCAGCGTTGCCCCCAAATGTCTGCCTCTTGAGAGTTCTCCACCCAGTGGTCCTGCTTGCGTCTTTGGAGGACGGTAGCAGTGCGCTCAGTGGAGGCCACGGGTGCCTCAGAGGGATTTCTCTTGGACCTCCTGCCCTACCCCAGCTTCGGCGTTGCACTTGGAGAAGGCCCTGGATATCTCAGGGTAATCTACCATCCCTAGCCCTACAGCATACTGGCCCTGTGCACTAGATAAGAACAATAGCAGAGGGTTGTGGACTGGTACAGACACACACTCCCCAGGGTCTTAATCTGCCATGCCAACCCACTCACTGCTGCAATTCTATTAAAAGTTTGGTGGGGCTGGGTGCGGTGGCTCATGTCTATAATCTCAGCACTTTGGGAGGCCGAGGCAGGCAGATCACCTGAGGCCAGGAGTTTGAGAACAGCCTGGACAACATGGTGAAACCCTGTCTCTGCTAAAAATACAAAAATTAGCTGGGCATGGTGGCAGGCACCTGTAATCCCAGCTACTCGGGAGGCTGAGAAAGATAATCGCTTGAACCCGGAGGCAGAGGTTGCAGTGAGCCGAGATTGTGCCACTACACTCCGGTCTGGGCGACAGAGCAGGACTCTGTCTCAAAAAATAAAAAAATAAATAAATAAAATAAATAAATTTAAAAAAACAAAATTAATTAAAAAAAAAGTTTGGTGGTTTCTCCTTACCCCTATCCATGGCAGATTCATCTTTCTCTGCTCCTTCCCAGTGATGAAAATGTCTCTCTTCTTGCTAGGAAGGAATCTTCACTTTCTGAAATTTAGTTCATTTCACTTCTTTGCATCTGAAGCTCTCTGATAGGTTTTAAACAATTGTGATATTGTAGCTTACCTGGTTCATTCTCATTGTTAGGATGGGAGCAAGTCTTCAGCAATTTTTGGCAACCTAAATGGAAGTGGAGCTCGTTCTTTTTGTTTTTATTTATTTACTTTCTATTTCCAGTAACTAGATGCCGATCTATGCAGCTGGGATAGGAATAGATTTGAGTGATCCTAACTCAAAATCCCAATTCCTTTCCTATGTCAAAAGCTTTCTATTGGATAAAGCTCATAATCTGTGACTCCTTCTCTCACTTGCAGTTGCCCCCCAAGAGGCTCTTCAGAACCAATTAAATGGATTTCTGTCGGGCCCACCCGTCAGTGTTACAGAGATGTCTAAATCTCAATATTCAAGGCATGGCAAACTCCTCACCCGTCAGCTACCCAATGCATCTATTGTTACAGTAAGAATACACTGGAGAGGGGCAATCCCTCAAAAGCATTTTCAGCTTGGTGACATCAAGGCTTACAGAAAAGGGAGTGATTTCAGGGTGAGAGTAGGGTAGGAACACCTACCTACTAATGTTTCCTTGGTTTCTTCTCGGAGCTACCCTTTTCCACAGTTAATCCTGTGGTAACTCCTTGAGCTAGGTCTCATTTAACGCACAAGCATGCTGAGACTCCAAGTCGGGGTATAACTTGCTGGAGGTAAGTGGCAGAGCTGGGATTTGAACCCACATCTGACTCACTCTAAAACCTAGGCTTTTAAAATTTTTTCTTGACCAACATGGAGGAAGGCATGGCAGAAGACAGAATAGGCAGACCACTGCTCCCCGGTCAGGCCTGGGACTGACCTGGCAGGTGTCGGCCCTGGGGTCAGAACCACGTTGGAGGCTGTAGCTTCTGAGAACAGTGCTCTTCTGTCAGGACCCCACCTCACAATGGATTCAGGTACTCTCGTAACCTTGAGCAGTGCATTTAGTCTTTTTCTGAATATCAGCAGTTTTCTGAAAACTGGAGTTGTCCCAAATCCTTTGAAAACATTCGTGTGGGAAATTGGGAGCCACTCCTCCAAAGGTCACTGTCCCAATAACTGGATTTATAGAAAGGAAAGGACAGAAAGGAGCAGCCCCCACGTTCACCCCAGCCCCTGCCCATCCCAGTCTGCACAAACCTTCTTGCCACACCAGAGGCCACCTCACGCTTGGCCTCTTCTCCCTGGCACGGTGGCTTACACAGGAAAAGCCAAAGTGTAATTAGTTAATAGCAGAGCTCCTCTGTTAATGGAAAGGGCATTTCAAACTTACTTATGCAAACTGATACTGTGGGATTTGTCAGAAACCATCAATAGGATGCAACAGAGAGGACTCACAGGTCATTTGTCAAATGGGGACAAACCTTGTCTCATTTAAGCTTTGAGACCCAGAGTGGCTCTCTGAATTGCTGGCCTGCTGGGATGTAAGAGCACTGGGGGAGGAAGCTGGGACCCCTTTTTGGAGCATCTTTTCCCTCATAACAGTTCTGGTCAGGACTGCTACATACCCAACAGGCATGATCTCAGCTGTTCCTCACCACAACCCAATGAGGTAGTTACTAGTACTGTCCCTATTTTATAGCTGAGGAAACTGAGACTCAGACAGGTAAGTACCTAGACTAAGGTTAAGTATCTAGTCAATGGTGAGCCTGGAACATGAGCCCAAGATTGCTTGAATTCCAGGTCTAGGTGGTTAAACACTTTCCTGGTACCTTTCCATTCAGCAGTTGGCCTACTCTAAAACCTAGGTTACTAATAGAAGATGACAGGGGATCCTCTGAGACTGGTTATTTATCACCACACCTCTTTTCTCCTCTTCTTGGGCTCATGGCCACACTATATTTCCCAGACTCCCTTGCAGTTGGGTGTAGCCATGTGACTGAGAGCTGGCCAATGTCATGTGAGTAGAAGTGTTTCTCCTCTACCCCCTTAGGTGATCTTCATGCTCATTCCATGGCTAGAATGGAAGTGATTTCCAGGACCACCTTGAGAGCCATGTGTTGAAGGTAGTTGATCCATAAATCAGAAAGAGCCTGGGTCCCTGATTCACCACTTGGAGGAGAATGTTCCTACCAAGCATACCTGTATCACACTCTTTTATTGGGTTAACCCACTTATATATGAAGGTTTACCAGTTGTAGAAACTGATGTTACCTTAAGCTATGCAAGTGTTACCCATCAGGAAGGGGTTGGATGGCCACTGAGGAGCTGAGGGCATGACCCTGAATACTCCCTCTGATTAACTTGCCTAGGGAGGAAGGGGTGAGGAAGCTCGGTCTTTCTTGCTGCACAGATTCAGGTTTGGGTGCAAGGCTTAATGGATTAATGAACCTTGAACAATTTAATTTTTCTAAACATCGCTATTTTTCTGAAAGTTAGAATGATATTTGCATCATTCTGTATGAGTTTAATTTAGTCAACAGATTTTGTTGAGCACTTACTCTGTGTTGATAATTGATCTAGGTGCTGGGGAGAGGAGCAGTGAGCAAACACAAAATCCCTGCCTGTTTAGAACTGATCTTCTAGTGGTGGTGGTTGGGGCTGGGAGCAGCTGGACAGTGAATTACTAAGTAAGTATGCCATGTGGCGATTAGTGATGTGGGGAACTAATAAAGCAGAGTTGGGGGAGTGAGAATACCAAGCATGATGGGTGGAGGGCAGGTGGTCAGGGAAGGTGTGTCTACTTGCAGACATTTGAGCAGATACCTGAAGATAAAGAAGTGGGCCATGGAGATCTTTGGGGAAAGGGTGCTGCAGGCAGAGGGACTGGTCAGTGCAAAGGCCCAGGCCAGAGAGCATGTGTCATGTTGGAGGAGCAGCGAGGTGGCCAGTGTGGCTGGAATGGTGAGGGCCAGGGTAAGTGTGGTCATGTTGGAAAAAGCATCCTTCACACCACCTGCATATATGTAGATGGCCCACAAATGTTGAGTCCTTTCTTCCTAGATGACAGCTTTGTAGTCTCCCAGGGAAATCCTCATTGGTAAAAACAAACAAATAGATGAAAATTGAAGCAAATCAAACACAAATTTTCTTTATTGACTGGCTGATGCCTGAAATTTCACTAGGAGACATTGTCCTTTTAGTCCAAGGCTCTAGTTCCTGTATCATACAAATACTTCTGGCAAAGGATAACATTCCAAGCCATTTTGGTCATTAAACCTTAAAGAGGTTGATTTCAAATTTGGTTGAGGTTAGTGGAGGAGAAGGGTCTGAGAGATCTGGTTGCCTGGAGAGGATTGAAGTAAAGATCAAGAGAGGGCCAGGGAAGGAGGGCAAAGGGGTGTGTGTGGAAGCTTAAGCCTGTGTGTTTTGAAGCTCCTCTATGCTATAGCTTTATGTGGGTGTCAAAGGAATTTACATCTGCAGACATCACTGATTCTCAGAAAGGATTGCTCCTAACTCACAAGTTTGCTATATATTGAGTGAATGAATGAATTTTCTATATCCCCAGGAAGGGATGATCCTTGCCTCCCACCCTGTCACTGAAGACCAGGAGAAGAGTGATCCCCCGAAATGCCCTCAGCTCCTGAAATGCCCACTGTCAACATTCTTGGTTACAGACAACGGCAACACCTGTTTCAAGAATAAAATGGATCTATTGAATATTTGGGATCATTAGGAGTTGAGGGGCAGGGAAAGCAAATTCCAGGTTAAGTTTCCAGAAAAAGTGCCCCAACCGCACTGTAGAACTGGCCTGAAGATGAAACCACCATTGCAGCTACTGAGAACTCAATGATAAGAACTTGTCATTTCTACCCTGTGCACTGCTGCTTCCCAAGAACTGATGCTACCGTGTCAGCGAAGGGATTCCCTTGCTGAGCCCAGTTCCTTACACTGCTCACTTCATTTCTAAAGCAAAATCTTATGCAGGTGTGTACAAAGACAGAACTATGTCACAGGCCTGCATTCTAACTGCAAGAGAGGCTGGCAGTTTGAGTTGTGACTACAATGGGGAGGCAAGAATGCTATCATGAGATTTTCCCCCATTATAGAAAGGATTGGCAAAGATAGAGCCAAAGTTCCCTGTAGGAGATGTGTACAGAAGGTCTGATGAAAATTCGAAGTCTTATTCAGAACAAAAGGCCTAGATAACCTTCCAGGGACCCTGGAAAGAATGATGCCTAGGAAGGTGGCTTCTGTCATGAAGTGATCACCAACCATGGCAATGTCAACTGGGGAATGGCAAGGGGGAGTGCTGGGCATAGGGTCCAGCTCCCAGGAAACTAGAAGGAGCCCAGGAAGCTAGAAGGCAAGCTTATGTCAGCTTGGTCTTTTTAACAGGGCTCCACCCTGCCAAGAGAACAAGGCCTACATGGGAAATTATGAAGAACACACACACGCAAAAAAAAATCTGAGTTTGCTTTGTGTAGGGATTTAATTACTGACTTATCCTGATGCTTATGTATACTTGCAGCTTAGAAAAGTGAAGACATCTTTCTGGGACAGTTCTGGGAAACAGAAGCCCATGCGCACTAAAAGGAACCAAGGAATGTTTTCCATGTATCCTGAGCTGGACACCAAACAAATGTGTTCCTCTTTCTTTGCTCACTTAGAAGTCTTCTTCCTGTCCTGGGTTAATTGACTTCAACTTTGAAGGAGATGATGTTTATTTTCATCTTCGAATCTGACCTGATACCATTTAGAAATTATGAATAAATTTTAATACATTGGAACCCTATGTTAAACCACAATGCATGAGTGGATGAGTCACAATTCCAAGACAGCTCAATGCCCCACACAACTAAGACACAGATGACTTTGGTGCTCCCCAAATCACTTTCCCATGAAGGGCAAGGTTCTCTCGGCAGGGTGGGGCATGGTCAGAAAGGAGAACTTCAGCTTCTGCTTCAAAACAAGCTTCCAGGCTCAGATGGGCCCTGCTGTCTCAAACACTGCTCTTCACCCTGCCACGCTTTGTCCTTGCTGGGCTCGCCATCCTTCAAGGGCCCCCCTCCAGGAAGCTGCCCTCTCGTGGCAGGCATCTTGCTGGTAGCTCCCAATTATTTTGTGAGATGGGATGCAGAACAGAGTTGCTTTGGAAGCCCTGGAGGGTATTGAGGGTCTGACTTTTGGGCCGCAGGACCTCTGCAAAGCCTGATTCCTTGAAGACATCACTTTGACTTACTTGGTCCCAGAGCCTGTCTTGTTTTTAATTTCCCTGCTAAGTTTCTGTTCTCCAGCAACATATAACCCCCTTTTTCTACTTCAGTAACCTCAGTGGTAGCTCTCACCATGTTAAACAACGGTCTGATTTGGCATGGAAAAAAAGCAGTCAATTGTTCCCTTTAAATCTTAATGTTTTCAGCCCTGGGAACATTTGAAGTAACTATTTAATGAGAAGACTTCTGGTGAAGCATAGGTAAGATCTTAAAGGCTCTAATTGCTCCCCAGAGAAAGCTGTCAGGGCTAAGTAACCTCATTCAGGTTGTGTACGCAGAGCAGGGAGAGCAAAACAAGGCAGAAGTGAAGAGTGGAGGCTGAGGGGGCAGAAGTCACAGAGACTTCTCGAACCTGGAAGTATTTCTGGAGTTGTGCCTTGCACTGTCTGTTTTGGGTACCTGCTGGCTGACTGCTATGCCCCCAAATGGTCAAACAAATGACTTACTCTTTCCTGGGTCTAGTTGCCTTCTAATTTGGAACTCAAATTATAGTTCTTTCTTCTCCTCTTTCATTTAAATACAAAGCAAAACAAAACAAAATCTGAAACTATTTTTCCTTCTAACCCCCACGTGAACTTTTTATTCCTTTTATTTTTATTCATTTGCTTATTCACTGCACAAATATTCATCATGTTTCCCCGGGGTTTCAGGCACTGTCCTAGGCACTAGGGATGCACCCTATTGTTTATGCATTGTTGATTTAGTGGCAATAAGATAAATTTCTGCACAAGGGACAAGATAACAGATGCACACCCCATCTGCTGCCAGGGGGCACCTCCTAAGCCAATATCCCCTGCCTCTAAGTTTGGGCTGTGTGAGGTAGAACAGGGGAGTTCTGCCATACAATAGTAATGTTCACTGTGTGCCCAAGGCACGTGGAGAGTGAGGCACTTTGGAAATTGGGCTCAAAATGACTTCTTATTTAACTGAAACAAAAAGCCCTTTGTGTGAGCCTTGCTCCCTCCAGTCCATGGAGGCGGTCTGTTTGCTCTGACAGCAGCCCCGCAGTCCCTGAGCTGCCTCAGGTGAAATGCTGCCTGGTTGCCAATGGCCACACTGCTTGTGACCATTACAGGGCCTAAGTGGGTTTGGGAGCCATACGCTTGGAATTAAGTAAGAAAAATGGAGGCGAAAGCAGGGCACTCTGCAGCCTGTACTATTCAGTCTTCTCTTGATGTGACTGAGACTTAAATTGGGAAGTATTTGGCTGATGGCGAGGTCAGATAAACGTTACGGATTTGATGTAATCCCAGACCTCAGACTTGAAACGGAGCTTGACCCTTCCCTTTGAGCACTTTTATGCAATGCTACTGGACATGTAGTAACAAGAAAGGAAACAGAGGGAGGATATCGGTGCAGCCACGTGTTGAGTCTGGGAGAGAAAATGACAGCGGGAGCAAGATAGGAGATGTGAATCAAATCAGGGGTTGAAACAGCAAAAGAGAATTCCACAAAGTTAGAGCTAGTGACGGGGATGATATTCCATGATACGATTTTGGGGAAGGGGGCTAGGAATGTCATCTGGCTGTTTAGAAATCCAGTATAACCGTATGGCCTGAAATTCAATGTATAATTATTACAAATTGCACTTATGTGTCCTCGTAAGGCTAAGTGTGGGGGTGGGTGGAGCAGCTTTCACTTTGCCTGGTTTTCACACGGGGAAACTGAGGCACAGGAAGTTTCTATGACTTGCTCGGGGTTGTACAACTGGTGGCTAAATTTTGTATAAAATATAGTGTGTGTATCCTGTCTTTCCATGGTGATGATGCCTTGAATTTGTCAAGTACATTTGCATTTATCATCTCATTGGAGCAGCCCAACAACCCTGCAGGAGGTGGAATGTGTGAGAAAACCAAGGACCAGTGAACACTGAAAATGGACTGGAATTCCCAATTCTTGGGCACTTTCTATGTGCTTTGTGCCTTGCGCATGCTGTCTCAAAAAATACCATCTTTTAAAGATATAATTTATCGCTCTTTTGGAGATGGGGAGGCTGAATTTTGGGAAGGGTAAGAGATATGCCCAAGAGCACCCAATTGGTAAATGGTAGACTTGAGATGCAGCTCTAGGTGTATGACCCTGAAGCCTGGGCTGTTCCATGACAGCAGATGACTCCTACCACCTGCTACCTGCCTGTGGACACCCGGCAGCCCATCAGGGCAGAGTTGGCCTTAGAACTCCATTTCTCCACTCCTAACGTTTCCACCAGACCAAGCAGCTTGCACAATAACAGCTTTGTGGTGAATAGCAGAAGTGTGGAATCCGAGAGGCCTGAGTTTGGTTCTGGGTTCTTCTACATGCTAGCAAAAGGTCTAGGGTAATTCTTCGGTCTCTCACAGTGGTCCAGTTGCCACCTGTATAAAATAAAGATGAAAACTCCCCCCTGGAAGGACTGTAATGAGAATTAGTGCGTGTAAACTGCTGACAGCTCTCAGGGTGTGGTGAGCGCTCAAGTAGTGATGGGTGTAGGGAGGGACAGCTGGGCGCTTGTTTCCTGACTTGGTCTCTACATGTTGCCCTGTCCTGTCTTTCTCATTTCCACAGGTAGGCACACAGTTTCCTTTACTTATTTTTGAGAAAGGGTCTTGTTCTATCACCCAGGCTGGGGCATAGTGGTGCGATCATGGCTCACTGCGGCCTTGAATCTCCTGGGCTCAAGCAATCCTCCCACCTCAGCCTCCCCAGTAGCTGGGACCACAGGTGTTCACCACCACACCTGGCTAGTTTTGTCTATTTTTTTGTAGAGACAAGGTCTTACTTTATTGCCCAGGCTGGTCGCGAATTCCTGGGTTCAAGTGATCTTCCTGCCTTGGCCTCCTAAGGTGTTGGGATTACAGGTGTGAGCCACTGTGTCCAGTGGGCACACAGTTTTGAAGCTTTCCTCTGCCCTCTCTCCTAGACCTCTCCTCTTTTTTCTTGATTTCTCTTCTGAGCTCTTGCCATGGGTATGGAATACCCTTTATTTTTCAGTCATATGTGCCACAGCCAATGTGTGAGGGTGCAGAACGGAGCCATCAGCTTCCCTTCTCCTGGAGCCCCTCTTTGGCTTCTGTATCCATCAGGGTTCTTCAGAGAAACAGAACAAGGGGCTGGCAAGTCAGAACCCTGGGGGGCAGGCTGGTGGGTTGGAAACTCTCAGGCAGGAGCTAAAGCTGCCCTTGACAGGTGGTATTTCTTCTTTCTCAGGGGAACCTCAGTTTAGTTTTTAAGGCCTTTCAACTGATTGGATGAGGCCTACCCACATTATTGAGACTAATTTCCATTACTTAAAGTTATCTGATTATAGAGGCCAACCACATGTACAAACATCTCCCCAACACCTACCTTCGTGTTTGGTTGGATAATTGGGTAGGATAGCTCAGTGACATAGGTCCGTAGGACTCACCGTTGCAGCTTCCATGAACTGCCCTTGCACTAAAGCCCCCGTAGTGCCTCTGTCCTCCTTTTCCTCTGCCCACTCTTTAAGTATTTACAGTCATCAAGGTTCCATAGCTGGCACTTTGCTCATTCTAGATGCTCCTCCAGGCAGCCTTGTCTCCCCGCGGTTGCTGAACTATGGCTTGTATGCTAGCAATTGCCTAGTTCTCATTTCCGGAAACCTATTTCTGCTCAGCCACTGAGCACCTGCACGGGATGCCCCCACTCCCTCAGCTCCCACCTTATCCCCCACTCCCTCCTGTCCACTTTCCGGGATTCTGCTCTTTCCCTTCACTTGGTCACCCCAACCAGAAATCTGGCTGCCATTCCTGACTCTTCCCTCTCCCTCTCTTGTCACATTCAATGGGTGACCAAGTCCTGATGATTTCTACCTATTAAATATGTCATTCACCTAGGTAAGAAAATATTTATTGGTTATCTACACACAGCACAGACCTAGGCTCTAGGGAGTTCTTAATCTTGGCACTATGGACATTTTGGGTCAGATAATTCTTTGTTGTGGGGAATGTTCTGTGCACTGTATGATGTTTAGCAGCATTCCTGTTGTATTAGTTGCTAGGGCTGCCCTAACAATGCCACAGGCTGAGAGGCATAAGCCATGGAAACTTATTTTCTCAAAGCTCTGAAGGCTGTAAGTCCAAGATCAAGGTGCCAGTAGGGTTGATTTCTCCTGAGGCCTTTCTCCTTGGCTTGTGGGCTGCAGCCTTATTGCTGTGTCCTCATGTGGCCTTTCCTCTGTGCGACCACATCCCTGGTTCCTTTCTTCTTCTTATAAGGGTGCTGGCCTTATTGGATTAGGGCCCCACTCTAAAGGCCTCACTTTAACTTAATCACCTCTTTAAAGACCTTATCTCCAAGTACATTTACATTCTTAGTTACTGGGGATTAGGACTTCAACATAAGGATTTTAGGAGGGGCAAATTCAGTCCATAAAACTGGTCTCTACCCACTAGATGCCAGTAGCATCCCTTACTCCAAGTTGAGACAACGAATAGTGTCCCCAGATACTGCCAGATGTTCCCTGGGGGCAAAATGGACCACGGTGAGAATCGCAGCTCTATACAACAGAAAGTTTCTGACAGTGACTGCACATTAGAATCACTTGGAGAAATTAAAACCAAACCACCCACAGAGATTCTGATTTAATTTAATTTTGGGTGAGACCCAGGCAGGGATATTTCGCAAAAGCATTCCTGACTATTCTAACTTGCAGCCAGAGATGAGAACCTTCTAGGACCATTAGAGTGAACACGACAGACATTAAATAACAAATTTTGTGATTAAAATTTTAAAGCACGATTAAGATTATATTATGCATACTCTTTTGTAACATTCTCTTTAAGTATCTTGAACATTTTCTTATGCTGTTAGAGAATCTGCAATAAAAATTTTCATGAGTGTATAGTTGAATGTGCTGCAAGTCACATAATCGAGGCCCTATTATATATTTTAGAGGGTTCAAACTCTCCTTTATGGACGTAATACTGCAAAGAATATTCTTGTTTGCATATCTTTGTAAGCAGCTTTGATCATTTTCTTAGCGTAAAATTTGAGAGGTAGAAAACCTGGGTCAAAAGGGTGGATATTTGTGTGGCTTTTGATACATATTACTAAATTGCCCCTCAGAAGTGTTGTATTAATATAAAGCTCTGCTAACAGAATATACAGTTGATTCTTGAAAAATATGGGGGTTAGGGGCACTGATGGCCTGTGCACTTGAAAAATTCAGGTATAACTTTTGACTCCTTGAAAACTTAACTATTAACAGCCTGCTGTTGACCAGAAGCCCCACTGATAACATAAATGATTGATTAACACATATTTTTATGTTATATGTATATATACTATATTCTTACAATAAAGTAAGCTAGGGAAAAGAAAATGTTATTAAAAAGATCAGAAGGAAAAGACATTTGCAGTACTGTGCTGTATTTACTGATAATGTAAGATGACATCATCTGTTTACAAGATGAATTGTTTGTCTGAAATAGGCAAATACAGCTGCAGACCTTGTCTATGGCACATATCAAGCAATCCAACTTTTTCCTGTAATGTCACGACTTTTCTCTGCTTCTTGGGAGTACTTCCAGCATCACTAGCAGCACTTCGTGTGTATCCCATGGTGTTATTCGAGGTTTATGGCATTGCACTAAACACGATGAAAAGTATGAGAGAACCACAAGAGATCACTTTTCACTATGATACACAATTTACTGGAGAGAGGAACTGCTCACCCGAAGATGATTAGAATCACACAGTGGCGATTTAAGTGGATACTTGTAACACTTGAGTCACCACAATAGCAACAGGAGGTATCTATGAAACGACTACAGTAGTACAGTATGTACTGCAGTTCATTTTTTGCAGCTCTGATTTAATACTATATCTTCACATTTGTTTACATATCTCTTGACTATGAATGATACCATGTATGTTCTGTATTTGTGTGCATATGTCTTGATAAATTCTAACTTTTTATAATAGATTTATGTATACTTTATGGTAGTAAATGATAAAATAGACTAGTATCTACATATGGTTTATATATTCATGACATACCTTTTTCTTAATTTTTTCGGTATTTCTAGTCTATGCAGTTCTGCAAGTCTTTTAAATAGTTGAAAAATCTTCCAAGGATTTTCAATATATATTGGAAAAAATCCATGCATAAGTGGATACATGCACTTCAAACCTGTGTTGTTCAAGGGTCAACTGTATCAAAAGTCATTGCCCTATGTCTTCACCAGCCTTGGGTATTTCAATTTTTGAAATTAAACAAAATGTAGTGCCTTGTTTTAATTTGAATTTCTTTGCTTATAATTGAAGCTAAACTTTTTTTTCAAATACTATACATTATTTGCAGTTTTCATTTTTGAGTTGCTTGTTCATGCCATTTGTCTATTTTTAACAATATTTTAATTTTTCATATATATATTTGCTAAAGCTGGTTATCAGCATATTAACTGTTATATGTTGCAAATTTTTTAAATCAAGTTAGTATTTGTCTTTGGCATTTGTATATGTCATGTTTATTTCTAGAAGTAACTTTGTTATAGTTAAGTCTATTAATATTTCTTCTCTCTTTCCCTTTCTCTCTGCTTACCATCCTTCCTAATTTTATTTATAGAAAACTTTTTCATATTCACCATCAGATCAATATTCACCTATGTTTTTGTTCTTTTATTATTATATTTTGGACATTTGATTTTCTAAATTTATTTGAAATTTTGGCATGCCATGTGAAGTAAGGATTGAATTTACATTTTCTTCCAAATAGTTACATAGTTGTCCTGAAACAACTTCTTAATAATTTTATCTTTTCCTGTTGATTTGAAATGTCACATTTTCTTAGATGAAATCCTTATCTGATTGGGTCTGTTTTGGTGCTTTCTGTTCTGTTTTACTCTGCATCGTTTTATTTGCTAGATTTCTAATTTGTTCTGGCAGATGAAGTTCAAGTTCTTCTCATTTTAAATTTTTCAAAAGAATTTTTGAAAGTCAGAATCTTTTGTTTCTTTCAGATTCTAAAAATTCCCATTGTGGTTTTGAGTAAAACTCCATTAACTTGGGGAGAATTTATAGCTTTCAGTATTACATCTTATCTTCCATGCTCATGATATAGCATTTCTAGTTTCAAATATTCTTTATGGATCTTTGTAAAGCATGTTGTTTTCTTTATAGCAGTCCCATATGTTAAATTTATTTTAAGGTACTTTATATTTTTGTTGCTATTTGAAATGGACCCCTTTAACCATTATATTTACTAGGTGGCTATTGTTGTTATTTAAGAAGCTATTGTTTTAGATATATTTATTTTGTAATTGTCTAGTTTACTGGGTAATTAGTTTCAATGGTTTATTAATTTTAGTTTTCTGGGTTGTTGATTATGCAAACAGTGTTCATTTGGTCTTATTGTCAATGTTGGCATTTCATATTTCTTGTCTTACTGCATTGGCTAAATATCAGGAAAAAAATTCAGCTATATTGGGGATGATGAACATACTTAACCTGCCCTTGATATACTTTGATCTTTTTATCTATTCTAATATAAGATTGGCTGAAGTTTTGTAAGACTTTATTGTGCTTTGTCTGATTTTTGTATTGACATTGTATTGCCTATTGTCTCTGTCAGATTTTTGTATTGGCATTATGCTAACTTGGCAAATTAAACGAGAGCCTTTAAAGAAATTATATGGTCTGGAACATTTTATGTAACAAAAGAATAGTTGATTTCTTAAAATTTTGAAAGAATTTGCCCGTAAAACCTTCCGATTCTAATCTCTTGGCAAACTTTTCCAATTTCTTCCATAGCATTTGCTTGTTCAACTTTTGGATATAATTTTGGTAGTCTACATTTTCTTAGAAAATTATCTATTTTACAGAGATTTGATGTTTTAGATTTGTTGTAGTGTGGCACATGAAATTCTGGTTTAAGTAAAAATATTTTCATGTCTGTAGATTTATGTACATTTTTACTCCTAATTTTGAATTTTTATTTTTTGTCTTAAAATTATGTTCTATTCTTTTTCTTTTAAAAATACATTCACTTCCATTTTATTTTTGTTAATTGCATCTTATTTACTTTTTCTAAATTATTTGATTTGAAATTTTAGTTTATTCTTATCTTTTTAAAATTACTGATGAAACCATTTAAGGCTGTATGTTTTTTCTCTGACTCTGGATTTGAGAGCATCTCCTAAATTCATGTATAAAATTTTCTGCGTAGTCTGAATTGAACTGTTATTTCCTCTTTAACTGAAAATTATTCATAAGTGAATTTTGACATTTTTAAGGAGCTGGGACTATTTTTTGGAAGGAGTGTTGTAATTTTTGTTAATCTCTAGATTTGTTCTAGGGTGCATTGAGGATGTGATTGAAACAATTTCTACTTGTTTCAAACTAACTGTAATTTTCTTTTCTGGAAGAGTCTTTTTAAATTGAAATCTGAGTGTGTTCCTTTCCTATGTAAAATTCTTCAGTACTCCTCCATTACCTTCAGGATACAATCTTAAGTCCTTGACATGGCAAAACAAATTTTCTAGAATTTAGCCTCTATCAATTATTCTAGCCTTATCTTTTGCCACTGACTCCCTTCTCCGCAGCACTAGTCAACCCCTCCTGCCTCCCCATCACAAACGCACTGAGTTAAAAGCCCCTGCTTTGGGCCTCTATTTTGTGCAGACCTCTAGTTCAGCACTTCTCTTTTATTACAGCTATGTGTCTACACACCTGCCATCCCATTAGCCAGCGAACCCTGTGGGGCCTTGGTCATTTTTGTGTTTTCAGTGTTGAGAGCAGTGCCTGGTATATACTAGGCATCAATAAATGTTGGTTGGATTGACCTTGAACAGATGGGAGCATGGCATGAGCTCAGCTGGCTAAGGGGCCTGAGGCAGGTCCCTTTTTTACCAGTTGACTTTATTGATCCACAACAAAAGATCAGGTACAAAGATTATTTGTAGAACAAGTGAAGTATGTGTTCCATATTTGTAACAAATTATCATCCTTTGTTGACAAGATTAAAGTCAATTCTAACTTTTTTTTGTGATGCTACCACATAGTGGTGTACCTGTTCTTAACATTAGGAGGAGAAGCAGTCTAGATCATGGAAAGCAGTTGGACCTGAAGCTACATGTAGCAAGCAGTCAGTCCAATATTTGCTCTGGCTGCCCCCACACAGGCTTGCAAGCCCTCAGCTTCCGCAACTGTCAGAGAAGACACTGGACAGGGTTATTCCTAATGATTTAAAAAAGCATCCTTGGTAAGCAGCAGGAAAAAAATAACTCACACCACCAAAAGAAGAAACATTTTTATTTTTTAAGATTTTTTTTAAACTGCTTAGATTCCTGAAATAGAATGCAGAATTTTATGAATTTGTGTGTTGCACATTTTTTTTTATTCTGCAGAGATCTAATTAGGTTTTCAAAGTGTATATGATCCAGAAAAGCTTAAGAACAACCTACTTAGAGGGTTCCAAACTTGAGACCTAAGGGTCACAAGGCCTGATAAAATATTATTTCTTTTTCTTCCCAGATTGCCCCATCATGTCATCCCCTTAACTGTCAGTCAATCAAAAATATTTAGAGCAGCTTCCATGTTTAACGCATTATTCTCTTCCAGTTAGAAGAAGAATAAGAAAAAGGAGCATGAGCTTGTCCCTGACTTTTAGAAGCTTAAGGTGGGATTGGGGAGAGAGGAAAAATAAATGTGGAAAGTTAGCAAATACGACTTCTGGTATAAGGCAAATACATTGGCCACAGGCTGCAGCCTCCCCTTTCTACCTTGAATACTCACAAATGATAAGAGAAAAGTTTTACAAGCACATAGCCATTCTTAAACAAGAGTAAATTTCCATTATCAGATATGGAGAGGTTTCTCTAAAGTAATTTAACACAAAGGTCATACTGGAATTTGGAGGCCTTAGCTGTTAGGCTTGTGGGGAGTGGGAATCAAAGTGGACTAATCAACGGACTCCAACTGGAATCCCATTAGCTGGAGAACCTGGGGCTGTAATTATACAACCTGTGTAGAGCTAAGGCCTGAAAACACACTCCCCATTAAAGGTGGGAGGGGGCAGCAGAAACACCTTGCTTTTGTGCCTAGGCTTATGGCTAAGGGTCTGAGGAATGCCACCCAGCATGACAAGATCTTGGCATCATCCTGTGTGTTCAGGGCCAGGGCCAGTGAGCAGATTACTTTGAGGTGAGAAGCCTGAGCCTTAGTATCAAATCCTCCTTAAAACTGCCTTGGGTTTTTAGAATGTATATGTAATATAAACAAACAATATACATACTGTATATTATTACAGTTATGTGTCTACATGTCTGTCATTCCATTAGCCAGTGAACCCTGTGGGGCCTTGGTCATTTTTGTGTTTTCAGTGTTGAGAACAGTACCTGCTATGTACTAGGCATCAACATATACTGAGTATATGTTGATATATACACACACACACGTATCAGTCAATTTTCCTAAAAGATAAGTTCACAAACAAAAATTACAAAATGCCCAGGAAGTTCAACACCATGAAAGATGAGTAACAAATTCAGAAAATGGAGGAACCAACATCCAAGGAAAAGAGATAATAGAGCAATCTAAAAAAAAAAGAAAAAGAAAACAAAAAATTAGCTAAATGTTTTCAAAGATAAGTGAGGACACAGATATGATGAAATAAGAACAGAACACAGTGAAAAAAGAACAGGTGGTTAGGAAAAGATTAGAAACTTCATAAATGAAGAAATAGTTATTAGAATAAAATAATTTAGTCCATGGGTGTTTTAGTTAACAAATCATGCTAAAAATTAGTAGCTTAAAACAGTAAACACTTATTATTTCATAGTTTCTTTGTGTCATCATTCAGGCATAGTTTAGCTGGTTGATTTTAGTACAGGATCTCTCATGAGGTTATAGTTAATACATGAGCCAAACTCTGCAGTCATCTGAAGTCTTGACTGGGGCCGAAGAACCTGCTTCTAGGATGGTTCATTCATGTAGTTGTTGGCCAAAGGCCTCAGTTCCCATAGTGCTGCTTGATGTAGTCATACAACATGGCAGCGGCTTCTTCTAGAGTATGTGATCGTAGAGACAGCAAGGATTAAGAAAGCATAAGGTTTTTTATGATGAAGTCTTGGAATTTACACACTGTCTCTTCCACCATATTCTATTAATTAGATCCGTCATCAAAACTAGACCTAACTCGAGAAGAATTAGATTCCACTTCCTAGAGGAAAGACTTTGCAGGTACATTTAAAAACATACAGTGGGATAAATAGCCTATTGTACACAGCAAAAAATGAATTAGGAAACCGGAAGACTGAGCTGAAGAAATGTTTCAAGATGTGACATAAGGAGCTAAAGGGATGAAAAACATGCAAAAGAAGTGAAGAGATCTGGAGGACAGATCAAAATGCCCCAATATAAATTTAATAGTGGTCCCAAGAGAAGGAAACAGAGAAGAAGATGCAGACAAAATATTTGAGGGTATAGGGGCTGAGAATTTCCCGAGACTGAAGATAATATTTCCCAGATTGAAAAAAATCTCATCAGGGCTGAAAAGTATAAATAAAAGTTAGCCAACTCTACAAAGCAATCACATTGGCAAAAGGGTGGCAGAAGATACTGCTTCAAAAAATGAAGGGCAAGAGATTTCTAGGGATGGAATAGTCAGAAAACTCTTTGTAGGTGGTAGTGGGAAGGCTAGGTCTGTTTCAGGCACAGAAGGCTGACTGTGCTCAGTAGAAAGGGACCAGCTTGTTGGGCAGTGATGATGGTGCTCACGCATCTTCAACTGACCTTCCATTGGCTCCTGGGACAACTTCCTCCCCACCTCTGCCTCACCTTTGCCACTATAAAAAGTCTGGCAAAGAAGAGTGAGGCTGCCCTGGAACTCTGATACCCTAAGTGTAGTGGCAAGGCCTGAATACACCATGCTTTCTACCCCTCCACCCCTCAATGGGGCAAGATAAGGTCCCTTTCTGCTTCAGGCTCCTCTCTCCAGATTTTGGGCCTCAAATGTCAAAATGCTCTAAGCAAATAAAGATAATTTTCTTCTGCACTAAGGCCTAGACTTGCCACATTCCTGTTTATTTTCACCCCCAAAAGCTGTAATTAGTAGTCAGGCTTGATTTTCCCTGCAGACTCAGAGACAGGAATAAGTGTTAATTTGAACATTTGCAACTAACAAATACCTTCCCATTGGCCCACACATAACCCAGCAGTTTTGAGAGATGATGAAGCCCCTAAGGAAGGCACAGGGTGGGGTGGAAGGTAGGTGGGGAGGGTGCAGGGAGGCAGGAGCTGATGCAGTCCGGCCGGGGCTATCTTGCTGACACCACAAGGCCAAGACCTGGAGAAGTGACAGCTTTACAAAAGTGAAGGCCTTGATGGGAAGTGGCAGAAGGCAGCTAACTACACCCAAACTCACAAGAGACGAACACCACCGAACGGGAGCAAAAGCTTTGGCTGGGAAAATCAGTCATCTTAAGAGAGAAAACATTGTTGGGGAAAAATATCTTTGACCAGGCAGTGTGATCCAACCCCATGAGAAATTTTTCTTAAGACCAAACCTTTGCCCTTTGCGTCCTGATCTCCTGCCTCAGGCGGAGGCTCTCTGGATATATGTCTCTATGCTGAGGTCACTATTGTCTAAGGTTCAATAAAGCGGGTCTGAGGGAACAAGTTTTGGGGCAGGAAGGAAAAAATATTGGCAAGGAGAAATCAGAGTCTTAAAACCACAATAATTCGATCTACCACATGAACTTTCACAGTCAGTTCAGAGTTCATTCATGGTTCTTTTTTTCCCTCCTGTTGCTGCTGTTGTATTTTCCCTGTCTGCATTTTTTTTTAGCTTCCTGAAAACTACTTAAAAATTGGATAAAGAGAAGGCATCATCCACTTTTCCTCCCTTTAAGGGAAAAAAGAAGTTTCCAATATCACCAAGCAGGATGGCAATTTATTCCTTTTGGTTTCATTTCTAATCCCTAGGGATATTGAGGGAAAGGGGGCACTCTCTGTCTTCCCCTCCTCTTTGTTTCATTCCTCTTGTTCTGTGTCTCTTAATCAGTCGGTCACATTCCAGATCTTTCTTTTTGTCTCTTCTTCTCTCTGGGTATTCTGGTCTTTCTCTTTGGCTACAGTCTCTACATAACCAGACCCACACCCAATATATCAGCGAGGCATTCAGCATCCTGGGCCAGCCACAATCTCACAGCCTGCACAGCAGTCACATTCCCGGTTGTATTTTCAACCTCGTTTCAGCACCCCTAGGCGGTGTACACGCTGAGAAACTTTGGTTCTTTTAGCTGTCTGGATGATCTTTTATTTTAGTGACCCTGGGCAGAACACAAACCGAGCTCAGTCTGCTGACGGAGACCTGACCTCTTTTTATGTAGCTATGTCGAAAGGGGCATCTGTGGGATAGCCAGGTTTTCAGGCCAATAGTTTTGGGATGGCTGCACGTGCACGTGCCCACACACACACACACACACACACACACACACACACACGGCATTGCAGAGAAACTGATTTATTTTTGGGGTGGTATTTGATTCCTATGAAGTAATTTGAAAACTTTTATTTCCCATTTTCCTTATTGTTATTTTTTTTTAGTGAGAGAAGGAAATGGGTGATACCTCCAGCCAAAGCTGTCATGTTATGATGCAGGCAGGGGCCTCAGCAAAGAGTGTGGTCTTTCAGGTAAAGGAATCAGGGCTGGGAGAAGAGAGGGCTAGAAATTGCATATGGCAGGGAGGCTGCTGGACTCTCCTGCTTTGCAACCGGGCACTAGCTGCAGGATGATTCAGGTGCAGACAGGTTTTTTTTTTTTTTGTGACTCAAGGACTCCAAATGATTCTGAAGACAAGGGGAAAGCATGGCGTGTTGACATGAAATCTGAGGCTTTCTTGGGTGTTGTGGTGGGTGAGAATGAAGGTTAGGTTTTCAGTGAGTTTGAACAGCACACCAGAATTTTAGGGAAAGAATTGTTATTTACAAATTCCTGGATCTTTCTCAGTGAATGGGGGTGCTGGTCTACATGCTTGGGGTCCCAGGCATTTCAGAGATTTGTAGGAAACACAGGGCAGGAAGGTGTCTAGCAATTAGGAACAGTTTCTCTGCTGGTCTGAGTGTCTGAGAGCCCTGGAGTTCTGCATCTTGACTGGGTTTTGGGACCCAGGCTTACTGATAGCTGAGTGGAGGAAGACGTGCACCAGTCACTTGTCTCATAAATATAATGGTAACTCAGAATCTTGGCCTTTAATCCCATGGCTATTTGCACAATTACCTTCTCATGACCAGCACTAATCCTCAGCAAAACTGCAAAGTCAGGTGAATCCTGCCTCAGTGGCTTCAGCTTTTTTATCTCCTCCCCTATCCCCTGGCTGGCCCACCCTCACTCACTTCCTCAGCTCCTATCTTCCCTCTCAACCTGGTGTTCTGGGCTCCTTTCTCTCTGCCCTATTAAAAATTCCATAGAAAACACAGATCTTAGTAACTCACATCTTAGCTTTCCCAAGAATGTTTGCATCTCTCATTATGTTCTAAAAGGCTTTGTCCTTTATGGGAGGAATGAATGCAAGTTCCACGGGGATAGATATTTTTGTTAGTTTTGTTTGCTGTCGTAACCCCAGGACCTAGGACAGTGCCCAGCATATGGCAGATGATCAATAAACTTAATTGAATGAATGAGTCAACTAAGTGAATTCAGGTTTTGGTCAGCACATAAGGACAGCTCTTCCCTGTGGGGGGAGCAGCTGGAGAGAGACAGACACTGAAACTGCCCCTACTCTCTCCAGGGTTTCACATACAGGCTACCACCTCCTCCGTCCCCACAGAAGGCCAATCCCTTAAATAACTTTTTAAAGACGCAACTTTGTTTCGTCAGACTCTCTGGGATACTAAAATCCCTGCTTCGGTTTCTGGCAAACTTTCCATTCTTACATGGCAAAGATGGTTTCCTTTCCCACTCTCCCAGGCCCCCGGCTTCATTATGGTGACCTCTTTCAGCATGGTGGTCAGTGCCTAATGTTCATTCGCCCCCGGGGGATCCCAAAGCTGCATATGCAATGCCCACCTCTGTCCTCACGGCGACGGGAATAGAACAGTCTTTCCTTTCGCAAACCTCCATGCCTGCGTCTCCTTTGCACGACTGACTGCTTAATAGTAAAATCGATCTGCTTCTAGGCAGGGGCTTCAGGCCTGGTGACTTGGCCTTAAACAAAGTCACGCCTGCAAAGGACAATTGCTCAGAGCTGTCCCTCTCTGAGGACTGCCCCTTGTTAAGGTGTGAGATGGAAAGTTGACAATGGAATTAAAATATTTTGGGCTGTTTGGAGAGCTGTTTTTAATATGTGCAAGGGCTGTAGTAGTCCTTGTTTAGAACATCTTCAGTTTGCCAGGGAGCTCTGTGCATGGAAAATGTGAGCGCAAGGCCTGAGGTAGAAGGGGAATCTAAACGACCTGGACATGTACCCGCTGTTCCGAGCAGCTGGGGGTGTGGGCTCTGTGTGTATTAGGGAAGGCTTTTCTTCTATTTCTAGACATTCTCTCTCCCACCTTTCAGTGGGCATGTAAATACCCATCAGCACCCTGGTCCGCAGGACCATCCCAGCCAGCTGTACCATCCACAGTGGATTGTATACATAATGCAACACCATTAACTGTAATGCTGTCACTCGGCAGAAAGAGCACTGGGGAAGTGCTGGGTGGAAGGTAGGAAGCTGCTGACCAGCTGGCTCTCGTTTATGTAATCATAAACTCAAACCTGCATCTCTCTGAAAGCAAGAAAAATCACTCACCCACCTTTGGATTACACTTTTACACAAATTAATGTCATTTTCTTTTCCAACAGTATTGACTGCAGGGCTGAATTTGGCCCGGCAGGCACAGGGAAAAGGAAGCATGCTAAGAGCAGCTGAGTTAACGGCATCCCTCTCAAGAAAGAGGATTCTCTGAGCAGGGTGAGAGAACAGAGGGAGAAGATGAAGAAGAAGAAGGAGAAGGAGGAAAAAAAACCCAACAACTTGCAAACACATACACCTCCCTGTGTGCTGCTGCTGCCTGGATGCATCTAAGATGGCACCTTGGTGCCCTGCCACATTCGGTCTCCTTGGTACCGAAGCGGCGCTCAGCTTCTTGTCACTGAGTGGATGATGATTATCTGCACCAGGGTCTCAAGGGTGCTCAGGCTTTGCTGGCGATTGGAGCTGAGATGCTTCAGCTGAAGGATTTTAAAAGCTATACAAGGCCAAAGAACCATTACCAGTCACTTGCTGTGTGATGCCTGTTGAAGAGGGGGTGGGTATGGAAAGGGGGGGTGCTGGGGGAGCCAGCAAGGGGAGGGCATGATATCTTTATCCCCTCCCTGTCCTCTCACTCTCCCCCTCTCCTCCCACCTCTCCACTTCCCCATGCCTTTTTAGCCACTGTACCCTTGCTGAGGCATGACAAGGTTATGTCAGTGTGGTCTGAGAATCTATTGATCACGGCCATCAAAGATCTTCGCAGGAGTTTAGGGATTTGGTGCTTTGCATAACACCCCACTCATCTCGGTTAACTCCTCCTGTCCTGGCCTGGGCTCCTACCACCTCAGAGCTGAGCTGTTTGCAAAACTTGCTAATTCCTGTGACAGCTGCTTTCTGAACTACATTCATAAGGCTGTCAAAACCATTGTAATTACTATTATAACAAAGCTCAGGTGCATGACCCAGGCAGCTAAGAAGAGATGGGATTGGATGAGACATAGCAAAGGGAAAAAACCCACATATAGCTACCAACACCCCATGCGTGTGCCTATTCACAGACACGCACATGCTTGCCTCATCTTCCCCTTGGAGGACCACAAAAGAAAGGTTCAATAAGCAGAAGGGATCTTGTTGATCTCCTATCCAGGTGATTTTTCTTTGAATCAGTGGAAAAAAAAAGAGATGGTAGAAACTACTGAGTCATATACTTGCATTCTGACATGTAACATCTCTCAATAAATGTATTTTGAGTGTGGACTGTGGAGCCAGCACTATTCTAGATGCTGCAGCTAAGCAGGATATAAGACAGACAAAAATCCCTGTCCTCATGGAGCTATTAGTCTGGATGCACTGATACGAGGCCGCCTGTCTTCAAAGTCTGTGAGTGACTGAGGCCTCCCCTGTGACTACATCATGACTGGATCAGTATTTTCCGCTAGTGCAATTTGCACAAATACACATACACACTCACATATAATACTTACAGACTTTAATAGTAAAAGAGTAAGAAAATATCTGAAATATTTCTCTTTGGAGTCTGCAAAAACAGGAAAAACTAAAATGTCCCAAACCATGAACCTCAAAGAAAAGTGACACTGGTTTTCAGCCTGATGATGCACTGTGTCCTGAGAGGTGTTTTTGTTAGCTAGATTTTACCCACCTGGAAGGACGATTACAAGGGCTTGCAGTGCATGGAAAAATCTAAGTATTTCTTACAGTAAGAGAGAGGTGGTGGTCCTCCACAGGCTGTAGAATGGGCAGTTCCCGTGGGTACCTGCCCACAGGTTTCCTGGGATGCTGCAGGGAGAGCAGGTTTAGAATACAGAGATGTGAGTGGTGTGGTCCTGGACAGGAGGCTACAGAGTGAGAGGACTGGCCTTCAGAGCAAAACTGTATTTTGCAAAGGATCTTGGGGACCCTTCTGGGATGCAGGGCATCATGAACCCCCAGATGGTGGCCAGGCTTGTGGTCCCGGCTGGGTTATACCACGGAGCATCCTATTCAGGGCACAGCAGAGTGCCCAGGTGTCTAAGGACCAGGGCACATTCAGCCTGCCTGAGGGGGCTTTTGGCCACATGTGACAACAGATGAGCTTCTGGTTGTTCCTCTCTGCCCTTAGCACTGGGTGTCACTGCAGGGAGGGTGGATCCCTTTAGAGACTTGTAGGGGCCAGGAATTAATCACCTGGCTGAAGGAGGGTGGGGGTGGAAGTTGAGAGGAAGAGAGGGGCAAGAGCACGAAAAGTTTGACAGAGGGGAGGAAAGAGAGGGATCTTTTTGGCTCAGCAATTCTCAGACTCCCTCAGAATCCAGCTCTTCATCCTTGGCTGTCCTGAAAGTATCCTTTTGTAGAGACTGATGTAACGCCTCGGCTGAGCCCCAGACGTTTTGTGCATTAGTGCATTGCCTTTGCACATTTTGGGAGCTGGAGGGTTGGAATCCCAGACACTTATGTTTACAGTGGGACTGCAGATTTCTCTGTTAACAGATTGGAGGAGCAGTGGCATTTGCATGCAGGAGAGTCGTTGTTTCGGAGGCAGGAGAATGCTGGGTCTGGGCTCTATGTTGGGAATGGGTAGCACTTGGCAACTTCACTGTCAGACCCGAAGCCTCCAATCTCAGAACGCCCATCTGAATGGGAGCCGGCAGAGGGCTCACGCAGCACGCAGCCCCATCCTGTGTGTCCAGCCTGCAGCAGGGCGGGGAGGGAGAGCTTCTTTTCTTTTTTCTCTTCTCTTCTTTTCTTCATCTTTACGCTGTCTTCAGAGTTAGGGGGTTACATTTTGGATGCTTCCCCTCAAAAGGCAGCTTGTTTTGAATAAGCATGCCCACCCCAACCATGCTTTTGAATCACACAGTGACTTTATTCATAAGGTCGCTCCTTTCAAGGCAATAGATGAGGAATGAGGAGTCTGGGCCCACAGTGAAATCATCACTAGCTAAACCCAAAGCAGGGATGCTAGCAAGAGAAGTCGACATCTTCCTCCAAAAAGGATTTATTTTTAAGCAATGAGAAGAAGACAAGGCGTGTGTGTCTGTGTGTGTGTGCTACATTCACGTGCCAAGCATGGCATAACTCTGCACGAAGACTACAAGCAACTTGAACTTGGCTTTGGTGACGCCCTGTGTATTTTTCTAATAAACAAAAACACAAAAACAGAATTTCTAAACCCTGGCCCCACCTCCAGAAAGGTCCTCCTCCTCCTTCTCCTCCTCCTTGTCAGACAGTTTCACTTCTGCCATGTTTTTTCATTTCTCCTTTAGGTTCTCGTGCCTTTTTGAATACCTTTGTAGTGAGGAGCCGGCTGCCTCCCCACCTCTTCTCACTTCTGCTGTTTTGTGATCTTGCCGTTTTAATGAGAGCACAGTCAATAACTATGGAGAGGTGCTGACGACATTACAAAGGAACTCGCCCTTAACAAGTCAACTGTAGACGAGGTGCCAACGGGATGGACAAGAGGATTAAAGTATTTATGCCAAAATATCAGAAGCACACGCAGAATTAGCTCCCTTCGTGTTAGATATTTTACTTTTGGCAAGTCCGTATTTAAAAATCTTTTATCCTTGTTTTGCTTAAAGTATTACAATAAGCCCTGGATTTTTCACAGTTACACTTGTATATTTTCACAGCTGTTTTAATCAGAAAAAATTAATGTGCTTTTGATAGCTCAGAAATCTATCACTGGCAAAAGCTTTGCAAAGATGTGCTATGGAGCAGAGTGGAATCCTCAACATCATACATTTTACTGGCTATTTGAAATTCATAGAATTTCCCCTAAATATTTTCTTTTGCAATTCTTGCCTAAATTAATCTAACAGCTCGGGCTGACATCTTTGATAATCTCTTTTGTTATGAATGCAGGGATTGTTATTGTTAACGTTCTTTGGTAACCCAATGTGAACTGTCTGTTACTGGAGGAAAATACAATTGCTATTTTTGGGTGTATTGGAAGCATTTACTAAAATAAAATATATGCCATAATGGATAGGCAGGACTGGTACTCTCGTTGGTGGCTTTATAGTTACTGGCTTAACCAAGGTGCTCCCCTGGATTTTCACCAGCAGCTCATAAAAGAACTTGACTTTTGCTTTTCAAGGTCTGAGACTCATACAGATCCATGGACACTGCATCTCGGGCATGGTGACAGCACATGGCCTTGGACCCAAATGCTGGGTACACATCATTCACTGGGCAAGAGAGGGAACTAGGAGTAAAGTTCCTGGCAGCATGTCAACAACACCAACACCAAAAATAATTAAAAAAACAAAGCAATACAAAAACAACTTGCAACAAGGGAAGGGAAAGATGGGAAAGGAACAAAAGAGATGAACAAAAGTCTCCATTTGCCCAGGTTTGCCTGGCAAAGAAGAGGCTGGTTTCAAGGGGAGGGGGAATCAGTGGATTAATGTGAACTTTAATACCGAAGCAGTGTGTGTTTATTGCTGGTGACCACAAGACATAAATCTTGCAAGCACAATATACAATGCGATGCAGCCCCCAGTTTTTTTTTTCCATCTCCAGTCTCAATTTGTGTGTAAGTGTGTGTTAAGTGCTGGTGAAAAATAGTGACCTTTAATAAAGGATTGTATCCTGTGACTATTTTCCCAGACACACAGTGACCT
Organism: Homo sapiens; assembly: GCF_000001405.40. Lineage (NCBI taxonomy): Eukaryota > Metazoa > Chordata > Mammalia > Primates > Hominidae > Homo > Homo sapiens. Next base: position 60,316,714 of record NC_000002.12, on the reverse strand, counting down.
TTCAAACCAGACTGAGGTGAGGGGGTGTGGAGTTTGGACTTTGAACCGGCCAGACCCCGCTGCGCTCCTCTGTTAGCCTGGCCACTTTTTATTGTGTCACCAGGGAGCATTCTGTATGCAAAGCAGGCTGGGCTGGCAGCCTGAACCTTTGCAAATCAATTTGTCTGTGAAGGCGAGTCCACTGGAGTGAAAGATGGTCTAACAGGGCACACTGCCTCCTCTCTTTGTGACATCATCGCCTGTGGTACTCTTGTCAGTCATGTCTGCCCAAAGGACAGTTGGAAAGGGGGGCCATGCTGGGGAGGGGGTGAAAGGGTGGGAGGGGTTAATCCTCATGACCAACTGTGGCCTGAGAGACAAGGGGCATTCTTCTTAAGAGGACAAAGCTGGGGGGTGGATGATCTGCCTGGCTGGGAGGGTGTTGGGGGAGGGCACCATTCACTTTCAATATTGTTGCCTGGCTGTAGAAGCCAACCCTACTGTTTTTTCTCTCTTCTGGGTCTAGGTATTGTTACAGGAAGGGATCACTATCTCTTTTGGACCAAGAGAGTGTCAGGTCCTAAGGAAATGTTGAAGGTCATAGTAGCAAGAAGGTTCACACCTGCCAACGGAGCTGGCACCCATGAACTCTAACTTTTGACTATTTACCATTAAAGACCTTGAGCTACAATCCCATCTCATAGCAAACCTTTTCATAAGGGTTAATATTATTATTGATTTCCTTAAGTCTTTCCAACATCCACGACTGTGCATTAATCAGTAGCTAAAAAGACCAGAAAAGACAGAAAAATTTAACTACTTTGTTCCCTAATTCAAATTTCTTCAAGAAGTCCTTCTAAAGATATGGAACTCCTGCATTTTTCATAAAACAGTGGTTAGATCAATTTCCGTGTAAGCAATGAATCATCTTTATACTTCACAAAAGATGGGGAGCAAAGTTTGACTTACCAAAGAAAGGCTGACTGATTAGTCTCTGGGTGAACAGTCTGGTGGGAAGACCACAGATTCCTGACCCCTGCACAGGTTTAACATGAAGCCCTCCAAGGAACCTTTCAGAACTGCAGCAATGACTTACGGTGGCTTCAGAGTGGGGTGAGCTTGAGTTCTAATCCTTGCTCTATCACTTATCAGATTATGAGAACTTCGGCAAGTTACCGACCTCTTTAAGCCTTGGTTTCCTCATCTATGAAATGGGGATAAGGCATATTTACCGTATGGGGTTTTTGTGAGAATGAAGAGTTCAGATGCTTGCACTGCTTGGCAGAGTGCTGGCATGTAGTTACCTTCCATAAGCGGCAGCCCTGGTAATAATATCATAAGTGATGATTATTGAGGTTGGGTACTAAACAGGATGTTGTTGTCTACAGATAGATGAAGGATAATTCAGGTTTTAAATAGCTTTATCATCCATGAAGCACTTGTTTCAACTTAAAGATCCTGGACGTTTGAGGAGAAGTTGTGTTTTATTTTGCAAATTGTCATATTGGATTTAAGATGATTGACATGTGCATCATATATATGTAGCATCATATATATGTATACACACATAGAAATATATATTTGTGCTATGCACACATCATTTTTTTCCTGACTACCAAGCTATTTTCAGTTATAACCCCCAAGCATAGGATACTAAAATTTATTTGTGTATCATGTCCTTTCTACATGAGATCACAGGATGATTTGCAGAGAGTCAGTGGCAAGCTGACAGGGAGAAAATGTTTTTGGGAGCAGGATTTGAAAGGGAAGTTACTGTGAGGCGAGGCTAGCCATCCATTTGTAAAGAGCACAGACGTGATTGGCATGGGCTGACGACTGAAAGAAAAATTCCCAAAACAGTTTGATTTTTAAGTTGAGTTTGAAGTTGAGTTTCACCATGAAAATTGTGAAAAGGAATGGGTTGAGTGTATCTCATTTTGAGGGAAACAATCTTACTGACCTTTTTATTTGGGAACTCACAACTAAGGGAACAGTAATGGGGGATTTGGGAAGTAATGTGAGCAAAGGTAGGAATTTCAGAGAGACCCGAGGCAACATGGAGTATTCTAGGTGAGGAAAAGGAAATATTAGAGGCAGAAAGATAAGAATGAGGTCACATATCAGATATTGGAATCAAAGTTAGGATGCTAGAATTCCTTTAATGATAGCAACAAAAAACAAGAAACAAACAAAAAACAAACAAACAAAAAAACCCAAACAGATAATACAGAAACAACCACAAAAACAGTTCTTTTAACCACAAGTTAGTGGTGTAGAATGAAGCCTTGAAATAGCAAGCTAAAAAAAAAAAAAAAAAGGTTATATCGAGCATCCCTTAAGAAACACAGAAGACTTTGAGACTAAAAGTAGATATAATTCTTAGCATGGAGGTAATGAATGACACATTCCAGAAAATGAAGAAAGGATGATAGACAAAGACATGCAGGTCCAGTCAGATCTTGTTTACGTGTTTCTTGGATTCAGTTATCCAAGATGTCAAATCTGGACCATAAGTGAGATGGTTCCAAAGCCTTACCCAATACAAGCAGCACCTGAGGTGGGCATCTTTCTGGTCCCTTGGTTCAGCTCATCTTGCAAAGGGTTCCTTTGCACTCCCTAAGTAAGAGATGAATTGAGGCCAGGTTGAGAAACAGGAAAAGGGAGAGAAACTTCTTGGAATTGCATGAGCAGAAACCATTCTTAGAAAGGCTGGCTGTCCTAATACAGTTAAGTGTGTAGGCATAATGCTCCCAGTGTTCCCAGAGGCTGAGTTGGAAGAAGCCACGTGGGAAATTGGAAATAGCGTGGCTCCTTTGTCCTTGCTATATTCTGCTCTGTTTTTCTTAGATGTTGGAAAACTCTCCTTGAATCCTGTCCTTCCACTGCTTATGAAAGCAGGGGATTACATTACCTCAGACCTCTTCTACAGTGAGAGAAGGTTGATTACAGTTATCAACTGGAATTGTGGAGAAAAATGAGAAAAGATTAGGCATCTATAACAAGAAAAAGGCAGAGCATGAGTCTGTAGGGCAGGGCAGCTGCTAGCCAGGTGGAAGTGAAAGTCTAGGTGCAAGTGGTCTGGGAGGTGGAGGCTGACCCTGCTGGTAGAAGCTCAAACCTGCATTAGGGAAAGGAAACTCGGACACTGTTTTCTCCTCTCTGTCCACAAATGAGGAATAATAGAGCCATTTTCTGTTCTTATTCTGGGGATAGGGTGTGTCCCAAGAGAGGTCACATTCTAAGACCCTGTCCAGTTTGAACTGAGGCATGACCATCTTGATCAGTCGTAGGAGATTTCTATGAGGAAGTGAGATGGGAAAGGGTAGGGCCTCTTATCCTAATATACTCAAATTGGTAACATTAATTATCCATCAGATAAGAAATCAGGGCCTCGCCTGGCATCTCTGACAGCAGTAGGATGGGAGCTCTCTGGAGGTTTCCAGCTGCCTCGATGGCGGCTGGCTGTGGGTGATTCCTGGACCAGGTGCTGGGAGCATTCTACAAGATCACCTAGGGTAGTGCCTGATGAGAATGAGGTGTTGGTAAAATGGAGCTGTCTCATTGTGCTTCGACACTTAATTGTACACTGTCTCTTCAATGACAAAGTGAAGCCTTGAGGGTAGGCCCCATATCTGCACATTAAAATTCCTCAGGATCTCTTACTAAACTGGCATGCAGTAGCCAGAAATGTAGCCGGTGAAACTTTGTTGTTTAGCTATTTAAGTGGTGAGGGAAGGAGAAGAGGTCCCAGAAAAAAATCTCCCAGCCATTGGGAAGGGAGGTGTTCGTGGTGGTGGGGAGAGGACTTGTGGGTGGTTAAGCTTATTACCCTGATTAACTTGGTTAGCTTGTTACCCTGATTAACTTTATCCAAGTGTTTCATATGCTTAGAGCTTATCTGATCTCCACATGGGCCATGAAAGCTACTGGGGCTGGGAACTCCTGCCCATTACCAATTAGAACTGGGGTTATGACTAAAAACAAAAGAGCTTTACTTTGTGTAGCACTCCACCATTTTCATTTTCATTTTCTTTTCTTTTCTTTTCTTTTTCTTTTTTTTTTTTTTGAGATGGAGTTTCACTCTTGTTGCCCAGGCTGGAGTGCAATGGTGTGATCTTGGCTCACTGCAACCTCTGCTTCCTGGGTTTAAGCGATTCTCCTGTCTCAGCCTCCTGAGTAGCTGGGATTACAGGCAAGGGCTACCACGCCTGGGTAATTTTTGTATTTTTAATAGGGATGGGGTTTCATCATGTTGGTCGGGCTGGTCTTGAACTCCTGACCTCAGGTGATCCACTGGCCTCAGCCTCCCAAAGTGCTGGGATTACAGGCATGAGCCACTGCACCTGGCCCACCATTTTTATTTTCTTACTTTCTTTTAAAATAGTTTTTAAATTAAGGTATGACTAACATACAAAAAAGCTATAAATATTTAATGTACACAGTTATCCCTCGGTATCCTTGGGGGATTGGTTCCAGGACCACTACAGAGACCAAAATCTGGGGATGCCCAAGTCCCCTATATAAAACAATGTGGTATTTGCATATCACCTATTCACATCCTCCTGCATACTTTAAATCATCTCTAGATTACATATAATACCTATTACAATGTAAATGCTATGTAAATAGATATAAATATAGCATATTTTTAAATTTGTATTTTAAAATTGCTGTATTGTTATTTTTTATTGCTTTTTTTCCCAAAAATTTTTGGCAGGTGGTTGGATGAATCTGAGGATGTGGAACCCGTGGATATGGAGGGCTGACTCAATGCCTTGATGAGCTTGAAGATAAGTATATACCCCCGAAACCACCACCACAAACAATGCCATAAACTTAACCACTGCCTCTAAAAGTTTCCTCTCTCCTTTTTTCTACAATAAGGATATTTAACATAAGATCTACCCTCTTAACAAATGTTTAAGTGTATAATATAGTATTGTTAACTATATGCACTGTGTCGTACAGTAGCTCTCTAGGATTTACTCATCTTGCATAACTGAAACCATGTATCTTTTGATCAACACTTCTCCAGTTCCCCCTCCTCCCAGCCCCTAGTAAGACTATTTTAGATTCCTCATATAAGTGAGCACTTCACTGTTTTCAAACTGCATTTGTAAAGTTGATCTCCAGGTAGAGTTGCAAGATAAAGTACAGGACACTCAACTACATTTGCATTTCAGATAAACAACAAATAATTTTTAAATATTGCATGGTTCATACCTAGACCAAAAAATTTTGTTGTTTATCTGAATCTCAAACGTAGTTGGGCATCCGGTATTTTTTGTTGTTGTTGTTGTTATTGTTGTTAAATCTGGCAATATTATCTCCAGGCAGAAGACTAGAATTGTGGTTAAAGCACAAACACTGCTAACATAGAAGTGGTTAGTACTTCAAGCTCTGCAGCTTATTAACTTGGTGTCTTTGGGGAAGATTTCTTTTCTTTTGAGTTGGAGTCTTGCTCTTATTGCCCAGGCTATAGTGCAATGGCGTGATCTTAGCTCACTGCAACCTCTGCCTCCAGGGTTCAAGTGATTCTCTTGCCTCAGCCTCCAGAGTAGCTGAGATTACAGGTGCCTGCCACCACGCCCGAGTGATTTTTGTATTTTTAGTAGAGATGGGGTTTCAACATGTTGGCCAGGCTGGTCTCAAACTCCTCACCTCAAGTGATCCACCCGCCTTGGCCTCCCAAAGTGCTGGGATTATAGGTGTGAGCCACTGAGCCCAGGCTTCTTCTTCTTCTTTTTTTTTTTCCCTTGCAACCATAATTTTCTTGTGTGTCTATCACGCATTGTGTGCCAGGCTGTGCTGTGAGAACTTCATGAGATAATGCACATACAGGCTCAACACATAGTGCTTGCTAAGAAAGGTATCGTTATTCTCTCATTCAAGCCTAGCACAAAAGACATGTGAGGAAGACACTGAGTCTTCATTTTAGAGAGGAGGAAACTGAGGCTCAAGGTTGTGAAGAATCCTGGTGAGGCTGATTTGAACCTGGATTCCAGAATCCTGCTCTTTTCTCCTTAGGCGGCTGGTGGGAAATTGCCAGGTGATTTCCAGGCCAGGGCCTTGCATTGTAGACTGCCAGTTCAGATGTCTTAGATGGGACTCAGAAGGTGGGATTGAAAGGGGCAGTGGTGCAAACCCAGTGGAAATGGTTGCTAAACACAAAAGACAAGTAGGCGGTGTCTTCTTGGGCCAAACTCCCCAGTAAGCTGCTATCAGTAGCATTTGCTCAGGAGTGAAACACACACAAAGTCTGTTCCTGAGAACTGCTAAGCAAGTGAACTTCCCCTTCCCTTGGGTCAGCACTTTCCCTCTCAGGGAGGCCTGGAGCCCTTGGGAGCCTCTTGCTTCTGTGATCCCTCTCCAGCCCCATGGAGGAGGGATGCTGGCTTGAGTTCCCCATGTGGGGGTGGCAGCTGGCCTTCGCCACGGCTCCCACCTAATGAAAACATTGCAAGATGGACAAAGCATAAAGCAAAGCAGAGACACTGATGTGTGGGCAGGTGTGGGCAAAAAAAAAAAAATAAAAAATAAAGTTCCAGCACGCAAAGTTGAATTGCTGACACATGGGGTATCTTAATAGTGTGGGAAAAGGGGATTATGAGATCAAAGGCCATGATAAGAGGGAGATTATTTAATCACAACTCTGCCACAAAGAGGGACAGTCATATAGGAAGAGCAGGCACTTACACATGCCCATTTCTTTGATTTCAAAGTGTGAAACACTCCACCAGATTCCACACAACCTGCTCCCACTCCTGACTCCCCAACCCTCCCGCCCCTGCTGCCTCCCACCACTGCCTGCTTTTGCTGGTAGAATGCAAGACCTCTAGTGCACACCAAATTTGCTTCCCTGGGATTTTATTTCCAACTCATATTTTTATTTTTTCATAGCTAAGTGTTTTTCTCTGGCTTTTGAACATCCTGGCTTTTGCTTGAAGTCTCAGCCCATGTTCTTTATTTGGTGGTAACATTAGGAGTCAATTTGGAGGTTTTAAACAAATTATTATTATTTCATTTTTTAAGAAAAGGAAACCGGTTTGCCAGCATTATTGCTAATTCTTAAAATTCAAAGCAGTTTGTTAGAGACTGTTCTTTGGTCTTGGAGATGGAGCCGAGTTTGGTTTATAGCCCGTTGTCTTCACACCCATCTTGGTGACTAATACTGTAAGATGGATTTCCTTTTTTTTTTTTCCTTCCTTGAAGTGGGTTTCAAATTCCCAAAGAATTTCTGGGAGGGGAAAAAATCCTTTAATTGAAAGCAAGAGAAAACAAAACAATAAAAACATAAGAGAGCGACAGAAATATCATGTTTAATGAAACCAAGTTCCATCCCTGCAGATGGAGGCACAGAATGACCTAAAGATAGAAAAACAAGTTTCTTTTATGTGCCTTTTAAAGCTCGGTTTTATTTTGAGGGTTGCCTGTGTGACTGACCAGAGCCTCACCGAGCCCTTTAGAGAGCAGGCAAGAGGAGTCCAGCCGCCCTCCACCTCCTTCGAGTCTCCCAGGCATAATGCACACTCAGACACTTTCCTCCTGGGGCCTCAGTTTCTTCTTTGTAAATGGGCAGATTCTTGTCTACCTCCATGAGTTTTTGTAGGATTCTTGGAGATGAGTTAAGGAAAGTTCTTGGCACAATGTCTGGCCCTTTTGAAATGATGCTGGCTATTCTTGTGGCCTGATCTTCCCCACCTGTGAGGCTCTGTGTGCAGGCAGACCATAATCTTCCATCGAGTAGGGCTGGGCTTTGCACACCTGAGAGGCCTCCTGGGCCCTGATGATACCCGTGGACTGAACAAGTAACCAAGAATAACAGAATCATTCAGGCAGGTTTCTTAAAATAAACTAAGAAAGAAACCCTGAACATCCTTTTTAAACAAATTAGGCAAAACACAGAAAAATAAAACAAATTTTTAAAACTCCACAAATCTGTAATTAACTCTATTTCATTAGTAATTAATGACTTGAAAGTTTTCCTATTCTGCTGTCAATTCTTGCATCTCTTTGAAAACCTTTCTGTCTTTTCCACCTTCTATCTATGGAATTACTCTCCCAGAAGGTTGAGAGGACTTGGGTATGTTTTGAGGCTAGAAATGGATTTGACCCTTATCCATTAGAAAAGGGGCCGGGTACAGTGGCTCATGCCTGTAATCCCAGCACTTCAGGAGGCTGAAGCAGGCGGATCACCTGCCATCAGGGGTTTGAGACCAGCCTGGCCGACATGGCGAAACTCCATCTCTACTAAAAATACTAAAATTAGCTGGTCTTGGTGGCAGGTGCCTGTAATCCCAGCTACGCGGGAGGCTGAGGCAGGAGAATTGCTTGAATCCAGGAGGCAGAGGTTGCAGTGAGCTGAGATCACGCCACTGCACTCCAGCCTGGGTGACAAGAGTGAAACTCCATCTCAAAAAAAAAAAAAAAAAAAAAAAAAAACACACACAAGAAGAAGAAGAAGAAGAAGAAGAAGAAGAAGAAGAAGAAAAGGGCACTGAGGCTCTAATAATTGCGTATGGCCTATGAAATTCCTAAATAGCAGGGGCACCATTTATTCTGGAATCTTCTTTGCTAGAGAATAACAGAGGATTGTGTATCACTAATCCACCTTTACTATTCTTCACATACACTGCTCCTGCCCACCCTAGAACAATTTTAAGCACTTGGCTGGAGTCTCTGACTTTTCCTATTACTCCTAACCTGCAGTTTTCCTCATCTCACTTCCTTTCTCCTCCTTGTCTTGGTGCAGCAAACCCTCTCTTTCCTTGGTTCTCCAGTGGCAGCTCCTCTCCCTCCGCATTATCTGCTAATTTCTGTCCCTTTTAAGATACAGCATGGGCACCTTAATTCATTGAATTGGGTTGGTTGAACCCAAGGGGGTATTGTTCGTCCCTCTCCTCTTCCTTCTCTCTTCTTCCTTCTCTTTCCCTCTTTTAGTTTGTTTTAGTCCATGTACCTTGCAACTGCATTTCTAGCTGGAATTCCATATTTTTAAAAAATTTAGAAAATTTGTTGATTTTTGTGTCCTTTATTCTGTCATTCCTGGCAACCCAAGTTGGCCTGAATGATAAATAGCAGCTGTTTTTTAATGTTTCAAATGGCAAAAGGTTTCCCTCTAGGAATAACAGCTGGTACACTGACACTGAATCCATTTGTTAAAATGATTTCTATTTTATTTTTTATGATATATGTCTATTGAGCAGCTTGAGGCAAGCCTGTGTTATCTTATGGCTTGTTCATCCCACCTTGTATTCACGCAAGCTCTTCCTTGCCCCATCCCAGCCCTTGCCAGTTCAGTGCAAACTTAGCAGCAAGTGTACTTTCTTTCATATATTCATCTGGTGAGTAAAGTTTGGATCTTTGATTTGTACCCTTCCCTTGCTCTGTCAGGGCAAGATGGGGGCAGGCTGGGTGTGAAGGGAGTAACACTGCTTTTTAATCACTTAGAAACGTACCCTTCTCTCTGGCTTTGCTTTTGTTCAGGGGTTTTTAACCTTGTTAAGAAGTCACACCTGGCCTCCAAATAATTGCATACTCCACATTAAAGTTTACTGCCCCTTTCAATAGAAATAAAATGAAAACTAGAGAATTTAGAGACAGACCACAGGCTTTGACCATGCAGTGAAATTCACCCAAGTATAACATTGTGTGGATGCAAAGCATCAACACAGAGAAAACTTGAATGGGGCTGGACAGCACCCTCACTTACCTTCGGGGTCTTGGCAGTTTCTGAATGTATGAAGCTCACCCATCCTGGCACAGCAAGAATGATCCAGCTTGGAAGATGGGTTAATATTGTCCCATCCTTGTTTGGTGATCTTTGCTGTTTTGCATTTTAAAAATCTTTTCTTTCAAATTGTCTCAGAATGTCTTTTTATTTTCTTCTCTGCCAAGCCTATAGGACCAGGAAGGGTTACATCTAGTTAGCTGTGCCTGTGCTTAAAGATTACCTCTCTCTCTTTTTTTTAAAACACACACACACACGCACACTCACACTCAGACTTAACTTGTTTAATTTTCATTATGAAGGGTGAAGTCCTAGTAGGGAATTACCCTTGGGAACAAAGTTAACAGCACACAATTGGAATACTGAGTCTTAAGACAACCTTTTTTTAAGGGCAATAAGGAGATTGGCTCTGGGCTCAGACGGGACACCTGGGCAAGCCTTGTCTACTGCAGACAGGCTGTTTTTGCCCCTTTTTTGGTTCACTCCATCTCTCTCCATGTGCTGCTTCTAGAACTTCCTGGTGCTCAGGCCTGGCCTCACAAAAGGGAACAACCGTTCATGTCCAGACACATTGCAGACTTCTGGCAAAGCAGCCTGAGCTCACGAAAATTTACACTTTTCCTGGCAACTGGCCGAGAGTATGAGCAGGACTTGGCTTGGGTTTGCTTTCAGTTAGAGGGTGGGAGTGGAGGGAGGAAGGTGGGGCTGGGGGATGGGGCAGCAGTGAGATCCCCATGAAGGGTCAGAACTGCTGAAATAAATATCAGCTCAGCTAGGGAGAGCAATTCCTGTAATTATATCTGCTCAATGGCTTATAATCAGCATTCTTAGCAGAGCCTGTCCCTTTCATGTTTTCTCCTCGTGTGTGCAATATGGGTGGCACCGATGGTGGGGGCAGGGAGCAGAATAACACCTTGGTTAAAAAAAAAGGTGGTGGTGTTAGTGGTGGTTATGGCTGTTTATATGAACATCACTCTTATTGAGGTTACCTTTGAAATAATTCCAGTGGGGCATTTGCTGGAATTTCTGGTGGTGGGAAAGGGGCTCTTAAGAGGCTTGGGGGACTGTGTGTTGTTTTTCACTAGGGGGAATCCTGTGCCTGTAGACATTTAAAATACCAAATAAAACTGAGCATGTGAACGAAGCTCAGAGTTGCCATTTTGGTCCTGCCCTCCGAGTGAGGATCCATTTTGGGTCCCACCCTCGTGTAGCCATTCTCCATCTCCCCTCTGAAAAACTTGAGAGAAACCAGCCGTCTGCCAGTCCACAGCCCGTGTGTCATTTCCTTCTCCAAGCCTCACTCTTTCCACAGAGGAGACTTTTCAAATTAACGTTTTCAGTTCATTAAAGACCTTTTCGCAAACATCTCGTTCTGGTAAAGGCAGCATTTCATCTGGAAATGGTCAGGCGCACATTGGCACAGAATGGTGTGAGAAAGAAAAAAATTCAAAGTCAAATCCCTTCTCACCAAGTGGACAGACAGTGTGCAGTAAGCCTCAACTGGGCCTTCCTTAGAGGATGCAGAGATTTCTTTGGAAGGGAAGAACAAAGTCAATGAATGAAAATTATTTGCTCCTGTTTGTTTTACAAAACTAGCAAGGGAATAGGGGAGCTGGGCTTTCATTGCCATTCTCAAAAAAGAAAAAAAAAAAAGAGAATTCTCAGGGAATGAGCAACAGCTCTCAACTGTGCCTCTTTTTCTTGCTTTTGCTAACATCCACTGTAGCCTCTCCAGGGCTCTCTCTGTGCTTGGGGAGTAATGCATGAAAATCCTTCTGCCTCCAGAAGAAAATATGGTCTTCTCTTCTTTGCCTGGTTTGAAGGAGACACTTTGAGAGCCTCACCCAAATGGCTGGATTCCTCAAAATAAACCAATGGAGCAAAACAGCAGTACCTGGAAAAGCTTGAGTGCTTGCGGCTGGGACAAAATTTCAGACAGATTCAGTTGATGTACAACTGAAGATAGGTGTGCAGAAGTTGCATTTCTCCTGCTGTGTTGCCCCAGACTTGGAGAAAAAACTCAAGAAGCTTAGAGTAGGAAGGAACCTGAGGGATTAGCTAGTCTTTTTATTTATTTATTTACCTACTTACTTATTTATTTAAACTGTTTTCTGGAGTTCCAGGATTAGCTTCACTTTTATGTGTTTCATATGGTGGAGTCTGGCACAAGATTTCCACCAGACCTCAAGCTCAGTGAGGCCTGGGCCATGTTCACTTTATTCATGTTAATTGCACAAAGTTGGCTCTAGGTAACTATCTGTGAACTGAACACAGAAGAAATAATGTAGCTTCAAAGGAGTTTGACAATCATGATCCAGTCTTTTTGTCCTCCCTACCACCCATTTTACATCAAGGCCAGAGAAGCTGGATGAGTTTCCCAGGGTCTCCTAGCCAGTCACTAGGCCTAACCAATACCCAGGCCTAACCAGTGTCCCCTAACAGCCAGACTAGTGTCCCCTCCATCAGTGGGACCCAATTAAAACCACAGAAGCCAGCTTTTCAAGGCCAGCTTTTGGATATTAAGACCCATTCCCCACTCACCATTCAGCCAGTGCTGGGCATGAACAGCTGGGGCATTTGGAACCGTGAGCTCTACAGGAGCAGGATTATGTCTGTTTTGTTCATCACCGTGTACTGTGTGCATACCACATGGCCTGGCACTTCAGTAACTGCTCAGTTATTGTAATGCTTATTGAATAAATGAACAAAAACACAACTCCAGCCCAAGTTCTCCTCTCTTGAGTAATCTGGAAACAAAAGATAATGCTCCATCCCAAGCTTGTCCTCAAGAACTCTAGGACCACAGAGGTCTTTTGTCTTAATTGCAGAATGAGCCGGGATTGATAGAGCTCCACCCTCAGTGGCACCCAGCCTCCATGTCAGCATCAGCATCAGCATCACGGTAGCAGCAGCAGATAGAGATGAAGTACCTTACTCTCATGAGCCTGCACAAGGAAAGAAGCAGTTTTTGCCTTGTTTGAACATGGCTACTGGTTGGTCCTACTCCATCAATCTTCTTACTCTTGCCCTGTGCAAATTATATACTCCTACAGCCTGAATTCATGAGGTGGGGCAAAGAACACTGGACTCTTGAAGTAGCAGATTTGGGTGCTAGAGTTGGTTTCACAACTTCCTGGTTATGTAACCTCATGCTTGACCCTTGTCCTATTTAATCTCTAGTTTCTGTAGGTGTCAAAAGGGAAAACATACCATGTGGATTTGCTGCATACCGGCTGTGTGTCATTGGTCGAGTTTTGTAATCTTTGGGTTTAAGCCTCAGTGTCCTTAACTGTGAAATGGGTTATTAACAGAATGTACTGCTCAGGGTTCATGTAAGCATTGTGAGAGTAAATACATATAAAATACCCAGCGTAGTAAGTGTTCAATATGTGTTGTTGTCATACTTGTTCTCATCTCACAGGAATTATAAAAACCATGGGAAGTGATTCATTCTATAGAAGAAGAATTCTATATAATGTAAGGGATGGGTATTGTATTTTTAATTATTTTCACTGTGTATCCAATTCTCTACTAGCATTCACACTTAGCTCTGTTTTACACAAATATCAGAGATAAATGGTTCCAAATGAAAGCCATGACCTTAACTCCTTCCTGGTGTTCTCCCACCTCCCTCACTCTTCCTGCCCCCATCTCATCTCCTCTTCCTGTGTTTCCTGCTTCAGCAAATGGTGTCAACATCTTTACAGTTGTCTAAGCCAACAGACCAGAAGAAGTAAAATTCCACCTCACCTTCATAACTACTCAATTACCAAGTCCTGTCAATGCCCTTGATTAGGGGGACCCTCCCCAAAAGCTGGATGTGCTTCTCCCTCCACATTCTGCTATTTGGTTTTAAGCCACAGCCTCTCACCTAGGTTTGGGCAGCTGTGTCTCTGTGGCCCTACTCTCCAGCTCTGCTGTCTACATTCTTAGCAGGTTTGTGTTCCTCCCATTCTTGCCTCTGGCTTCTACACAAACTTCTCCTCTTCCTCTCACCTGGGCAGCCCTTTCAGGACTCAGCTTAGAGTGTTCCTACAGGAAACTCTCCTTGAGCACCCTCCTGAGGCCTGAAGGATGAGTGCCTTCTAGGGGCATCTTTACTACATTGCCTTGGGCATACCTCTGCCTCAGTGTTTATCATCGGGCCATGTTAAGATTTTTAGAGACAATAAATCATAAATTACAATGTCTTCGGGGCATACCCATCCTATGGCACAGAATGAGGTGTTGCTGGAAATAAAATAAAATTAAAAAAATAAGATATTCTCTTCTCTGTATGTAATCTAAAATAAAAGAAAATAGTAAACTATATGTGTCATTGTAATTATCACTAACACTGCTTGTTATGGATCAGGCTCTGGCACTCACTTTACAGATGTTAAAACTCATTTAATTCTCACAATAATTGCATAACCTGCTATCCCCATTTTGCGGATGAGAAAACTGAGGCCCAGAATGGTAAAGTAACTTGTCCCAGATCACCGAGCTAGTAAGTGACAGAACTTAGCTTCAAATATAGGCATTCTGTTCCAGGGTCTATGTCCTCAACCATATACTGTAAGGAAGCTCAACAAAATTCAGAATGTTTGCTATTTTACATGTTTTGAAGAAATATCCAGCGTAAAATCGTTCCAAGAATCTTTCTGTCTTGCTCTTCTGTTGTTGACAACTGCTTTGCTGAGACTCTGCGCATGTGCTTCTTGCCAACTGACCAAGCCACGCTGCTTACTGCATGGCACAGTTGCCTTTGCAAGACAGAAGACATCTATCTTCCCCTCTGGACTCTAATCCCTGAGGGCAGGTCCTGTGTCTGTGTCTGTGTGACCCATGGAGAGAGGGTTGCCCAAGCATGCAGGCCAGTGTGGGTTTCCACAGTATGGTGATATCCCTGTTTCCTGATCACACCTCCCCGCTTCCCCAAGTTCACTCTGGTTTCCTGTTTGTTACCTCCCTGGCCAGGTTCAGCTAACCTTGCCAGTGGTCAGCAACAGGGTGGGCTGAGGTGAGGATGGCATAAGCACTAGAAGCTTCCCTCTCCCGTCCTGTACTCCTGCAACCAGTTCCCTGGGAGTTTCCTGTCTTTCTTCACAGTTGTCCACACACCCTCAAAAACTGTCTCTTCAGTGAAAGTTGGTAGAAGCTGTGTTGTAAATACGTTGTAATATTATTTGTAATACAAATAATAAAGAAATAAAGTTTCTCTGTCACTATCCTTGCTCTAAGGACCACCCCATTCTAAAACAAATACTATAGGATTAAAAACACACCAAGAGAGCCATCTTTCTAATTGGGTGGAGGTTGAGCTGAAGTTTCGGAAACATCTTTCCTGAGCGTTCCCTCAAACTTGAAGCTGAAAATACAAATGAGCCCATGAGCTCTTCAGTTCTTGGAGGATCACTCCCCTCCGTTGGACTAGCTATTTTTCTCTATACTGTTGAGAGGTATTATGAGTATTTATTCACTCAGTATTACGAGGAGAAAGCTTGCATTTGCCTTGCCAATGTTTTGTTTGCTTGTTCCTTTTTGGGTTCCAGGACCTCTTTCTTTTTGGTTCCAGATTCCGTCCCCCAAAGGAATCAGTGATGCCTTTCCCCAGATCTTTCTTTCTCAGAGTCTGCAGTTTTATCTAACTTGAGCTAAACTGTTGAAAATATGGCTGTCAACATGCATTGCATTTTCTTCTCACAAATAAGAATTGAACCTATCATTTGCCAACAAGTGTACCAGGCTTGTTATGAGAGAGTTTACTGTGGCAGAGCAGCAGGGGGTTTTGGTATGGCTGAGGAAGGATGCAGAGAAATGACTGTATTCACAGTCGCTGGGATTCATACTGGGTGTAAACTGCCTCTTGGGTATGACAGTTGTACTGTTTCCAGTGAGGGTTCTGGGTTCGGTATGTATACATAGGTTAAGTTTCCTCTAGTCTTGATTACTTTAGGTGTAATCTCATGGGAGTCAGGGACAAAAGTATTTTTAACTTTTCCATCACTCTTAGATTCTCTAACAATTAAACAAATAGGTTCAGACTCCTCACCTTCGCAGCTGACTGCAAGTAGGACCAAGATATGTTTAGGCCTGGAAGTGCCAAAAGCTACCAGAGACCTCCTTTTCAGAAGATCACCAACCTAAGGTTGACCTCTTCTGAGATGACCAGAATTGTTTTATGAGTAAATGCCCACCATTAATTTGCTAATCAAACTTTTCCTGTAACATGCACTTGTCTAATTATGCAAGAAATTCTTTCCATTTGATTTCCAAGAAATTCTATTTGATTTTTAGATTATGAGTCTGATTCCATTTGGGTAAACAGTTTAGTGCAATGCAATAAATAATGAAGTCTTATTTCAGTGTAAGTATTTCCCAAATATTGCCTGGGATATACTTATGCCAAACAATTTTTTGTTGTTTACACGAAATTCAAATTTAACTAGGTATCTTATATTTTTATTTACTAAGTCTGGCAGCCTTAGAAGGTAAGCACTTGAGAAATGGATTTTGAATGGATCCACATTGTTATGTGCGTGGGTGTGTTTGTATTTTAGGTGTGTATTTTGGGGGACAGAAGGGAGGGTCTAGGGAAGAATTTCTTGGGCAATTAGACAAGTGCATGTTACAGGAAAAGTCTGATGGGCAAATAAATGGTGTGTGTTTACTCATCAAACAATTCTGGTCATCTCAGAGGAGGTCAACCCTAGGCTTGCTGATCTCCTAAGGAGGAGGTCTCTGGCAGCTCTTGGCACTAGGGCCTTAGCGAGAGACATGGTGAAAGGAATCCTGCAGTATGCCAAGAAAATGGAACTCCTTTATGATGGCCAGTCAGCATGACTTTGGGCATCTCTCTTAAGCCTGCTTTGTCTCACTTTCCACATCGCGAAATGGGATTAATAATAATTATTTTAGTTACATCATGGATGCATTTTGAACCATAAATTAACATGATGCTCACACTCTTTGAAACAGTGTAAACTTGCTATATGACTAAAGGAAATGGACTCTGTTTTGCCAAAATATACTGAGCTGTACCACATGGTTTTAGGGAATCCAGGCTTTGGATCGCACCTTGGAATCCAGACTTTGGATGCCCTTGATAGGTAAACTCTTCTCCCATCCCAAACTCTCCCCTTTTAGCAATGAGAGTCCCTTTGGATAAAGTCTCAGGTGGTTTTGTCTTTCTCTGATGCTGTTTTGAGGTGGCTACTGTTCTCAGTACCTCAGTGGGATTCCAAAGTATGACCAAAGAGGATTTGGGATATTTATGTACAAGCTGGCTCAACTTAGCAGAAAAATATCTGTGCAAAAATTGAGAGTAGAAAATGATTGAACGTGTATTTCTCCACAATGACTCTAGTATCTCCACTCAGGTGCATAAACAGAGTGTGTCACATACATAAGACGACATATAATTCACATTGCACTTGAGAGTTTACAACGTGCCTTTTCACACACATTATTTCATCCATGTATATATTATCTTCCTGTGGGCAAAAACAGACCTTTTGCTTCTCTGTACACATGGGTGGAGGAGCACAAGCTGCAGAGTGGGTGACCGAGTGACCAGACCTACTCACACTCCCGCCAGCATCGAGTTGTCCTTGATCATGTGGGCTGCGCCATCACACTCAGCATTCTGTAAATCATTGGTACTTATGTTGAACGTAGTACTTTATTATACCATTGTTCACCGGACTTGTAAGCTCTAAGAGGGCAGAGATTTTTATATCTTTTGTTTATTGTTTTATTCTCAGTATCAGGAATGTTGCACGTAACAGCTGCTCAAATATTTACTGAATAAATGAATAAGTGAATTGTTCTTCATAACTTAGTTATATCTTCTCAAATAGATTCTCATAGCTGTGAGGGTAATTTCCCTTGTTCCCCCGGTGTACCTGGCATGGTACACTGGTGCTGAAGAACCTGAATATTAGTGATGCAATTTATGTGTAATTGACTCACCCAGGCACATGGAAATGTGTTTTGAATCAGTAGATAGAGCCATTTTAGGGCCAAACGCACTCTTACTTTTGAAATCCTAATCTCATATTATATTAATTTTTAAAACGCATTTACATTTCGCCCTATATGTGGGTGTGCATGCAGATATTTCTGCTGTAAAATAATTTTTATAATTTGCTTTGTTAATTATCACTTCAATTATTATTTTGATTTCACAGTTTCTGTTTTGTAATTTAGAGCCCTTTTTTTTTTCATCTCAAACTTGTTTTGGCCCTTGACAACCCCACATCCCCTAGGCACTGTGCCTACAGCGCCTGATGCATAAAATGGCTTTGCCTGTGGGCGCTTCCAGGACAAGAGTGACCTAAAAGGAACAAGAGGATGCATCAAAATCAAATTCCGCATCCCAGTGAAACTGTTCTCCATCCCCTTTCATCCTGTTCCCGGGCCTTCTCTTTTGCCCTGCCCCATCTGCCAGACTCCAGGCATGAGCAGAGAGAGGGCGAGCTCTGAGTTTTATGGTATCTGTAGTTGTCCCCCAAGTGCAAGCGTCTAATTAGGCTTGACACTGCCGAGGCGTTTCCCTGACATTTATGTCACTGTCTCTCAATCTTTGGCAGCATTCGGTCTTGTGGGAAGCACAACAAACAATGTCAGAAACAACATAAAATTCCCCGTTAGAGGAGGCCCTCGGAAACGGTGCCGCTGTTTTTTAGGTTCACTAAAAGGGGAGGCCGAAGGGTGGGGCCGGGTGTGCAGATTCCGGCTTGGAGGAAGAAATAAAACGGCTCATTTAAATTCTTAAGAACTGCATAGGAGGCAGAAGACACAATGAGTATCTTAGAGAAGAAAGGCCATCAGTTGAACAAACTAATCACATGGTAATCAAAGGGGAGTGATTCGCTGCCTACTGAGAAGTACTTTAGAAGAAGTTCCAGCCAGGGAGAGTAAAGACCCTATCGAATGACAGCTTTCATAAATTATAGATTTTTAAAAATTGCACAAAGGAATGTGCAATAACGTGCGAAATGGATTTAAAGACGAAAAGTTCCTAAAGCATCTGGGCAAAGCCAGGAAACAGGCAGGGCTCAGCTATGGGAGGTTCTGATCCCGCGTCAGAGGCCCACGCCCCCCGCAAGCCCCGCCTCCCTCGCAAGGTCCCGCCCCCACGCTAAACCCCGCCTCCCGCAAAGCTCCGCGGGGATCCGCGTGCCTGGCGTTGATGCGGAAATGCCCTTCATGTGATTAGCCGGGAACTGGATGCCTGACTCAACAAACACCTTAATCAGGGAGCAGGTTGCTGGACTCTCTCCACTGCACACTGCCACCACCAGTTTTACAGACTGGAGATTCTTAGCCTTTACCACAGGACAGGAAGGCAGGGAGAAGCAGCATGACTTGGAGTCTGACTTCTGGGCTTAGGCCAGGCTTCCTGCCCCATAGTTAGGGTGGGCTGCTGGGTGGGGTGGGGTTGCTGGGAGGACTGCCCAGTCAGAGCTCTTCTCCGCCTAGGCTTGTCCTTAAGCCAGGCTGAGCACTCAAGCCCTCTGCCCAATCTGCTGTAGCCATTTCGGTCATGTGGAGTCGTAGCCTTGCTGGGAAGGGCAGCAGAGGCCAAGGTGGCTGGGAGGTGCTTCTGAGCATCAGGGCCAGGCCAGGTCTCAGCCAAGGGAAAGGAAGGCAAGCTCTGCCTCCTGGTCTCCCGCCTTTGCAACCAGGAGCCCTTTTCTTGAGCTGGTGCCCATGGTAGCTGCCTTGAGGCCTCTTCTTTTTCTCAGGTGGTAACAAAGTGATGACTAGCGAAGCCTTCAGATGTGATTCTACCTAGGACTGTCTGTCTTTGTAAGGAGATTTGAGAAGTTGGGAAAGTCGTGACAAGTTAGAAGTATTAGCACTGAGTGCTCTTTCTAACTGTGTGATCTGAGGACAGGTAATTAACCTCTCTGGGTCAAAGTTAAAAGGCAGGTGGGACTAGTACCTTCTTCTGAGTTGTGATGAGAAGCCCAAATGAGGTTCTGGATGCAAGTAGCTCAGCACAAAGCCCAGGATAGAGTGAGTGTTCAGTAATGTCAACTATTGTTATGCTACTGAGGTCACCCTGAGCATGACGGCTGGTGGTGGAGAGAGGCAAGGGTAGGCTTAGCTACCTGCTCTCTTCCTGACCTCCTAGAGGAACCTGAGTGGAGAAGGAGCATTGGCTTGTATGAGCTCCTAACAGAGTCTGTGAGGAACTGTGAAAGCTCCTCTCCTTGTCTCCAGACCCTGGCACGGGGGTGAACATGCTTAGTACTCCGGAAATTAGTCAGCCCCATCACTGGAAGATTTGACTGGTTGCTGCACTGTGGAGGGCAGGCTTGTAGACTATAGATTCCAGCTCCTGTTAGGAATGGATTAAATCTAACCTGCAGCCGCCACATGAGTGGCTTTCTTGGGGATCTGCCACACACGTGAGCGAGGCCTCAGACACATTGAAGGGAAATCAGCCTCCACTCCAGATGGTCAGTTGGGGCCCAGAGCCTCCAGGTCAGCTTTTGGGGGGTCTGCCAGTCTTGTCAGGAGTCCAGCTCTGTGCCATCATCCATTCAGTCTTTGGCATCAGAGAGGAAGGGAGTGTCTGGGGACTTTCCATGAGACCGGTTTAGCTGTGAACCCAGAAGAGAAAATAGGTGTGGTGAGAATCTAGCTGTCTCTGGCATAAACTCCTGAATGGCACAGGGTAGCTCTAAAGCTGGGCCTGAGCTTCTTAACTGGAGATCCTTGAATTTGTGGAGGATTCATGCACCTCTTGCAACTGGACGCAAAATGCATGTATGAATGTATTCACTTTTATCCTATTCTTAAAGGATTTGGGACTCCCCGAATACAAAGAATCTTTGCTTTATCTTGCTTTCTAGTCCAATGGGAAGACTTTGGGGCTGCCAGTTTAGGTGAATTCCCAACATGAGTCTACTCCAGCCTTATCCAGCCTCATAGATTCCAGATTAGATTCTGTGAGTTGATGATACTGAGGCCACCAGGCCAGCACAACGCTAAGAGGGCTGAAGCCCTGCTCCTGGTTGGACCAGAGTAGAATTATGGTACCTGCCTTCTGCATCCAACATTCTTTGAAAAGACGATGGGTCAGGGTCAGGATTTCTATCCCCCTTTCTCCGTCTTTCGTTTTCTTCCTTCCTTCTAGTAGGGAGCAAATGATGGATAAGAGGCAGAGATTTATGAGCACCGTACCTCATGGTGGCGCTGCTATTGAGAGGCTGTCAGCATTAGGAAGAGGGAGGTTTACTTGGCTGTGAAGAATCCGAGAGACTGCGATGGGCAGGGTTAGGGCCCTTCCAGAACAGATCCAGGAGCAAGGGTCATCCGGACCTCTCCAGTTTTCATGTTCAGGCGGGCAGGGAGAGGAGGGAGAGGGATGTCAGGGAAGGAAGTCCCAGACACCCATTCGAGACAGCCTCTGTGAGGGATGAAAGGCGACTCGATGGGAAAATTGACATTTTGCACCGTTGTCTCAATGCCGTGTCTGCCTGCAATGGGCTCAGAGCACCATTGTTTTCTTCCTGGTAATGGGCTCCACCTGAAAGCCCTTCCAGACGTCGAGGGCATGGCTGAGGGGTTACAAACGGTTCCGTGGCTTAAAAAGAAAACTTGGAAAAACCGCTGGTGTAGCCTAACAATGGGGCTTTGTGCTCTTGCCCGACCCTGCCTACCAGAGGGCCTTTTGTTTTCAACAATTTCTGGCACCGGACTTCAGGAGGCCATGGGCCCTGCTTTTCTCTTAAAGTCAGAAATACTTGCAGCTGGCATTCTGTTTCATCCTATCTCCTCAATTCGAGGGACCTACCCCCGTCTGAGGCCACGGCTGAACAGGAGTGGCCTGCTCTCTCTCTCTCCTATTTGTAAGGCAGGGCGGGAGACAATACTCCATCCAGCCTGGAGCTCCGGCTGTCTGGGTGAGTGCGACGCCAGCTGTCAGCCTGGGATAAGGTCAGACAGAGGCCACCCTGGTCCCAGGTGGGCAGGGGTCACCCAGGTGACCAGACTGCACCGGAGGCCCAGAGAGTGTGCAGGAGCATGAACTGTTGGGCTCCCCTGCAGGAGAGAAGCTGCAAGCACTGATGGGAATCCACTGCAGACCCTGGCCAGGGGGCCAGCATTGTTCCAGGTGCCTCTGTCCCTTCAGGAAGTTTGGGGTCTTCATTAAGCTTGTGCTTCTGCAGCCCAAACACAGGGGTATCCAGGCTGTGCTGGCCGGGTGGCCTTTCTCTGTTGATAGTTTTGTCATCTGGAGGAGTGCTTCAGGAAGAGGCGGTTCATTGGATCAAGTCCTCTCTCTGGTTTTGGAGACAGTAAAGCGTAACGATTAAGAATGAACCTTCTGAAGCCAGACTATGTTCAAATTCTGCTCAGCCACTGAGTAGCTTGGCAACAGAGGGCATGTGCCTCAGTTTGTTCACCTATAAAATAGGCCTAATGAGAGTATGTACTTATTTTGTAGGATTGTCATGGGTTTGAGTTGATGCACGTAACACACTTAGAGCAGTGCCTGTTAAACAGTAAGCACTCAATAAATGTCAGTTTTTATTATTAGCAAGAAATATCTCCAGGGGAAAGGGACCCTTCCCACTGATGACAATGCAGTGGCTCTGTGAGTGGTGTTTATGTCTGTCCGTCACGGTCACTACCCCTGAGAAACCTTCTTTTATCACTCCAACAGACAAGGTTGCCTTTTCTTTTAATTGCTTTGATATTTGTGATCTTGCACCTTCTAACTGAAAAAATTCCTTTAGGCTGTCTTCTCTGCCTTATCTTTTTCTGTCCATTCTCCCAGCTATTAATATCATAAATTCTTGTTAAATATTTTTTGGTTTACAGATTTCACTCTGTTTTTAGAAAACAACATATACTCTTTGTAAGAATATCCTTCATAAAAAGAAAAATCTCTAGTCTAGGATAATGTTCTTAAAGTTTTGTTCTTTTGATAAACTCCATTTTTTTTTTTTGAGAAGGAATCTCGCTCTGTCACCAGGCTGGAGTGCAGTGGTGTGATCTCGGCTCACTGCAACCTCTGCCTCCTGGGTTCAAGTGATTCTCCTGCCTCAACCTCCCGAGTAGCTGAGACTATAGGCACATGCCATCATACCCAGCTAAGTTTTGTATTTTTAGTACAGACGAGGTTTCACCATGTTGGCCAGAATGGTGTCTATCTCTTGACCTCGTGATCTACCTGCCTCAGCCTCCCAAAGTGCTGGGATTACAGGCATGACCCACCATGCCCAGCCATAAACCCCATTTTTTAAAGAACAGCACTCTACCTGACCAAAACTACATTGTAAAGGTATCATAATAAAACAGTATGGTACTAGTTCAGAGAGAAGACAGAAACAGCAGTGGAACAAAATATAGTAGGCAAAGCTCATGAATTGATAAAATGTATTATTTTATATATATAAAATTATTATTAAAAATTATTATTTATTAAAAATTTATTTTCAATAAATAAAAATTATTTATTGAAAGCCAATAAATACAGCCAGATTTGTATGAGACTTTATTAAATTGTAAAGATGGCATTGAAAATCAATGGGGAATTGATATATTAGTCAGCAGTGTTGAGACAGCTATTTGGAAAAATACACATTTTGAAAAATAAGTAAATCTGGATCCCTAAATTGAAAAAGACTATAATCACAAAAAAGTAAATGAAAATTTTAATGATATTCAAGTAGAGCAGACATGAAACTATGGGAGCTATAAAAGAAAAACTGATTAGTTTGATAACATAAAATCTGAAACTTTCGTATGGCAAAATATTATCAAACTGGGAAATAAAATATAGCTATCTGGGTCTATGTAGCAAAAATACCATAGACAAAGTGAAAAAAAAAAGACTAACTGGGGAAAATTTTTGTAACATATTTTCTTAATATGTAAAGAGCAATCAGTAAATCAAAAAGACAAATATAACAATAAGAAAGTAGGCAAAACTCATGAATTGATATATGTTTTAACCTGCTTTCTAAAAACTACTAGATAATCTCTTGTATATTTGTTGTCCACCAATGTGTCTTTTTCTTTGAAATATCAATTCATGAGCTTTGCCTACTATAAGTAGTGAGAGTATGCCTACTAGCTGGCTAGAGAACAATGGAATCAGGTCTTCCACTTGTGGGTCTCTCTCTTTCTCCTTTAATTCCTAGTTCAGGTGGCTTCCTCTCTGCCTGCCCTGCCCTGTCCTGCTGCTGGCAACCACACTTTCAAATCTGAAGGAGTGGTACACACTCCCTCCTCGTGTTTCCTGTGCTCTTCTGCTCCATCTTTGGTCTGCTGCCCAGAAGGCTACCTGGTGCCCACTGGACATTCAGGGCTCACCTCTGAGTCCAAAGGCGCTCTTCTTCTTCTGGAAGGTCTCCTTTCTTGTTAGAATGCCATGGCTGTCAAGCTTAGCTCACGTTAATTGTGGCCTGCTTCTTGACTTGATTAATGGAGACGCCATGCATATTTAAAAGCAAAATTGACCAAAATTAACTTTCAGCAGTTTTAGTCATTTAGATCCCAGCAACTCTAATCTCAGTCTTTGAAAATAAGTTGCCTATGCATAGTGACACTTACAGCTGGTTAGTGCCTCTAAATTACACCCATGATCCAGATGATGACTGGTGCAGAAGGACTCTTGCCATTGGCACATAAGTCAGAAGGTCAGCTGCCTCTGGCTCTGCCAGGGCAGTGGGCATATTCTCCAAGTCCGTCAGGGATCAGGCTGCAATGTGTTTGCCCATCATGACTTTCCTTTGTAAGTCTTCACAGATGAGAAAACGAGTCAGGGACCTGACTAAGCAAGACCTGGAATTTTGAGCCAGATCTATAATGTGGAAACATGAAAATCTTTTCATCTGGATTAATGCCCTGCTGGTGGTATCTTTCTATAACTATCCAGGGATAAAGTCTAACCGGAATAATAATAATTTAAAAAAATCCCAACAGAGCCTCCAAACATCCTACCCTCATCAGAAACTTGGCAGCATGATTTTGGGGTGTTTTTTTGTATAGCCCTGTTGGGAAGCAGACCCCTGGAACTGTTCATTTGTATAGCTTCCTTGACCAAGCTAGGATTCTAGCATGAAGATAGTCTGTGATGTTTTTCCCTCTTGATTTTGTGCACTTGATTTATTTCTTCACTTTATTTTCCCTTTCTGAAGTTTTCAATGATATACCAGGATTGTAGTAGAAGACAGTCTTCTGAAAAGTGTCCTTTTGCAGTGGAAGTTGTGAGACAGGGTGGGAGAAAATGAAAAAGATATAGGGGGTGAGGCAAATGAGAAAGTAGAGTCGAGGTTCACCCTTCTGCAGAACCTGCCTGTAGAAGCCGCTGCAGTAGAGGCTTTTCTGGCTCTAGAAGCCTCTACAGAATGTCCTGGGCCTGGGGTTGCCCTTCACTAGTATTGTGAGAGAACCTAGTCATAGGGACCAAGACCAGGAACACTCGCCTTGACCACTCAATCTCTGCCTGCTTTTAGCAGTGATTTGCTAGACCCATCTTTCTATAATGGAGATTATTTTGTTTGAAAAAAACCTTATTTTTTATTAATGGTGGCGGTGGGGGTGCATAAGCAATGCTATTCCACAGATGATGTGCACGGAACAAGTGAGAAGGGAAAGGGACCTTGTGCTAGAACCAGTACAGAATTCAGAGCCATTTCTCTTGGCTGATTATTTGGTGTTGGATAGTGGACAAAGTGTTTGGTCCTCTCTGATGAGGTGCAGGCATTAATTTCTGGTAGATTCTGATGACACTGCTAGGAAAAGAAGGTGTGACAACGATTCTATAGGAGAAACTGGGGGAAGGCGGGTAAAAACAAGAATGAAATTCCTTTTGAAATGTGCCTAGATACTATTCAGAGGAAATTAGTGGTTGAAAGCTGGCAGTTGGAGCACAAAGTATTAGACAATGACTTAGTATCATGGCCTTAAAAATAAGCCTAGACATATTTTTTTTGCCCACACCAATGTTTTCTCTACCACAGATATAGTGGTAGAAAAGTGGAGAAAGCCAGTATTTATTTTTTCTCCAGGTTGGGTAGAAAATAAAGAAGTAAACAAACACACTAGGCTTTCAGGTAAGGACTTATTTCCAAGGCTGCACTAAGGTAACCTTTTTAAGGGAGGTGACACTGGGCTTGGAGGTTGGGGGAGGGTCACGTATCTAAAGACAAGAAGAATAGTAAATCCAAGTGGAGTTGCCTCTTAATTG
Source organism: Homo sapiens (assembly GCF_000001405.40). Taxonomy (NCBI): domain Eukaryota; kingdom Metazoa; phylum Chordata; class Mammalia; order Primates; family Hominidae; genus Homo; species Homo sapiens. The sequence continues at coordinate 60,290,807 of NC_000002.12, read as the reverse complement.
TATCCTGTGTCTTTGGCCTTGAAGGGCAGAGACTCAGAATTGGTCCAGTCTGATGCTTCATTGGTCATAAAGATTTAATTACAATCCTTATTTGACCAGGATTGTAACATGAGACTCAGTATTTACTAGGATTCTCTCTCATTGCCCCTCACTTTCTCCCCTTCCCTCCCACCCACCTTCCTTTAGTTCCCCCTCCCCATTAAAAGGACGACCAGTTTTGAATTACTGTAATAGCTGCACTCTTGGTTTAGGACTAACCTCCCTGAAATTTTCAGGACCACTAATTTGTGGTTACTCCAGTGCTAGAATGAACTTGGCGCTCTGGCCTTTAGACTGGCAAATGCAGTAAAAGTTTAAAGCGAAGACGGCCTCAGAGCCAAAAGAAGAGAGGAGATTGAAACCTAAAGGTTATCCTGAAATGCACTTTACTGTTATCCATGAGAACAAATGAGTTAAAAAAATTTCAAATACCAGAATACCCTACAGGGAGGAGATATAACTATTAAAGGGCTGTTATAGCTGCAATAAATGTAGGAACAATAAAAATAAATTGATGAAGTAAATGTCAGCGCTGTTCCCCTGAGCTGCCCCCACACCTTTGTCCAAAAGTAGAACATCTCCAATTACAGAGGGTGGAAACAGCCTTCAATGACAATATGACAAGGACAGAACATAGAACGCTGGCACAGAGAACACAATTATGCACAGCCTTGAAAAATTGTATCATAGCACAATGCATGGGAGAAATCAATTAATGATGCAGGGCTTCCACTGCTATCTAATAATCCTAGAAAGGAAAGGAGGGAAAAAATACTCTGTACACCCAGCGCATCAGAAAGGTGACCCTTAAGTGGAAGTCTACATAATACCAGAGGTCAGTCCTGAGAGTTTATAGCATCTGAAATACTCTTTTTTTTTCTCAATTTTTTTCTCCTTTAAAAAAAAATCTAACAGTCTTAAGGAGGCATTTAAGTAAAAGTCACTTCTTCTGTGCTTAAATAGCCTTGAAAGAGAGAGTTCTTTGGTGGAAAGGGCAGGAATGAGCAAAGCGCGTGGCTGTTGTCGCAAGCCCACCAGCTGAAAGGGAAAAGGCAAAAGTTAGGTGTAAACACAGTGGAAGGTAGAAGGTGATTTAGCTTGTGCAATTTACAACAGGTGCTAAACATTACGAAAACCAGAGCCATTAAGCAATCAAATTAAGCTATAATTATAACCGAAGAAAACTGTACAGGAATTCTAATTAATTCAAATCTGAACATGTCCAAGAGGAATGCTCCAGCAACCCCACTTCTGAATAAAACAAAACAAAAATAACCCTTGGATAATGCTTTCAGATTGCACAGGAAATTAAGAAATACTTCTCAGCCTGAATATTCTAAGCATTCCTTATGAAATAGTGAGAGAAATTCTCTGCAATGCCTCGGCACTTGGCTTTCCAGGTACACACTGCCTAAAGCATGTAGTTGGGAGGGGGGGTGGTGGGGGTGGGGGGTCCTTAACTCGGCAGGATTTGAAGAAGGAGTGGACCCAGGGATTCCACCATTTATATAAGTATTTCAAAGGGTCTGAAGGGTTAGCTCATTCTTCTCGCCTTTGAAGGTTTCTCGCAGGGCATGTGAGCCTTTTAAAGAGCTCTGCAACACTCCCTCTTTATTTTATTTATTTATTTATTTTTGTGTGTGTCTTCTGGACCAATTCCATTTTTTTTTCGGCCACTCCTCTTCCAATCCTCAATGGCAATCTTTTCACCTGACTTGAGCTTTCTGCTTTTGTCCCCCTTCAGGGAGCTCACGGATGTCAGGAGACCAGGGCAGGGTTTTCCATGGGATGCACAAAAACCATGCAAGTTGCATTTGATTAAGATGTTGTGGGAAGAAGAGGTTTAGATATTTGAAAAATATTTCCAACCCAAAGAGTGAACCATTTGATTAGCCTTTCTATTTCCCTAATTCATGATTCTTTGATTTTAACAATTCAAGAACAGAAACAACAAAAACAACAGCAATGGGAGCAAACATGTGTCAAAAGCTTGTTATGTAACATGCTAAATTCTTTATCCAGATGTCTTAGTCCATTCCTTCTGCCATAACAAAATGCCTGAGACTGGGTAATTTATAGATAATAGAAATTTACTTCTCACAGTTCTGGAGGCTGGGAAGTCCAAGATAAAGGTGCTAGCAGATTACATCTGGTGAAGGCTACTCTCTGCTTCCAAAATGGTGTCTCTTGCTGTGTCTTCACGTGGCAGAAGAGATGGAAGGGCAAAATTTGCCCCATCAAGCCCTTTTACAAAACACAAATCCCTTAGAAGCGGAACTTTGTGGTGTTGTCTGTAGTCCCAGCTACCTGGGAGACTGAAGCAGGAGAATTGCTTGAGCTCAGGAGGTCAAGGCTGTAGTGTGTGATGACTGTGCCTGTGAGCAGCCACTGCACTCCAGCCTTGGCCACACAACAAGACCTCACTTCTAAAAAATAAAGAAAAAAAAAGAAAAAGACACTAATTCCATCCATGAGGCTTGGTCTCATGGCCTAATCACCTTCAAAAGTCCCCACCATTTAATATTGTTGCATTGGGGATTAAGTTGCAGCATGAATTTTGGAGAGGACACAAAGATTCAAACCATAGTACAAGATTATCTCAATTAATTCTCTCAACCACTGTATGAGGTAGGCACTCTTAGAGTACCCATTTTACAGAAGAAGAGCCAAGACCTGCTGTTGGCTGTTAAATGGATTATAAAACAAAGACCCCTTTCATTTTATTCATGTGATTCTTGCACGTTTCTAAATAATTCCTTTCAAATTATCTTTGCTTTTCACTTGGGTTAAAGTGGTTGGGAGTGTGTGTAGGGGGAAGAATGTTTTCTCAGGGTAAGTTTGCCTTCTGGACTGAAAAGGTAGCATTGCCCTTGTCATTTGCATAGTTTTGCCCACCATTTTGAATATCTGGTTTTCAACACATCCTTGACACTTGCCTTGACTTTGCTTCCATTCACGTAACGATATGGTGCTTGGGGGGTAAAGATATGTGAAGAAACACTGAATTTGTGGATACTGTTAAATTCATAGCACTTTTCACTATTACTAGAGTTTGTGTTCTCACGGGAAACTCCATGCTCACTGTTGACAGCATTGATAAAAGGCATAGGGCTTATTTTTCTTCTGTGGTCTGGGTTCTCTAGGTCAAATCCCCTTTCCCTTTGATTCATTGTGTAAGAGAGGGTTGGTACCTAGTTTGGCAAGATTAGTTCATAAATGTTTGCTGGAAGCAATTTTCATAGTAGCAGTATGAAGAAATTCTAATTTTCATTGGTAGATGAGGAAATCAAGAATTTGAGAGTTAGAAATGTGGCCAGGATCACATTGCTAGTTATGTGACAGACACAAGCACTGAGCTACAGAACACAGTGCTCTTCCATGGGGCACCCCACCTGTGCATGCACGTGGGCACTCACTCCCACACCTAGTTTTCTTTTGCTGCCCTTGAAGCACCCTGCAGGAAATATAGGACATTTCCCTCTCACTTTGCAGGGCATCTGCCAAGCCTGGGATTAAGGGGAGTGCAGAAACTGCCCAAGGCTCAAGGGAGGCTTATGCCAACAAAAATGGCTTTTTATGTAGGGTACCAGGTGACTGGCAAGAAGTTTCAGCCTGGAGACTCCTAAAGGGCAGCTCTGGGACCCACAGACTTAGCTCAGCCCACAGGAGCCCTTCCATAGAAAGTATATGTTGCTTTGGGAGGCCGAGATAGGCGGATCAACTGAGGTCAGGAGTTTAAGACCAGCCTGGCCAACATGGTGAAACCCTGTTTCTACTAAAATACAAAAATTAGCCAGCTGCGGTGGTGGGTGCCTGTAATCCCAGCTACTTGGGAAGCTGAGACAGGAGAATCGCTTGAACCCGGGAGGCAGAGGTTGCAGTGAGCCGAGATTGTGCCACTGTACTCCAGCCTCGGCAACAAAGAGTGAAACTCTATCTCAAAAGTAAAAAAAAAGAGTATATGATTGCAGTTGGGAGATATGAAGACACCTGCTGTCATGGAAATACCAGCAAAAGGGAGAATACATGTACATTCAAACAGGAAAATAGTAATCCTTAGCATTTACTAATGCCAAGACCACTATGTATATTCATGCAATTCTCACAGCCACCCGATGAGGCTGATGAAATTACTATTCCTAAGCTAAGGCTGAGGAAATTGGATCTAAGGGTCATTCAGTGACTTGCCCAAGGTCTCACAGCTTGTGAAGGGCAGAATGAGGATTTTTGACTCAGGCAGGCAGACCTAGGAGTCCAGCTCCTAAGCAAAAAGCTGGGCCCACTACAAGCCTGTCATGTAAGAAGGGTTCCAAAGGCAGAGTGTGAGGAGCCAAGTGGGAAAGGGGTCTGTGACCTGGAGTGAGGCGGATGGGAAGGGCTATCTGGATGAGCTTGATGGAGGCCGTTGAAGCTGGACTCTGACAAGCGGAATTGGGAAGGCACCTAGTGGTGGGGGAGGAGGGAGACATGTAGGCCTCACAGCTAGCGCCAGCAGAGGTGAAGATACCACAGACACTTCAGCACCCCAGCCAGGGGCTTGGGTAGCAGGGCCCACAGTGGGAGTGTCACTGGGCCCCTTGCACTCTTCCCTGTCAGGATCTGCCCAGGCTCAGCTTGCATGGCTCGGGGGAGGACCACACTCCCTCCCCACCCCTCTAGGGTGACCTTGGCCCTGAGGCACTTTCCTGGACTTCCTGCTCTCATGGGGGTGGCAAGTGCCCTGGGGATCTCCCAGGGAACTTTTGGTCATCCCCTTCATGCCTGAGGTGTGATCTGTGCTTTCTGTCTGTTCTGGGAAAGACAGCAAAGGCCTGCAGTGGCCTGTTGCCCTGACAAGCCCTGCTTGGCAATCTGGTCTCATGGGAATGTTCCCAGCCCGCCCCTTGCTCCTCTAAAGTCCTGTCCTCTCCCATAAAAAGCTTCTGAAGTGGGGGAGGCCTGGGCACTCCTTGTGCCTGCAAACTCAGCTTCCAGCTTTTGAAATCCTCCTCAGTTTTGCATAAGTAATGGGCACCCCTCCCACGCATGGGTCCGAGGCTAATTTGACCTCATGTGGTGAGACTTCCCTTTCAACTGGCCTGTAGGGTGACCCAGAGACAGCTCCAAGATGTGGCTGGAGCCCTGGAATGGGCTGACCAGTATGGCAGCCACCCAGATGACCTGTGTCCTGCTTATTCCCTCTGTGAAGTTGGACCGGAAGTCCTTACTGGCAGCAGAGCATGGTGGTGAGCTCTATCCCTGGACTTCAACTGCCTGGATTGAAATCTCGGATCCCTCATCACCAGCCATGTGGCCTGGATGAGTTACTCAGCACTGTGCTCTTCAGTTTCCTCATCTGTAAAATAAAAATCTTTGTACCTCTCATTTGGCTGTTTTGAGGAGTAAATGGAAAAATATGTGGAAAATACTTAAAACAGCATCTGGCACGCAATGGATGCTCAATAAATGTTAGCCATTGTTTTTTACCGTTAGAATTTGAGGAATCCTTTCCTACCAGAGGCTCATTTCACCAATGAGGAGTCAGAAGCCCAGCCAGGTCATTTACCTACCTGAGATCACCTACCTGGTGTCAGAGCCAGGGCCTTGCTCTGGTGGCACTGTATGCCCAAACCAGCTCTCTTTCTGCCCCCACGCAAGGTGCTGGGGCCAGGTCTGTTTCTTAGAGCCTGAGATGAGGTCCCATGCCTCAGAATGGCTGGGGGAGGTTATTAAAAATACAGATTCCTGGCCGGGTGCGGTGGCTCATGCCTGTAATCCCAGCACTTTAGGAGTCCAAAGTGGGCAGATCACCTGAGGTCAGAAGTTTGAGACCAGCCTGGCCAACATGGTGAAACCCCCTCTCTACTAAAAATACAAAATTACCCAGGCATGGTGATGCACATCTGTAGTCCCAGCTACTCAGGAGGTTGAGGCAGAAGAATGGCTTGAACCTGGGAGGCAGGGGTTGCAGTGAGCTGAGATCGCACCATTGTACTCTAGCCTGGCCAACAAGAGCAAAACTCCGTCTCAAAAAAAAAGAAAAAATTAAAAAAAGTACAGATTCCTGGACCCCGACCTGGACCCACTAAAACAGACTTTCTGGGATAGTGCCTGAAAATCTATTTTAGCCAAGATCATGTCCTTACTTTTCCCACTTTCTACGTCTGTTTGATTCTTATGTCCCTTAAATCTTGAGAACTACCCACTTAGCTTTTGGGTACTTTGATCACATTACAAAAAGATTGGATGGCAGCAGAGTCTCTGAGTTTTTTGAATGAGCCCAAGTGCATGTCCTGCCTCTGGTGAGCCCTGCACGCTGCCACATCAGCCTGTTCTCTGGGAGCCTACCAAGCTATTGATCAGCATCTATGGGGAAGGGGAGTGGGGCTGGTGAGAAATGGAAGGTCAGTAGGAGATGAAGTGCTATGGGAAGGCTGAGATGGTTGGTGACACTGACATTCAGAGAGGCAGAGGCCAGTGAGTGGAGAGGTCAGGGTGGGCTTTGGGACAGGGAGGCCCTTGCAGGGTGGGGAGCTTTGAGTAGGCAGAGGAAAGACAGAAGGGCAGCTCAGCTAGAGCCACCTCTGGGGAGTGGAGCTGCTAGGAGCGGGTGTCACCAGCGGCAGCTAGGTACAGGGGTATGGGGTAGGGGACAGTGTGACTGACCAGCCACCAAGAAACCCACCCGCTTCTTTTGATACTGTTAGGCTGCTCTTTCATGATTAAATGAGCAAACGCACACCCTCCCTTTAAAGCTACTGTGGATTTGATTTCATCTGCAGGCTTTATTTTATTTTTTGGGTGGTTATAGAAGGACAGCTTGCCCCTTGATTTCCCTTGTCCCTACAGTCTTCAGGGACAGCATGGACATGATGTGGCTGCAGGAAACATGGGAGCAGCAGGCTGGCAGGGCAGGAGGGAACGGGCTGGAGTGGGGAGGGGTGGGGAGATGGTGACTCTTTGGTGCTGGGCTGGGCGCTGCCTCAATCAGCAGCTGCCCACACCTCCTCCCTCCTGTGACTGCTCTCTGGACATCCCCTGATCTACTCGGAAGAGGTGGGGGTGGGCTGACCTTCATGACAGATGTGGAAGAAGAGCGTGCCCTGGTTCCTGTCACTGGAGGTTACATAGATTTATCTGTGCTACTTTACATCCTTTCTGGAAGCTGGCAGGGTATAAATTAGAAATAAATAAAAATAGATTTATCAGCACTTTCCAAGTTTATACCAAATTCAGGGGTGGCAGTAGAAGTGCCTCTCTGAGCCCTTTAAGTCAGGGGTCAAGGTGCATGTGAAGATAAAGACCAATAGCTGGATCTCACCCACTGAGCCGAGGCTCCCAGCCAGACCTCTCGATGAGAGGGGATGCGGGGTAACTGCTCAAATTCCCAAGCGCTGGCTGTGGACCGTTCGCTGAAATAAGTCCTTTACATGGATTAACCCTTCAAGGTGGGTAGCAATATCACCATTTTCCAGGTGAGGAAACAAGCCTAGCAAGAATAAGTTACTCACCCAAGGTTGCACCAGTGAGTAGTAGGTTTGGAGTTGGCACCCAGGCAGCCTAGCTTCAGAAGTCACACTCAAGCCCAGGTCACAGAAGGACCTGCCTCATTGCTTGGATAAAGGAGGGATTCTGAGTGTTTATTATTAGTTGGTTGGAGAGACAACTGACATGCTTGGCTCTGTTTCATTCTGAGGCTGGCTGGAGTCAACATTGTTTGTGCTGGACAGATTAGCAGCTCCTAAAGGGCAGGGTCTAGGGCTCATTGAACTCTGCCAAGGCCTCAGCACATTGGACTTGTCTGCATGGTGACTTTGGCTGCATTGAGTCAAGTGCAGTCATTGTTTCCAGAAGTCCTCTGCCCAGCTTTGATAGATAACCACATTTTCATTATTCATCATGATCAAACAGAGTAGAGAAAGAAGGGTCTTCTTTCTGGTCAGTTGAAGTGTTCCTACTGCCTTTTCTTCAAAGGGAGGTGATTTGGAGTGAACTTTGAGTGGCTGGCTTGCTGGCAGGCCAACACAGGAAGGCCAGAGTTCTCCTCTGCCTGCCTTCCCTCTTAGTCCAGGGGAACTCAGATGCTTGCTGCTGCTTCCTGTGTCACTCCCTGTCTGTCTTAAGCAGGCCGGTGGTGCAGGCAGACTCAGCCCCAGAACAACAGAGACCCATCTAAGGCCTGTCCAGGTGTGAACTGTGAGAGGATGGGGGTGGGAGAGAACGGTGTTGCAACTTCTATCTCCCTCCTTGCCTTCTACTGACTATGTTACCCATGGGCCAGTCCTATACCCCAGCAGCCACAGAACCCCTCACCTCTGACCTGTCATCCTCTCTGCCTGTTTTCTGGAACCAAAACCACTTTCTCTCTGGTTAAAAATTCCGAAAAGCAGTAAGTCCCTCAGGTTGTCCCAAGGCCTTAGAGATGATAAACATTATGTCACCAGGAAGCCTCACTATCTTGGTAACCAAAGAGCAGGTGAAAGCTGTGAATGCTGTGCCCAGCTGGCGACGTGGGCATGAGCCCTGTTTTACATTGGCTCCTTGAGAGGGATGTTCAAGTACGGACATGGAATTTTTATTTCCTAGCGTTTGCCCTGTGGAACTTGATGAGAGATCCAACCCCATAGTCTCTGGAAGAGTTTTTTTTCTCTGAGTTCCTCTCTTTAACCCCTAAGAACTTGGCTATCTATGATTATTTTATGAGGAGGGTCTGGCTCCCTGAAATGAACATGCCATGTGAATGTAGATTCCATTATTCACTATTCTCAAGTAAGACCAGACTTAACCATAAGAACATAGCCTTGGGGGAAATTTTCTTTGGAAAAATTTCCAAACATATTGAGCGCTGACGATATATAACGCATGCAACAAGCATTCGTTGGCAGGTGTACCAGGGTGAGTAAGATATGGCTCCTGTTCTTAAAAGAGTCCTCACTCTAATGGTGGAGAAGCACAAGTGTATAAATAATACCAAGTGTGATTATGGCGACCATGTGCCTGGGAGAGGTTTATAAGTAGTTTATGTGGAGGTGTCAACTTGAGACCACCTAATTTCACATGCTGCCACACTCAGCACCCTAAGTGATGCCCAGGAAGATAGGTCAGATGAAGGAGTTATGCTTGTTTTTAACTTTCTATTTTGAAATTATTTTAGACTTACAAAATACTATAAAATCTGTACAAGGTTCTCGAATACCTTTCACCAGCTTCCCCTAATGTGAATATCTTATAATATCTTATGTAACCATAGTACAATCATAGAAACTAGGAAATTAACATTGATTCAGTATTATTGACTCATGTATAGATTTCATTTGAATTTCACCAACTGCCTCACGAATGCCTCCTTTCTGGTTCAGGATTGAAACCAGGATCTCAAGTTGCGTGGAATTGTTGTTTCTCCTTAGTTTCAATCTTTGAGAGTTTTTCAGTCTGACTTTCATGCCTTTGACATTTTTAAAGAGTACTGGTCCTTTTGTAGAATGTCTCCTGATTTGGGTTTTTCTAATGTATCCTCATAATTAGATTAATGTTCTTTCTGCATTTTTGGCAGGAATCTCACAGAGGCAGTGTTCTCAGTATATCCTATCTGGACATGCATAATGTCAATACGTGTTACTACTGGTGATGTGATCTTTGATCACTTGGTTAAGATAGTGACTGCCAGGTTAGTCCACTATAGAGTTACTATTTTCTCTTTGTAATTAGTAAGTATCTTGTGGGTAGATAATTTGAGACTATGTAAGTATCCTGTTTCCCATCATACTTTTGCCCACTAAGTTTAGCATCTATCAATGTTTCTCGTCTGTCACAATAGCTATAGTGTATTTGCTTAATGATGATATTCTATTTCTATCATTTCTTTCACATTTATTAATTGGAATCCTACTGTAAGAAATAGATGCCCCTTCTCCCCCACCTTTTTTTTTAATGTAATTACTTATTTATACCAGAATGGACTATGGATATTTATTGTATTAGACTCAGAGATTACCTTTAGATCCTGTTGCCGTGGCTGTGAGTTCAGCCTTGTCTCATCTCTTGCCCGGATCACCACAAAGCCTCCTAACTGGTCTTCTTACCTCCAGCCTCCTCCCTTTTAATGCAGACTCTGAATGTCCACCTGAGGTCCTGTAATGCCAGTCTGACCATGTCACAACCCTTCAGTTGCTTTCTCTTGCTCTTTTGAATGGTAACATAATTAACGACAACTAACATTTGTTGAATATTTACTAAGGGCTTTACATGCATATTCTCACGGAATCCTCACAATACTTGAATGCATTTGGTAGTATCATCTTCATCAGCATCAGCGGCAGCAGCCCCAGGGTGCAGTTGAAGCAATCAAGACACACAAGCATTAAGCAACTTCCCCAGGGTTGCTTAGCTGTTAAATGTTGAGGGCATACTCTCAGCCTCTAGGCTCTACCACCTGCTAAATAGGCCCTTAATGATCTGACCTCAGCTACATCTCCAGCCACATTTTCTATGGTCCCAGCATTCATTGCACTTTCCATAAACAGTTCTTGGAACAGAAGTAGCATTTCTCATCCAGTGTTGTTGAGGGTACAGATGACATTTTGGCTGCACTTGTGGTAGGGACATTGGTAGCAGCAGAAGGAGTAGTATCTAAGTAAGAAAATTATACAAAGGGTGGCCAAATTCTCTTGTGATTGTACCTAAATCTAGTAGTCCAGTATAGCTGCCTAGGCTGCAATTGTGAATTTCTTGTGAATTTCTGCCCTACCCACCCACACCTGGACTGCCCTCCTGGAGCTTCATCACTTTTTCTCTGTTTCATCTTTACCACTCAGGGTAGGTAAACCTCCTCTTCAAAATTCTTCCTGAACATCAAGTTTGTGAAGATGACTTTCCCATCAAATCCCCTCACTGGGACCATAGCATGTTGGTTCTACCTCAGATCTATGGCTATACAAACCTGTAGTCAAGGATCAAGTATTTTAACCTATTGTATGCCTCTATTGCCTGGGAAGTCGCCTTCTGTATAACATGTGCTCAATTTGAGGATTCACTGATTGATAACTACACATAAAACATGGAGAGTAATGACTCTAATGCACATTAATATAGTCCCCAAAACCATTATCTAAAACCCTTTGGGCCTTATGTGTTTCAAATGCAGAATTTTTCAGATTTAGCAAGATATTATGATGCATATCAAATATAATTCATAACACCCCCAGTGGGGTCTGAAGAAGTGTTCCATAGTCAAAGATAATAATATTTTTGTAGTGATATGAATGAAAATTCTAAGTGAGGAAAATAAACATTATAAATAGCCTCATGACAAGTTTTATCATCAAATAATTCCCCCCAGTTTTTTCACCTTCTGAGCTCTTTCTGTTTTGGAATTGTGAATAAAGGATTCTGTGCTGGTATGAAGGCATTAATAGGTGGCATAAAGAGGCACCATTTTGTCCTTAGGACCAAGATGAAAGAGACTTCTAAGGATGAGAACACTGAGGCTACTGGCAATGGCAAACAGGGGAGTTCTGTGGCTGTTCATCCAGCCATGGGTTGAGAGCTGGTGCGACCACAGGAAAAGGCCAGTTAGGAGCTATTACAGTTGTCCAGGACAGATGTCTCAAGGGCCTACCTTGGATGCTGGTGATAGGTTGGAGAGAGAAAATTTGATGTGAAGTGTTACAAAGGAATGAGCCACAGAACTTGAAAGCAAGGTGTGTCAATCTGGTGAATCAGCTGTTCTCAGGCTTTGTGCTCCATCGTTTGAAAGAGTGTTGATGTCTTTAACAGAGCCAGAGTAGAGGGAGGTAGGCGGAGAAGATGGATGCATTTGAGCATGCGGAATGTGCCTGTAGCCCATCCAGGTGGAAATAAGTTTTAAGAATAAAAGAGTAAACAAGTTTTAAATGACATCTAAAATAATATGTGGTTCGCAAATATGTTATTGGTCATGAATATTTCTATTATTATTATCATCACCTTATTCTTTTTCAAATGTCTTCATTGCTAGCCTGAAATCCCCTGCTGCCCAAGGCCAGAACAATTCTCAAATGGGCATTTACCTCAGTGTCCAGGCTCATCTGCCCCAAGTCTCCCAGAAAGCCATCATATATGTGCTCTCTTGGTTTGCATTGTCAAACTGTAAATGGTCATTTATTTAAAAAAAACAGGCTTTGTCTCCAACAAATATTTGGAGCCCAAGTTTTATCTGAGATGCAGGTTTCCTGGGTGGGTTGTAAACCCAGGAAATAGAGGATTGAATGGATGTAGTGCCAGACTTGGGTAAGTCATAAAGTTTGCGATTACGTTTGTTAGAATTCTAGAGCTAAAACCAGTTACAAAAAATAAGCCCACCTTCTGTCCTCCTGCCAAGATTAAAGCAGCCCTTGACTGTCAGTCCCTGATCAAAATGACTGTCCTCACAGCTGTAGGTCTAGTTTACCCTTCTTTTGTTCTCGGTTCAGGCAGAGGGGAAACAGCTGATGAGAATTCCCCACGAGATAGTTCTTTCCTCTTGCACAAAGGGGCTGGCTGGTGTCTGGAAAGCTTGGGAGATGTCCTTTGTAGACCTGGTCCTTGAGGGATGCCTCATGCTGGGAGGACAGGTCCCCGGGGCCTGGCAGGTGATCGTGCATGGGTCTGGAGGAGTGAGTAGATATGCTTTGTGTCTTGTTTCCCTGTTTTGTGCCTCTCTCACTCTTTGCTGGGGCTACTGGGAACTCTGTGGAAACTCTCAGGACTAGGATTCAGGGAGAAGAGAAGGGGAGATGGGTGGGGGTATTACGTAGAAAGGAAATATACAATTAGTAAATTTGATTCAACTCTGATCTTGGTTCCTAAGGATTGTTTTTGATAGGGCAAAATAGTTTTCCAGGAATAAAAGCCTTAGTGATGGGAAAGCTGCATGGGAATGAAGCAGTGGCAACTAGGTATGGGTCAGGACTCCCCAGGAGACTCCAGAGTTCCTGGCTCTCACCAAGACCCCACTCTGTCCTCACCTCACAACACCTGGGGGGTGTTTAGAGACCTGAGTGTGGGCAGTTACTTGCTCTCCCAATGGGCTGAGCCAGGACCTAGAACCCCCTGAAGCTGACCCTGGCACCAAGAGGGACTTGTACAAATACACACTGATCTTCCCCCAGCACTGTTGAGGTGTATTCTAAGCTGCATCTACAAATGGTAAGTATATTTTAAATATTCATGACCTTGCCTCACCACTGACAATCACTATCCCTACTGAGTGTCCCCTAAACTTCTCTGAAGCAGCTCAGTTGGTTTTACAAAGGCCATACAAGGGACCTGCCTCCCTTTCCCTTCAGATCCTGAGGTTGTGTCAAGATTGAACTCGGGATTCTGTTTTAGGTCCCATAGGCTTGTATAAGTTTTTATGTCTACAGGATAATGTATAAAATGTATCAAAATGTATTATGCCCACAAAGGTTTAAGTCTCTTGAAGTCACTGAGTTGACAATCCAACGGAGTGATTTGAGGGTATGGTGGTTGCAATTGTCGATAATGTATTTTCTAGAATAAGAGATAGCAAGTTGAATAGAAAATCTACAAGCCTCCTTATCTTGGTGTTCTGATGCCTCCTTCCTCACCCCTGACCTTTACCCCTCCAACCCACTAATGGACCCCAGAACTTATCCTGGAACCTGAGCTGGAGAGGGCAGGGTTGGCAGAGACATCCTCTCCAGAATCTGTCTCTCTCCCAGGGGAGCTCTTGAAGGAAATCTGCAGCAGAGAATTTTCCTGCTCTTCTTATCCAAGAGAAGGATTTCATTTGCTAGTTTATAAATGGGTGCTGTCTAGTAGTTAAGTCTGCTAGGGGACTGGGCTGTGGGAGCATGTTTGAGGGTTTTTGTTCATAAATATTACGTGGAAATGGAGTTCTGCTAGTGTAGGCCAACTCCTGAAAAATGGATCCCTTAACGTCCTCTCAATGAGACCCGCTACATGACAGCCAGCCTGGGGAGCTAAAATACTGGTGAGAAATTGAAGCCATAGATCTGCCTCAGAGTGCGGCCTCATCAGCTGTGATTGTTCAGTGTTAACTTGAAGACTCTACAGCACTCCGGTCTTGCCCATGTCTGATAGGCGGCAGCTTAGCTGGGGGTTCTGGCAGGGCAGGAGAGGCTGGCAATGGGCGCTGCTGCTGCCAGGTGCTCATTTTATGTATGTTCCCTTCTGGCATGCACTGAGGATGGCCTCAGGGGAGAAGAGAGACCCTTGAGTGCTGGTGATTGCATCCTTCAGGGTCCAGCCAGCAAAACAGGAACTGTCTGAGATATTTTACGAAGAGGAGATTTAATGCAGGAATTGGTTACAAAGGTGTAGGAAGGGCTGGAGGAGCAAAATGGAGATGGTGAATAGATGTGAAGGAGCAGAAGGAAGAATAGGTGATATCCAGAGATTAGGAAACTGCTAATCTCCCTGGATTAGAGCCTGCACCTGAGCCCACAACTATGCTGCTGGAACTGCCAAGGAGGTGCTGCTGCTGAGCCCTGGGTGGCTGGAATTGGGAATTACTCTATCCCACTGCCACTATGGCAACTACCAGTCAGTGCCAGAGCAGCCTCTGATGTCCGAGAAAAAAAAGTAGGAAGCTTTGCTCTGTCATCTCTGATCTCTCACTACTGCCTCCCTTTGGCAGAGTCTAACCAGGAGTTGCTGGAGAGTCTGTGAAGTGTAGACTCCCAGCCCCAGCAACAAAGAGGACAGCATAGAAGGGACTGTGTGGGTCTGAGAGGCAATGAATAAATAAATGGCACAGGGTTCTTGTGATAAACGAGCAGACGTGGAAACTAGGAGAGAAGTTCCTAATTTGGTTCAATGACTAAGGCACATTCAATATTTAAAATCCATTGTTCTCTGAATAAGTATTTTTGTTTTTGTTTTGTTTTGTTTTGTTTTGTTTTACAATTCTTTGGAGAAAAGAGGTTAGTGGTTAAAGGGATCAATATTCCACCCAGGACAGGAATTTCCTCTGCAGCATTTGGGGAAGTCTCTGCTTGAACAGTTCTGGTGACACGAAGTTTGCTATCTCAATGGGGTAGCCCGTTCATCATAGCTGGACAGTTCTAATCATTGGCAAGCAGTTTATTCAGCTGAAACTCATCTTTAAGAAACTTCTGCTCAGTGGTCCTTGTTTGGTACACAAAGGTGATTTCCTTGCCTTACCTCTTCTTTAATTTGGGAAGCACTATGTGTTATGTAGACAAGGTGGGCTTTCGCTTCTGTATTAGTCAGGAGTTGGTTTGTCCATTCATGACAGGTTTCTTCCTCCACTTCAAAAAAAAGCAGCTTAAATAAAGTTTAGTGGAGGCTACAAAAGGTGAGATGGTGTTGAGGCTGAAAAATTACCTATTGAGTACAATGTTTACTATTCAGGTGATGGATACACAAAAAGCCTAGACATCAGGACTATGCAATATATGCATGGAAAAAATCTGCTCTTATATCCCCTAAATATATACAAATTAAAAAGATTAAAAAATAAGTTTAGAGTCTGGAGAAGGGAATACTGCATAAGTCGGGGGACTCTGCCCCATCAATTCCCAGGGCCCCAGTGTTCTACATTTCTACTCTGCCATCCTGAAAGTATAACCCTCATCCTCATGGTCCAACATGGAGTGGAGCTCAAGCCATCCTGTCCAGAGGATGGGTAGAGATGGGGATGAGTAGAGTGCTAGCTCTCTGTTAAGGAGCTGTCCTGGGAGTTGCCATTTGAAACTTCCACTTACATTTGTTTGGCCAGATGATTGGCCAGAACTTGGTCACATGCTCACAATCTAGCTGCAAGGGAGTCTGGGAAATGTTTTCCTGGACTGGACAGCTAAGTTCCCTGTTAAAACCTCTACGACTGTGGACAGAGAAGACAACAGATACTGGAGTACAACAAGCACTTTAGCATTTAATCGCAACTCTAGCGTAACAGAGGCCAAGCCATGTGGTAGGCCAGTGTTTCGCACATTTAATATGATGTGATGTGAATCACCTGGGGAGTCTTAAATGCAAATGTTGATTTAGTAGATTGAATTGGGACCTGGGATTCTGCATTTCTATCAAGTTCCCAGCGAAACTCACACTACTGGGACCACATGGACCACAAGGATCTAGAAATACAATGTGAAACATGATGGAAAAAGTCTTATTTTGAATCCCACAAGTGGGATTGAATTCCAGCTTCTTTACTGTAAACTTACCTTTTGGGAGATGTTGTGAGATTAAAAGATCCTGGTTCTCAGGAGGCACTCCATAAAAATACACTTCCTTCCCTGTTTTGGAAAGATTCCCTCAGCTTCACTTGAGGAGGGTGCTGATTGGGTCAGACGAAGGGAGTGGCTCAAATCTGAAACATCAGCCACAGACTCCAGAAGAATGAACAGTGGGTGTCTCCTGAGAGCCAGGTGGGGTCTTCGGGGATTGTGGACAGGGAGGCTCCACCGGGCATTGAAAATGGCAGTGAGGAGGCTTAAGCCTGGGCGTGGGGCAGTGTGGGAGAGAGCACTTCCTCCTATGCCAGCGAGGACGAGGGCCTGAAAGAAACAAGGCCGCCACCACGGGCTTGCCCAACTCCCCATCTGCTCAGGGAGAAAAAGGACACGGAGCAGAGGCAGGAATTCAGGCAATTAATCCTTTATTTAAAGAATAATAAACAGCCAGATTTTACATGCTGAAAGAGGGAACAAGGTAAAAGGGGTTAAAAACTAAAAAGCAAGGATGGCAGACACCAATTAACACAATGCTAATTGACAATTTCCCCAAGCTTCCATGAAACATGCCAGGCCGATTTCCCCAATTGCTAATTAAATCAAACCGCACACACAATACTAATTTCCCTAACTTAGGGAACTCAGTAGACAAATAAAATGAGAAACTAACTTAAACATTTTGTCAAAGTATGGGAAGAAGGATGAATGAAATCTTAACATGAATAAACTGGCTCCAAGTAAATTTGTTAAAGTTCTGGCATGTTTAATGAAGTCTTGAAATATCCCAGTATCTCCGTTCTACTCACAATTGCATAAATGCACTTCCCTAGTCACAAAATAATACACAGCAGTCCTCTTAAACTTACGTTCTCTCCTTCTGGTGAAGGGTACCCAGCGCATCATGGAAGTGACATGTAAATTGCACCATTTAAATATTATAAAATACCTACTTAATTACAATTAAAAACAAAGGAATAACTTGTCTTTAAAATAGTCCCTGAGGTTCTTTGAGCTGGAGACTGGCTTTGTGAAAAACAGAAGCCAGTCACTTAATCACATAGTTGAGTGGAGAGGCAGCCGCCTTGGCTGGCTTTCTTGCAGTCTTCCTTCCCCCGCACTCCACAAAGCTTGCGGGGCTCTGATCTATCCCACAGGCCCCATCTCGTTCTCTTCCCACCAGCCCCCTCTGTAAGCCTGCTATGTAGTGTTCCCTTTCACCTCTGTGCTACATTCAGGGCCCAATAGAAGCATCCCTGTTGAATTATGTCATCACAGAATGGGGACGGGCCTTTAAGGTCATCTATCTAATTTGCTCATTTTACTATTGAGGACACTCATGCCAAGAGATGTGGATGTGCCTAAGATTCAACAGCTGGCCTGTGGCCCCAGGTTTTTAGTTTTCAATTATGCAAGAAATATGTGATGATCTTAATAATCATAGCTCACACTTGCATAGTGTTTACTATGCGCCAGCCACATTTCTAAGCACTCTACGAAATTAACTCAATTGATCCTCACAGTAATCCTGAAGTTCAGATCATTATCTCTCCATTTTACAGATAAAGAAACTGAGGGGCTGTCATGTTAAATAATGTGCCTGAGGTCATATCCCTAAGTGGCAGAAGTAGATTTGATCCAAGAAGTCGTCTGAACCACTCTATTCATTTGCTCTTTTTTAGAGTAATTAGAAAACAGGAATAGAAATAAAAGTAGAGCATGAGAAGTAAGCATCACCTTTAATAATAACAGTACACAGATGTAACCATGATTAGAATTTCGAACATAGCCTAACTTAATTTGTTCTCCTTCTTACATATTAAAAAAAACAGAATCAAACATGTTTATATGGTCTCACATGATTCACTTTTTTTCTCTTAATAGTCTATTATGAACAGCTTTCTATTGCTTATAAATACACATGTACAACATGATCTTCAACGGTTGAAAGGCAGTCCACTGAATGGATGTGGCACAATTTATTTAACCTATGCACCAAGGTTGACACTGAAGATGTTTTCTTCTTTCCCTCTGAACGTGTTGCAATGAACATCTTTACAAAAACATTCTTACCCTTTCGTTAGATTGCCCTTCACTATTAAATATATGGAAACTGGAAGCTCTGATAGGTAAGGGGGAGGGAGAGGTATGTGGGGACACCCCTAAATATGCAGAACTAGGAAACTGGACTCCATACCAGTAACAGAGGAAACCCCTTTTTTCCTAAGTGAAATATTTCACTTTATGTCCATTCTTGTGCACTCCCGCTTTCTTGGGGATCACTAAGGCAAGGGCCAGAGCCCCCACTAAAAAATATAATAGGCAACTCACCATCTGTGGCTAATTTGTTCTTCCAGGGGGTAAGTGATTAACTTTAGACAAATGCATGTCTTTAAAAAATTGTTGTTTTTTATTCTTATTTTAGGGTAACGGTTGCCCGTGGGGGTATTATGAGAACCAGGCTGCAGGTGAAACTTGTTTACCTGGTTTTCCATGTTCCACCCACCGACCAGAGAGGCAAGTTGATACCCCTGCCCAGCCTGAGGTGTAAGCATGGGAGACAGCCACGCATGGCTGCAGAGCTGGGTTCTAAAGCATTTTTGGCCTTTTTCTCCTGACTGGCATCCGTAATGCATTTGTCAAGAGGGAGGCTGCTTATCTGTCCTTGTCCCTTCCTGGGACAAAGGCAGACCTGTCACCGTCAGATCAAGGGAACTCCAGAGCCGTGTGGAAGGACAGCTCAAAGTCTTTCTTGTTCATTGTGATTTATCATAATCACTGACCCCTCCCCCAGGATGAAATAGGAATGAAATAGTAATGTGATAGGTTAATGCTGATAATTAAAGAGAGTTTAAGACCAGTGTGAGGCTGAACTGTGTGTGTGGGTGGTTGAAATGGTTGTTTGATGTGAAAGTCAATGATTGAATTATTCAGAGAGAGAGTGATTTCCAAATGATAATTTTACACTTTACATAACTGATTTTGATTTATTATAGTGGCACCCAGTCGAGCTGCTTTAGTTCTAAGGGGCTGTCAGCTTTTCTATCCCAAACCCTTGGTTTGGAACCACCCCCCCTCACCTCTCCCCTCAAAATCTGGTCATGTCTGAAATTTGACATTGTTGTTGTTATCTTCTCGGCATGGCTTTTCCCTCTTGTCCCTCATAAGAGTTTATGGCTTGTTTGGTTTTGCAATTTATAATCTGGCAGAGGGGTGTGTGTGTGTGTGTGTGTGTGTGTGTGTGTACACGAATGAGTGCACACAGGCCTGGGTATGTGGATGGTGAATGGCCCAGATAACCTGATCTCCCTTTCCTTCTCATTGTGGCTTTATGAAAGCTTTGATCTTTTGTCATTTAGCAAGCGGTAGGGCCATGCTGGGAATAGGACCCTACGGGCCGTTGGAATGAAAACGGTACAGCAGTGGCAAATCGCAATGCTGCTTCAGAATTGAAAAGAGAGAGTGAAAAGTGTGAGGGAGCCCTACAGGATCAACCCAAGAGAAGGAATGTCAGACTTTGAGAAGGTGTGAACTGACACCAGGTAAATCCATCTGAAAAAATCAGTCCTTCTGAGGACGGTTTCTTCTCATCCAAATCTTTTTTGCTGGGAGTGATGCAAACCAAGACACAGATCTCCTGCTGTTCTTTTTTGGAACAGCCTAGGATGCAAGTGCCATGTGACAGGCAAGCTAGTTACTTATCCTAACATATCTGCTTAACACCCACTGCCGCCCCCTCCAGCCTCTATCCCTCCTTGGTTTGGAACACCTGGGGCATGGGGGCACTTGTTCTTGTGGATGAAAGTGGTGGCACAGGACTCATTCATTAATTGACAAATCCTAACTGAGCATTTGTATATAGTAGAATAATATTGACAACAGCTAACATTTGTTGAATGCTTACTTTGTGACAGATGCTGTTTGAAGGACTTCATATTGACTCATTTAATCCTCCTTAGAGCCTACAAAGTAGCTCTGTTGTTAGCTCCATTTTGCCCATCAGGAGACTGAGGGTAACTAAGGTGCCTCTGAGCAATCAGTGCAGCGTCAACACTCAACCTTCTGCCCCAGCACCTGTCCTAGCGGGAGATGCCACATTCCATGTATCCTGGGCTTTTCTTGCCTAGGCCTTTGGATGGCTGAGTGCAGGTCTGCAATCTGTGGCTCTGAAGCAGGCAGGAGTAAAGCTGCTTCATTAAGGAATATGCTGGAAAACTGTGGAGCAACTAGATGAGTTTGGGGATCACAAGAAAAGTTTGGGATGAGTGGAAGGGAGGTGAAGGAGCTGGGGCACATTGGTGGAGGAAGGGGAGGAGAGGGGATGGGAAAGGGAGGCATTGGAAAGAGGTCCTGAAAGGCCAGACTTTGCTCCTGCTCTGGACCAGTACTCTGGTCAGATGCCATGATGACATATCCTGGAAGGAACTTTAAGCTTCCTAAACTGTGAAACTTGTCAACTGGACAGTGTCCCTCAGTTCTGCTTTGGTGTAATGTTCACAGTAATGTGAACACTGGGAAAGCTCGGTAAATCTTGCAGAGCCCTGTTGCATTGGTGCATCTCAGACTGGGGTTCAGTTACTGCCAAGGACTCAATGCTGCCCCATCAGCCTAGTGGATTTCAAGCAGGAAAAGTTAAATATTTTAGTTGGTTAGTCACCAAAATATGACTTCTATAGAAAAACAGATACCACTAAATCATGGAGTAGAAAATAAGATGAAACCCAGGATTTCTAAAAACTTTTTGCCTTCCACTGGAATTCTGAGCTAGGGCCCCTGTCCCTTGGCAGTGTGGATTTACTCTTCTCTGCCCTTTGGAACATTTTGAGAGAAAAGCAGAAGAAGCCTGGCTGCCTGTGTGCCCCTTGGCCTGGCCCAGAACTCTGTAGGCCTGCAAGCCTCCACTACAGCCCAGCCCTCTTTCAGGATGACTCCAGAAGTCTACTTGTGCTCTGAACTTTCACTGTGAACAAAATTGTAATAAACTTGGGGATAGGATGCCTTTCAGAGGAAGATGGGAACCCCTAGAGAAAGAATAGATACAACAGAACTCAATAAAGGCAAAACTTTTCTATATAACAAAAGACAACCCAAACACATGTAAAAGACAAATGACCAACTGGAAGGAGACATTGGCATACCATATAAAGGATTAATATTCTTAGTATACAAAGAGGTCTTAAAAAGCAGAAAGCAAAAGATCAACAACCTGTAGCAAAATGAGCAAAAGTATGAACAGGTAATTTACAGAATACATACCAGTGCTGAGAGACATTTGAGAAGATACTCAACCTCACTAGTTATTAAAGAAATGTAAATTAAACAATATTATATATATATTTTCAACTAGCAGATTGCGAAAAATGAAAACAACTTGATGCTGATAAGTGTGTGAGGAAATGGGCAGACTCATATAGTGTCAGTGGGAATGGGAATGGGAATGTAAATTGGTACAGTCTTTTGGGTGAGTAGTGTAGTTGGGTCTGTAAGAATTGAAAATGCTCTTATCCAGCACCTAAGCATAAGATAATATCAGCAATATTGTATATGTTTAAGGATATATGTATAATGACTTTTCTTTTATAGTGATGGGGTTTTGCTTTGTTGCCCAGGCTGGTCTCAAACCCTTGGCTTCAAATGATCCTTCTGCCATGGCCTCCCAAAGTCCTGAGATTACAGGCATGAGTCACCATGCCCAGGCTCTAATGACATTGTTAATAGTTGGTTTGTGAAAGAGTTGGTTACAATTTAAATGTTTGGAAATAGGGGAAATGGTCAGATGTATGATTTCATCCATGCAGTGGAATATAATACAGCTATCACCTTACTAGGCAAAGCTGACATGAGGAAAAGCATATTGCAGGCTGATGCGTGGAACACTATTACTCTCTTTTGATTAAAAAGAGATGTATGTTTATATCTAACGGTGTTCTCTTAAACATAAGTAAAAATGAGGAGAGAAAATGCACTAAACTCCAAGGGAGTTATAGTCAGTGAGATTAGAAAATTAGAAGTGACTTTTCTTTTAAGTGTTTTGTCATGTTTTTCAGAATTTAAGCAATACATGAACAAATGCACTCCTGCTAAAACATTTGCTTTCTGTGTACTCATTTGGCCTTCCACAGTCCCCGTTTTGTATTCCTGGTGAGCTGTCCAGATGCATATACCTTCCCTTTTTCACAAGGAGATGACCTTGAGGTTTCATCCAAACTCCTCATTTTGCAACTGAGTGTGCGAGGCTTTGTGACCATGTCTCCATTTTCATAGGACAGTCCCGGTTTGTCTGTTCTCCCAGTGTCCTGTCTGATTAGTGCTTCCTCTCATTCTCAGATACATCCTGGTCTGGACTGTAAATCACATGGCTTCCTTGCTCAGACAGGTCAAATCACAGGTCAGGCTCACAGAGCTGGTGAGAGGTGGAGGCAGGGATGAACACAGAGCTCCTGATTTCACTGGATTTGGTGAAATGCGACCCCTTCCCTCAGTGAGCTTCCAGCAACTTCTGCAAGAAAAGGCATTTCCCCACAAAGGTAGGTGGTCTCTGCAGAAGAATACCGGGGTTAGGGCCAGCCTAGATTCAGTTCTTACTTCTATCCGTCACTGGCTGTTGGCCTTTGGCAAGTCACTTAATTTCTCTGAGTCTGAGCTTCCTTATATATAAAAGGAGGTTAATAGTGCCTTCCTCAGAGAGTCAATGTTAGTATTAAATAAAGTGCTTAGCATAAATGCTCAGCACATAAACCCTATTTATAAGAAGACCAGCCAGATGGAATTCTAAGTTATGTAGGCCTCCAAGTGTTTGGAATCCTCTGATGTAGAAAATGAAATTTTTGATGTGTCCTGACCTCGAGGGTCAGGACCAGTCACCTTGGACAAGCCCATTCCCATTTTACAGATGCGCATTCCAAATGTCCCAGGGAAAGGTCTTTGTTTTAGGGATGCTGAAAGACGGAAAAGCTCTGAGTTGCTTGTTAGAGGTCAAAGTTGATGGACCAGTGGTTTGTTTCTCTCAGGCCAGTGTTATAGAGCCAGAGGCTCTTCCAGTGAGAAGGGAACTTGGAAGTGATATAGTGCCACTCTGGGCAGAAATCGTTGGGCAGCCTTGGGTAGCCAGAATCTATATTGTATTGCTCTGATCCTGCTGGGAATCAACCGCAAGTGGTCCTCTGGTCTGCTCCGTCATCCCTGGCTCTTCTCCTCTGCGTGCCCCGGCTGGGAAAAGTCTCAGAAAGGCCCTTCTGCCACATGTCACCTGGAGTGCTGCCTAGCTGGTTAGCAGCCTGGGTCAGCAGTGCTGGGTGCTCACTGCACACCCTCTGTGTCCCTGGCAATGACTGCAACTCTAGGTAAACATCCCTTCTGTTTCCTGGTGGGCAGTAGGGAGAAAATGGGTTTTAGGTTTTCACTTCTGAACTATGCAGGAAGAAGGAACAAAGGACCTGGATGAAAACAACAACAACAACAACAACAACAACAACAACAACAACAACACTTTTTTTAACTCTCCAAAATGGTATTTGGTCTGTTTGGAAATTTGAGCCTTAAGCTCTCACTCATTCTCAGCTCAGTAGAGAACAGAATTCAGAAGGGTTTGTGGGTAGGCTTGCTTCCCATTTCCCATGTTCTCTTTGCTTATAGTTTGAATGTGGTATCTCCTTCTGAGTCTTCTAAAAAAAGTAAATTATTCTAGGACAACAAAGGCATATTTGAAAGGGTGACATGCAGAACATGAACTGACATCACTGGACAAAACATTTGAGTCTATTCTGCTCTTGCGTTTACCACAACAATAATTTCCACCATTTAGTGACCATTTACCATGTGCCAGAAACTGTGCCTAAGTGCTTTAAGAGGATGATGTCATTTAATTTAATAAGAACTGAGTTTGGTGCTGCTATTATTTCCTTTATTCAAGTGGTTAAACTAAGGCTTGAAGCAATTAACTTGCCCAAAGTTTCCCAGCTAGATTCCAGAATATATGAGGCCAGATCTCTCACTATCAACAACCAAGTTACTATTTCTACGTTGCCTCGCCTCCCACTTCACCCCAGGAACCTACTGTGCGCCAGGCATTGTCCTAGAGAAGAGCTCGTTTGGTGGCAGGTTTTGACCATAGATTTCCATGGTCTGCTTGAAAAATTTTTGTCCAATCTGATTGACACCTCCCTCTTCCTCTGCTTCCTTTCTTTCTTCTTTTTTTTTTTTGAGACAGAGTCTTGCTCTCTGCCCAGGCTGGAGTGCAGTGGTGCAATCTCGGCTCACTGCAAGCTCCGCCTCCCGGGTTCACGCCATTCTCCTGCCTCAGCCTCCCGAGTAGCTGGGACTACAGGAGCCCACCGCCACGCCCGGCTAATTTTTTTGTATTTTTAGTAGAGATGGGGTTTCACCGTGTTAGCCAGGATGGTCTCGATTTCCTGACCTCGTGATCCTCCCGCCTCGGCCTCCCAAAGTGCTGGGATTACAGGCGTGAGCCACCACGTCCGGCCCCTTTCTTTCTTCTAGAGGAAGAAAGTCCCAAATACCTGGTGGTTGCCATATCTCCTAGCCTATGTGGTCAACATTTAATTACATTAGCATTTGTTTCCACTAAAAAAGTAATCACATTACTGCCTCTCATGTCACATTAGTGAAAATGGATACCAATATGATACATATTAATAGAATATGATGGGAAATTGCTAATACAATTAGACTTTCACGTTTTATTAGTTCTGGAGTGACACTATGCCGAAGAACAGCTCACCTTAGTGGCGATGAGGAAAAACGTGGAAAGTAGTGGATGTCTTCCTATTTCGAATGGACTGAGCAGGATCTCAGGGGTCCTGGGGGCATCCATGGGGTCCCATGATCCGTTTCTGGGCCCCACTTCCTGCTCCTTCCTGTAACGTGAGCACCTTTTGGATTTGGGCTGGGAGAGGAGTTCCTCCTTCACAGCCAGGCTGTGTTGCCTGAATTGTGGTCATTAAAGTATCATGTAACATGATCCTGCTTGGGTGGCCCCAGATCAGATAGAATTAATATTTCATTATCCCTTCTGTGGCTAGTGCTAGCAGAGAGGGGGACAAGGCAGGAAAAATGTCCCCAGGGCCCTTCCCAACGCTCACCGTCAGTTCCCTGATAGGCCACTGCATTTGGCTGGGTGCCCCAGGAGTGACATTTGGTTGCTTTGTGTTCCTAGGGGTCTCCACCTTCCATCCTTCTCTTCCTGCCCACCCCCTTCTTTCCACTCGCCCAAGTGATGGTGAAAAGCCTCTTTACTGCATCGCTGGTGACCATCTGTAGGTGTGTTGTCGAGGAGCTTCTGTAGTTCACGTTCAGTCCTGGTCGATTGTCTGCCGCCATATTGGATCTTACTCCTGTGACTTTGTCTCCTCACGTCCTCTACTTGAAATGCTCTGTACAAACCCACTTGTCTTTCCAGGCCCATTTCAAATTCTCTTTCTTCCATGAAACCTTCCCTTTCTACTCCAAGTCGATGTTACCCCTGAATTAAACATATACTGCATATCTCCTTATGTGTTCTCATGGGACTACCTTAATAAGTTACAGTGGCTTTGTTCAAAACAAAAAAAATGATTCTAAACTCTGAGAACAAAGCAGACAAGGCCTGGTGAGGTGAACATTAGACGTGGGAGGAAATGAGGGTATCAGAAGTAAGCTGGCGTTCGTGTGGGCGGCACTTTGGGCTGACGGGAGCATGGGGTGCGGTGCAGTCTGGGAAGTACAGACCAGGACTCACAGAGGAGCACGGCTCCTGCTTCCTTCCCTCTGTAACTCATCTCCTGGTATTTGATTTTATCTCTCCCTGGCACATGGTCCAGAACTCGGGATCTTGAACGGAAAGCCAGTGATGCTACAATTGGGAAGAAAAACTGTGGCAATTAAGGAAGACATCTATTGCCTTGACAAGGATTCATTTTGTGGGGAGGAGTTGGGGAAAAGAGATAAAGGTGGGACGAGGACAACCCGTCTTGTAAATAATAGGTAATTTACTTGGGAGAAAGCTATACGTTGTGGATAGTAAAAAGAGAACTTACAGCCTCAGAGCTGTCAGCCAACCTAAATCAATATGGCAGCAGGGATTTTATTTGCCAGCTCTTTCATGTTCTTCTACTGGGAGGGCCACCAGTGGAAGCTCTGGAGAGAGCAGGGAGAGGCAGCAGATGGGCAACATGCACTACAGAACACAGGAAGGTGCATGGCTAGGGGCACGATCACGGTTCTGGGAATTGGGCAAACTGAGTCTACACGTAGGAGTTGTCAACAGAAGAACAAGGGAAGGGTGCTGCATCAGGTTATGGGTAAGTCCCCTTTCCATTCTGGAATTCTGCAACTCCACCGAAGAGGGGGTATACCAAGTGTCAAATGAGAGACTTTGAAACTCAGTCCTGGTGTGGAGTTCTGGGAGCAGGTAGGCTATGGGTGAGTACTGGTAGGATCTAGACGGATAGGGTGAGAGTAGAGTGGGAGGGCCAGGGAGTGCCCTCAGAGCAGGAGAAAGGGCACAAGCAGAGGCGGTGGCAGGAACTCCCAGCAGGGTACGGGGGATTGTGAATAAGAGGGCTTTTTATAGGGAGGATGAATTGCAAGGCTGGGGTCAGATGGTGGACAGCATGGGATTGGCAGCCTAAAATGTGTGTGTTTGACTCTGTAGGTCAAAGGAAGTCAGTGAAGGCAAACTGTTTCTCACTTGGAGCTTGCCTCACTGTGATAGCTCACGAGGGACTCCCAGGAAGGCAGCAAACTCTGTGCAGTCCATTCTCCAGGCCTGGAGTGCTAGTGGACGATCCTGATGTCAAAGTAGGGGGGCCCTGTGGGAGGCGAGCGTGAAGGAAGCCATCCAGGGGTGGGGAGAAGCTGAGTGAGTGGGTTTGCTAACCAGGTTTCAAAGTGGAGAGAAGGGTGAGGGTGTATCAGGGACCTCTTTTAAAATTTATATCCAGTCTGCCACTTAGAGGTACCTCTTAGAGGCACAATCCAGGTGTCTTGGTGGCCTTCCTCTCTTGTTTCTTTCCTTGGCCTCTTAAGAACACGCACACCTGGGCGCGCAGTGGCTCACACCTGTAATTCTAGCACTTTGGGAGGCTGAGGTGGGCAGATCACCAAGGTCAGGAGTTCGAGACCAGCCAGGCCAAAATGGCAAAACCTTGTCTCTACTAAAAATACAAAAATTAGCTGGGGGTGGTGGCACTTGCCTGTAATCCCAGCTACCCGGGAGGCTGAGGCAGGAGAATCGCTGGAACCCGGAAGGTGGAGGCTGCAGTGAGACAAGATCACCCCACTGCACTCCAGCCTGGGTGACAGAGCGAGACTCTGTCTCAAAAAACAAAAAGAAAAACAAAACACACACACACATACGCGCAACTTGAAGGTGACTGTGGATGCCTGCCTGACTTAGGCTGAGTCCTGAAAAATCCCACACAAAGTGAAAGTAAAATTGAGGCAATTGTCAATTACTTAATGAACCTAATGTGTTCTGACCCAGTGTTCTGGGGCAAGGAGTTCTGGCCACACAATGTCTGCAAGGTGGGGACAGTTTATTACCATTGTATCGTCACTGTCGCCATCGCAAGAGGACAACCCTGCATCAGACAGGCCATTGACCAGTGCAGTTCCCTTTGATTTGTTCTCCTTCTTCCCAGCATATTTCCTGAACATACATGTAAAATAGGTGTTTGTAAGTTCCGTGAATTACATATTGAAATTGTTATCACTGCTAAGTCCACTATAACAAACAATACTGATTATAGAGCAGGAATATATTTTGTAATTATAATGTTCTTCAAACTTCTCTGATTGACACACAGCATATTTAAACAGGGATGATCAAAAATTATGTGCACAGTGCGGTCCTTATCTTCCCTTGGGCAGCACAAAAGCTCTCCTCAGTAGGTAACAGCCACCAGCCAGCCTTTGAGCAGCTGTGTCGAGATGGATTCAGTTCCTTTGCTGAGGGGGGGTTGTGGGGGAAGACACCCCTGCTTTTAAATCAAAGACAATTCAGTTTGGAGAAAGGTGTACCTTCTGGAAATAAATAAAAGGAGGTGCAGTGTATT
Organism: Homo sapiens; assembly: GCF_000001405.40. Lineage (NCBI taxonomy): Eukaryota > Metazoa > Chordata > Mammalia > Primates > Hominidae > Homo > Homo sapiens. The sequence goes on along the minus strand of NC_000002.12, from coordinate 60,262,540 downwards.
GTCAGCTGGCCGTCTTAAACCAATAATGCAGGCAGTCTGTCTTGCATGCCCATTCTGTTATGAGGGGGAGGAGCACCTGCCTATAGGCTGGTCCCTAAATAAAAGCCCTCGTCGGGAGATGTCCAGGGGTGCAAGTGAGTCTTGCTCTGCTCTTCAAGGCCTCTCCAGAGCCAGGCTGGCAGCGTGCCTGCCAGGGGTCTGAGGATGTTAATGTCCTTTACCTCCAGATCACATCAATCTGCGTCCATTATTTTGCCAGGCAGGGACACCTGGACGGGAGGCTCTATTTTCTTTGAATGGCCTCTGGCTTATAAAACAAAACCAGCAAAGAGCACGTAATCCCTTTGAGTATTCTTCTGGTGTGCCTAATGGGAGTTTTTGAGTGCCAGGTACTGTGAGAAGACTCTTGGTTGAAAAAAAAAAAAAGGTAAAAAAAAAAAAAAGGAAGGCAGCATTTTTTTAATCATCTTTTTTTTTACAAAGTGGTGACATTCAGTCTTGAATCAAAGGGAACAGTTTCCAGGTAGAAAAGTCTCGTGTTTGTTTCCTGTCAGCTACCAACTACCAGCATGTTTTCCCTCCAAACTTTGTGCAAAATCAACTTACCTTGATTTAAGCCACAAAGAAAAAGACTTGGGGGTTGGAAGGGTGGGAAAGGGGGAAGCTTTTAAGAGATTATCCTTTTGGAGTCTTGATAGATTAAGAGGGTGATCAAACTTGGCAGCATCTTAATAATAGGGCCACGTGAATTTTGGCCAGGCTAATGGAAGCTCTTTTGTCAATTTCCTGTAACCGTGCTTGACAGGACTCAGGAAATGGCACGACTGGCCCACCTTTGATACCTAGAAAGGGCTTAATGAGATTTAAAGGTGCAGCACCATGACTGGAGTTTCCCACATTAGGTGTAAGTTACACAAAAAGTCCTTCTATGTACCAGTCCCTTGCTGGCTTTGTCGCCTGCCTGCCACAATTCAGAATGTGTTTTTTCTATAGAAGTAACAGCTGAAAGCCGGGCGGCTGAGTTTCCGAACAGAAATTGTTTTTCTAAGAAGACCCCCTTTTTTTCTTTGGTTCCATTCAGAGCTGTGTCTCTGAAATATTATCTATCATAAAAAACATGACATGAATTTACTATGGCAGTCAGCTGCAATTTTTAAATACATTCATTAGGTTAGTGAGTAACATCTTCCCTTCCCAAAGAGACAGGGATGAAGAGCGGGAACATCAGACTGTTATGTCTTGGGGGTAGATAAGGAGGGGTGTGGGCGAGGCCATGCCAGCACATGTGAGCCCAGATGGGGCCCACACGTTTCTGATGGAATATTTGAGCTGGAAGTATTTAACATGAAAGATCCTGCCTCCAGGACCACTCTGTAAGCCGGAAAGGGGCTGGGAGTCATGATGTGTCCACGTATGTTTGCTATGTCAGACTGAGGGTGGAGCTGCCCAGACAGGGTGTGGGGGTTACAAAGTCAGTCTTGCTAGCCTTCTGACTGTGGCTCTTCGGGGGACCTCGAGGCAAGCTAAAAGGTTTGTCTCTGGCAGCTATCCTGGTTAGGCTGTGCTGGAATAGAATAGACCGCACTTAAAGTGAGTGAGAAGTGTTCTTAGAATCCTGTTCATTTTGTTACCTGTCTGACCTGTGGGCATTGGGCCTGGTTCCCTGCGTGCAGGAAGCTCCTCTGCCGGCCAAAAGGCTAGAGATCTTGCACCACACCACCTTCTAAGCATGACTCAGCTCCGTGGGAAGCTGCCAGCCAAGACTTGAATGACCTTCCTGAGCTCGTTTTGAATTCTGGCCCTTTTACTAAGGGTTAAAGATGAACTTGACATTACCATGTCTCTTGCCCATGCTAAGTAAAACCTGAACAAATGACCCCGAACTTCTCCAGTCGGGTGGCCATGGCGCCCTGCCTTGTGTCCAAGAATGAGACTGAGAATGGTGCTTCCAACTTCCAAATTGGGCAGCAAAATGTTTACATTCCCCAAACGAATCAAGGCCTGAACTTCCTAGAAGCCAAGCTGACAAGCACATGGATTGATATTTAAAGGGGGCAAAGCTCCTAGGAATATTTAAAATGGACTTTCATGATATGCAGCATCCATATTTTAGTTTAGAATTGCCCACGGATGCACTTAAGGAATCAATGAGAATGAGTGAAACGGATAGGCCTTGTGAGAGTTCAAGTTTTTCTGTTTTACCTCATCTGCCTTATAAGAATGGATGGTTTCTCTTTTTTCTGTCTTATGCTTGTGATTTATAAATATCAGACCCCCTTTTGCCATCATTGGCCTGGCATCAGCCAACATTTCTCCTAAGTAACCTGGGTTTTCCTTCTGTGGTATTCAAGGTACCACTTGGGAGAAATCAAATATAAACTGATCTATTTTATAGCTAGGCGTGTGTTTTAAAATACTACCTGTTTAAAATATTTGCAAATAGAAGCTATTGAAATGCTCACAAATGGCTCCTAAAAATGTGCAAAGGGCCAGGTAAAGTTGGAGGTTGCACATTCAGGAGACCCAGGAGGAAGCTGGCTGATGTGGTTTTGGGCCAGAGGCTGCTGGTTGCACCAGCTGTGATGAAGAAGCAGCACATGAGCTTGGCTTAAATGCCAGTGCCACAATTTAGTAACTGTGTGACTTTGAAAAATCACTTGTTCCTTTCTGAATGGTGGTGCCCTTAGCTATGAAGTGGAGATAATACCAACCTTATAAAATTGCTTTGAGAGACTCTCACATTTTTGACCATGAACCACAGTAAGAAATACAGTTTACATCATGAGCCGGCACAAACAACTACATACGTGCACTTGTAAAATGAAAACAAACATTTCATAAAACAATTTTAACCTATAGTCTAAAAATGCTCCCTGATAGTTTCTATTATATTGTGTTTTTTCATTGGATATGGTGATTGCAACCCACTACATTGATTTTATGACCAAGGAATGGGTTGCATCACAGTTTGACAAACACTGTAGGCACTTAATAAATGTCCATTCCCTTAATATGTTGAAGAGCCAGATTTCTTACTAATTAGGATATAAGTTACACTGCAGAAGCAAACCCTGACACACCTGTGGCATGATACTGTGAAGCTTTATTTCTTGCTTTTGTCAAGTTCGGTGTGGGTTGGGCAGCATTTCAAGGCAGCGCTGTTCTGTGTGGGATCCAGGTAGCTTCCATCTTATCACTTCGTTGTTTCCGCATGTGGCTTCCACAGTTGCAACTAAGGGAAAAAGAGGGATGGAATGTCTCATGGATGCTCTTAAGGATTAGGTCTGAAAATGGGTATATCACCACTGCTAAACTCTAATGGCCAGAACTAAGCCACATGGCCCTAACCCAACTGCAAGGGGGATGGGGACATATGGTCTTCCTATGTGCACAGGAGAAGGAAAGTGTCAGGTGGTCATAAGGAATGATATAAACCACATACAGTAGTATTTAGGCAGGACCCAGGGTAGGTCTTTGACACACTTTGCGATCAAGTAATGAAGACACAGAACTGGTCTAATTTGAGTCATTGTTGCCCAATCACAAAGGAACAGACTAAATTAATGACTTCATGGGGCCTTTTTATGCTTTATTATATGCCACTCCCATGATTCTGAAGTTTCACAGACTTATGGTTAAAGATAGAGTTTTCTACAACTATTGTAAACTTACCTATTGCTTGATCTTGGAGCTCAAGGGTAACATCCTTACAGGACAATGGAATAGGACCGAAAGTTCTATTTCAAGTTGGTGAGCCCAGAGTGTGCATATATAATAACAAACTGATAATGACAGTGAACATTTATTGAGTGCTTACTGTGTACTAGACAATGAGCTAAGCAGTTCACAAGCTTTGTCTCAATTCATCATCATCATAACATTATTAGACAGACTCTTAGACATCTTAGTCCTCTTTAAGATAATCTATTCTGCTACCCTCACTTCAAAAGTGAAAAAGAGTGGAAGTTCAGAGAGATCAAGTGATTTTCCCAGGGTTGCACAGCAAATTAGTGTTTATGCTAGGATCAAAAGCCAAGATCTGGCATTCCCTCTGAAAAGGACATATGAGGGACACACTGGTCGTTTTAGTGGCCTTAGCAAAGTTAATTGAATCTTCAACTTTAGGGTTTTCAGTTTTACCCACGTGTACACCAGAAATGCTAATCTGTGCTATGATAGAATGGCCAAAACTCCATGACTACTATTAAAGTTTAAACTGGTCATGTTAGGTAGAAATAACCAAAGTTTTCTCAGTCAATTCAGGTATAGACTGGGTAACTTACACTCTTACTCTCAACTTCAGCTAGAAACATTAAGTCTAGATTGTAGTAAAAGATCCTCATTCATGATTTCTATTTGTTTTCAAATAAGTCTGCATGCTGTCTTCTTATTGCCAAGAAGTCCTTGGTTACTACCAGTACTGAAAAGAAAAATTGGAATTTGCCAAAAGAAAGCAAATGTGATACTGATTCTGATAGGATAGAGGGAGCTGGTTTAAGCCACAGTTTAATGGGTGTAAGCTTAAGGAAGAACTTTCTAGTGACAAAGTTGTTAAGCTCTCCTAGAGGTGACTGAGGAGGGTTCTAGCACATCTCTCTTTGGAGGTCTGAAAAGATGCTTTTCCAGACCAGCGCAAATCACAGATGTTGACTAATCGTCTTCCAAGGAATATATAAAGATCATTTTATAATTTTATGAAATCGGTTTATCGTAGTTGTTCAGTGTAGCACATATCTTCATAAAAAGTTACAGAAAATTATACTCTGCGCAGTGTGTGTACATGTATGCAAACAATTTGTACACACATGGCCCAGATCCAAGTATCCTTTAGAATGCCTTCCCGAGAAGGGCCAAAGGGCCTGGATGTTTATAGTGAGGGGTTCCTAGCCTGGCTTGGTTGGAATTTGCAGTCTTATTGTCTGCATGTGCATTTGCAGCTAAGATGAGAAATTCTCTATCTAACATCCTCCACACATTTATATTTTTTGGATCAAGAAAAGGGCAAAAAAGTTACTACTTAGGTAGGAGCTTCCAGTGTGACTGTCCCTACTCCCTCCACTCTGCATATGTGGATGTTCTTCCAGGTTTACAATTAATCATGTGTCCTGAAGGGGCGGGTAGGCTGGGGGAGCAACATCTCACAGCTTCGCTATTAACCAGCATTTACAAGGGTGTGCTGCTTGGGGGTGTCTGGGCTCCCAGGGTCTTCTCTGAGGTGTGCAGTCTGCTAGGCAGGGCATTTTTATGTGGTGTATGTACTGATAATTTTATTAACTGGAAATCAAGTCTTTTCTGCCTCAACACAGACTCCCAATATTCCCGCATAATGTGTTTGACATTTCTGAGACAGTGCAGTCTGAGGAGTATGAGCACTGAATAGGGAATCAGGAATGCTAGTTTTTGTCCTGATTTGGCTGCTGACCTGCCTCTCCCTTGGCAGCTTGCCTAACCTCTCTGTGCCTCATTACCTTCCTTTCCCCACCTGGAAAATCAGGACCATTTCTTTTACCTGCTCTAACTCAGAGGTGTCAGGTGCAGCCAGGCAATTTTCTTGGTGCTGTTGGCAGGGAACGTATGCTATACATCTATGATGGTGTTTTTGTCTTTGTTATGATTACAGTTATTTATTTTTTAATGGCTCAGAAGAAACCGCTGTGAACTTAGTATAAGAGGACAGACTCTATATTACAATGATCTACTGTTGAAATGCAGTCTTTCAGATCTATGATATAATTTCCAAATGCCACCTTCTGAATGCAAAACAGCACTTTGTCCTAACCCTTGAGATCCAGCTATCTGGGGCTCAATTCTGAGAGAGGTAAGCATCCTTCTTTCACTTTTTCACTGGACAAGGTAGGCCTCATTTTCTTCTTTCACTATAACAATTTGGAAGCCCCTTTCTTCGCCCCAGCCCTGCTCTTTTACATCTTTTGTATGCCCAGGGTGGAAGAAAACCTCCTGAGGCTTATTACCTGCAAACAGTGCTTCTAAAAAGGAGACTGTTTCAGAAAGTTCCAAGCACTGAAAATGGGTGTGTAATAAACTGTGTTTTGCATCTTTAATTATAGCATTTTACACCACAAATGCCATAATCATATGCTTTCTCTCGGGCTAAAGTAATGTGCAACTCTAGGTTCATTCATTAATGAACTGGCAAATCAACCATGGGTCTTGTCAAAAACATCACTGCAGTGTGTGTGCCTCTATATAGACCATGGGATCAATCTGTACTGGATCCCCTCTCCCAAAGGGCACTCAAAGGCCTTCTGAACAAACGTCTTGCTCAAATATGCAGGTTTTCTGATGTGATTTTATATAGTAACTACTGGTCCTTAGAAAAAAAAAGAATTGTTTCTGAAATTTGGCAAGTGAAGGATGCAAGGGGAGAATGAACGGCAGACTTAGGGGGCAGAGATAAAGATTTATATGATTCCAAGAAAGTACCCAGAAGGCCTCTTGGCCTAAAACTAGCTTGCTTATTTAGGTTTCACAGAGTCTGAAATTTCTTCATCAAGGATAGGCTTTTGGTTAGGCATTGTCCCTGCGAGGAAGAGGAGAGGGGAATTGTCATTTAAAAAGCAAATACTTTGTCCTTGTTTGCAGATGACATGATCTTATATACAGAAAACCCTAAAAGCTCCACCAAAATACTAAGTACTAATAAATGAATTCAGTAAAGTTGCAGGATACAAAATCAACAGACAGCAATCAGTAGCATTTCTATATTCCAACCGTGAACTAGCAGAAATTTATAGTAGGCTATAAAAATATCTAGGAATAAACTTAACCAAGGAGGTGAAAGATCTCTGCAAGAAAAACTGTAAAACATAGATGAAAAATTGAGGAAGATACACAAAAACAGAAAGACATTCCATGTTCATGGATTGGAAGAATTAATATTGTGAAAATGATCATACCACAAAAAGCAACCTACAGATTCAATGCAATTTCTATCAAAATTTTAATAATATTCTTCACAGAAAAAAAATCCTAAAATTTATATGAAACCACAAAAGACCCCAAATAGCCAAAACAATCCTGAGCAAAAAGAACAAAGCTGGAGGCATCACACTACCTGACTTCAAAATATCCTACAAAGCTATAGTAACCAAAATGGCATAGTACTGACATACAAACAAACATATAGACCATTGGAATAGATTAGAGAACCCAGAAATAAATCCACATGTTTACAGTTAACTGATTTTCAACAAAGGCACCAAGAACATTCATTGAGGAAAGGACAATTTCTTCAATAAATGATGCTAGGAAACTGGATATCCACATGTAGAAGAATAAAACAAGACCCCTATGTCTCACCAGATATAAAAATCAACTCAAAATGGATTCAATACTTATATGTACGACCCAAAACTATAAAACTAGTAGAAGAAAACATACATGGGAAACAGTTTAGGATATTGATTTGGGCAAAGATTTTATGGAGAAGACCTCAAAAGCACAGGCAATGAAACCAAATATAGACACATGGGATTATTTTAAACTAAAAACTTCTGCACAGCAAAGGAAGCAATCAACAGAGTGAAAAGACAATTCACAGAATGGGAGAAAATATTTTCAAACTATTCATCCAATAAGGGATTAATATTCAGAATATACAAGGATCTCAAACAACTGAACAGCAAAAACCAAATAATCTGATTAGAAAATGAGCAAATGAGCAGAATAGACATCTCTTAAAAGAAAACATACAGATGGCCAACAGGCATATAAAAATGCTCAATATCACTAATCATCAGGGAAATGCAAATCAAAACCACAATGGGAAATCATCTCATTCTAGTTAGAATGGTTATTATCAAAAAGACAAAAAATAACAAGTGCTGGCAAGAATGTGGAGAAAGGGGAACACTGTTGGTACGAATGTAAATTAGTACAGCCATTATGGAAAACAGTATGGGGTTCCTCAAAAAGCTAAACATAGAACTACCATATGATCCAGCAATCCCACTGCTAAATATATACCAAAAAGAAAGGATATTAGTATATTGATGTGATATCTGCACTCTCATGTTTATTGCAGCACTATTCACAGTAGCCAAGACATGGAATCAACCCAAGTGTCCATAAAAGATGAATGGATAAAGAAAATATTGTATATACTCACAGTGGAATAGTATTTAGCCATAAAAATAACAAAATTTTGTCATTCATGGCAATGCGGATAAGCTTGGAGGACATTATGCTAAGTAAAATAAGCCAGGCACACAAAGAGAAATACTGCATGTTTTCACTTTTGTGCAGAAGCTTAAAAAGTTAATCTCATGGAAGTATGGAGTAGTATAGTGGTTACTAGAGGCTGGAAAGGGTGAGTGGGGCAGGGGGACCAGCCAGAAGTTGGTTAACAGAAACAAAATTATACCTAGATATTAGGAATAAGTTGTAGTGTTTTAGAGCACTGTTGGGTGACAATAATGGACAACTTATTATGTATTTTCAAATGGCTAGAAGAGCAGATTTTGAATGTTACCAACACAAATCAAATAATTAAATGACAAATGATTGAGGTGATAGATATGCCAATTACCCTGATTCAATCCTTACATATTATGTATGTATAGTATAGAAATATCACACTGTACCCCATAAATATGTTCAATTATTATGTGTCGATTAAAAATAGTAAGAGAAAAAAAAAAAGAAAATACTTGTGGGATGCAAACCAGAGCCCATTCGGTGTTCAACTGTGTTGGTATCACCTTGTTTTCTCTCTGACCTGAGGGGTTGGAGGGCAGAAGAGGGAAGGTCTTGCTGATGTCAGTGTGGAGACCGAAGCCTTCTTGTCTCCAGGAAAGGGAGGGCATGCTGTGGGGGGAGGTCTGGAGGCCATGGAGAATCAGTCTGGCCTCCTTCCCTGTTATGCTGGAGCCCCACCTTGGTGAGCAGACATATGGGCCAAATTGATGAGGAGGGTTGAAGAGGTGACAAAAATCACACCAACAGTGCTCACAGTTCAGCTGTCACAATTCTGAAATGATTGGCTAATGTCACATTAGGATCTGGCCTTCTCTTTAGGAAACGTCTTGAACTTCTATGAGAAACATCTGAAGTTTCTCTAATGTATTAATTATTATTATTTTTAATCTATTACAAACATAATATATAACATATTATTAATTATTGTTTATTGTCTGCTTTCCCTCACTGGAATGTAAGTTCCCTACGGGCAGCTTCTTTGTTTTGTTCATTGCTGTGTTCAAGTGATTAGAACAGTGCCTGGCACACAGTGGGTGCTCAATGAGTATTTGCTGAATATATGAACATGTTGATTATTTCCCTCAGTGTAGAAGAATTCACTCTTTTCCATTTCAAGCCCTAGATACTACTCACTCCTGCCCCAGAAATTCTTAGACTTGTCAGCTTAGCACTGTTTTTCCTTTCTAGAGCCCTCTCAGAATTTGGACAATTGCAAATATTTGATTTCCACCCCTTTCTTGAAGTGAGAAGGCTGTAAACAGTGATATGGCAGTCTCCACTAGCTTTTTGCATGATGCCAGTGGCGGTTTATTGCAAAGGCCAAGGCCTAGGATTGAACGTAAACAAACACAGCCATGAGTTTAAAATAGACCATTGAGCAGCTCACAAAATAGGGCTCTTGTTTTTAAAAGAGCAGTGGATGCTCTTGAGAAATAATAAGAAATAATAAGTCTGGATGCTGGATGGAAAGGTCTGATGCTTTCTGGCTGAGTTTGTCCTTCGAACTTTATTTGTGTTTGGCACGCCTGTGCTGGAGCCGGCTGCCAGCCATGGCCAGGGTCCACAGGCAGTGGAAAGTTTATCTGGGCTGCAGGAGGAAAATTGAAGTCTCTTTGAAAAAGCTGCAACATGCTTGTCGTGCTAATTTCTAAGAGACACAGATGCCCTTTGCAGAGAGAGTCCAGTGTTTGTCCTAAGCAGAGCATGAGATTTGGGGACCAACAGACTAAGGCTCTGGGGGAAAATGTGTGGGCTAGGGATGTTTTCTTAACAACACCTCATCTATGAAAGTGTTCTCATCTGCAAAAATGAGGCATTGCTATCTACCTCATGGAGCTGTTTTAGAATTAAACAATATGAATGTATGTTCCAGGAGTTTAGCTCTTCCCTTTTGTTCACTTCCCCACACCCGGTGCCTAGCACGTGCCTGGCATCTGATAGGTGACTGTAACACTAACCTCCTATTACAAAGGAGCAGAGGACAACAGAGCTCCTTTGCCAGCAGTTTGAAGGAATAAATAGCATTCTTTTCCCTTTCTTCCCTCCAGAATCCTTGTCCTTTAAACATACGTGCACACACACACACACACACACACACACACAGAGCAAATAATTTATCAGTACATTTTCACTATAAAAAATTTGAATGATTAAGAAATATATTCCCAATTCTCCCCCAGAGTATTCAGTGTGGGAATGAATCTTTCCAGAAACCATGTCTCTATCATCTCTATCTGTCTCTCATGTATTTCTATAGCTATATTGTCTGTCTGTCTATCTATCTATCTATCTATCTATCTATCTATCTATCTATCTATCTATCTATCTATCTATCTATCCTCTATCAATCATCATCTATCCATCCATCTATCCACCCACCCATCCATCTAACATATATCTTTCCACCTACCTACCTATCTGTGATGGTTAATTTTATGTCGACTCGACTGGGCCATGGTGCACAGATTTTTGGTGAAACATTATTCTAGATATTTCTGTGAAGATGGTTTTTGGATGAGATTAACATTTAAATCTGTGAGTTTCAATAAAGCAGATTACTCTTTATAATGTAGGTGGGCCTCATCCAATTAGTTGAAGGCCTTAATAGAACAAAGACCTTTCTGGAAGAAGAAGGAATTCTGCTAGCAGACCACCTTTAGATGCAAACAGAAGCTCTTCTTGGGTCTCTAGCCTGCTGATCCACCCTGAAGATTTTGGACTTACCACAATTGTGTGAACCAATTCCTTAAAATAAGCCTCTTTATATCTGTCTCTACACATCCTGTTGGTTCTCTTTCTCTAAAGAATCCTGACTAATACTCTATATTATCTATCTGTCCATCTATCTATCTATCTATCTATCTATCTATCTATCTATCTATCTAATCTTCCATCAGTCTAATCTGTCCATTTATCTATTCATCTATAGCAGGATAATTTATAGAGATATTAATTTGTGTTCTGTTGTTATTCTGTTACCTTCTCCCATTCCAGGAAGACACCCAGCTTCATACTGTAAAGACAAAGCAGAAATTGTCTGCCCCTAACCTCCCTTTCTAAAAGCTCTAGCAACTTGATGGGATTATTCCTTGGGGGTGAGGGCACGGTAGGTTGGGAAAAATAGGCAGAAGCTTTGGGCGAGACATATTGGGAGGTGATTTTGGATCAGAAACAGGTTCTAAAGGGTGGGACTTTGTCCATACCTTTACCTTTTCGTTAGGCAAGGACAAGGCCTAAGGAATGGGTAAAATGTCTCTTGTACCCAAGAATGCACTTTGGTCACTGGGATTGTCTGTGAAGACTCCCATGCCCAAAGATGATATGATGATTCCTGTGTCTTTTGGATAATGTAATAACCAGAGTAGACCAAAATTTGGAGGGACCATATGAAAGATATTGCTTTGTATGACCCTGGAATCCTGGCATGACACAGGCGTGGGGGCTGGGGAATGATACGGTTTGGATTTGTCCCCTCCAAATCTCCAAATCTTATTTGATATGTGACTTCCAATGTTGGTGGTGGGGCCTAATGGAAGGTATTGTATCATGGGGGCAGATCCCTTATGAATAGCTTAGTGCCATTCCCTTGGTAATGAGTGGGTTCTCACTCAGTTAGTCACTAGAAATCTGTTTGTTTAAAAGCGTGTGGCACTTTCTCCATCTCTCTCTCTTGCTCCTGCTCTCACCATGTGATACACTGGTTCCCCATTGGCTTCCGCTATGATTGTAAGTTTCCTGAGGCCCTCAGCAGAAGCAGATGCCTCATCAGAAGCAGATTCCTGTACAGCCTGCAGAACCGTGAGCCAATTAAACCTATTTTCTTATTAATTACCCAGTCTCACGCATTCCTTTATAGCAATGCGAGAATGGCAAAACACAGGGAGATACAAGCCAAGATAATGACTGTTATTGTATATAGCCCTCCAGTTATGATTCCATTTATGTAAAGATGTTTATGTACTATATATACTATCTATCTATATCTATATACTATATAATATATATATATATAAACTGTATATACTATACATATAAAAAACTGTATATACTATATATATATAATAGTATATATAGTATATACAGTTTTTTTTGGTTTGTTTGAGATGGAGTCTTACTCTGTCGCCTGAGCTGGAGTGCAGTGGTGTGATCTCAACTCCCTGAAGCCTCTGCCTCCCAGGTTCAAGTGATTCTCTGCCTCAGCCTTCCAAGTAGCTGGGATTTCAGGTGTGCACCACCGTGCCCGGCTAATTTTTGTACTTTTACTGGAGATGGGGTTTTGCCTTGTTGGCCAGGCTGGACTCGAACTCCTGGCCTCAAGTGATCCACCTGCCTTGGCCTCCCAAAGTGCTGGAATTACAGGTGTGAGCCACCGCCTATGGCCTGTGTTCAAAGTGTTACTTTTTTTTTGTGTGAATGTATTTAAAGTAGGATTTACATTTTCTATTTACTATATTTAGGGTATTATTCCATAACTCTATCTCATTCTTTCAAATATTCTGTAAAATACTCCAATTACTGATATATTATAATTCAAGTAAACCATTTCCTATTGATAAATATTTAGATTGTTTCCATTTTTTCCTATTGTAAACAATACTCTAGCAAACATCCCTGAATATTGGCTAATTGTTCCCAATTGCCTGAAAAACAGAACCTCATCTCCTTTCAGAATCCCATTTCACTACTGCACACCTACAGGAGCCCAGCTCTGTGATAGGCTTTATGGGGAATCTTGAACAGACCGAAGACACTGTTCTCTCTGCCTGAAGCTGTGATCTTGTGAGGAAAGGAGGCCTGAAGAGCAGGAGACTTCTCTCTGTAGCTTCAGGACATCATGGGTCAAGAAATCAGGACTGACCACATAATGAGAGGAGTCATGAGAGATCAGGCGTGTATGTATGAGAAGAGAACTTTCCCAGGTTAACCTCACATCTTCCTTGGGACACACGAAGGCATGGCAAAGCAGGATTGCCCCCATAGCTCTTCTCAAGCAGTTTCCCTTTCCTCATTTCCCTTTAGTGTTACTATCTTTCATAAAGAATAAAGACTTGTCAGAGCTGAAATCCCAGGCCTCATCCCTCTGAGAAGTTTGTGTGCATCCTTCCCATGCACACTTTGTATGTTTACTATATATGTATGTTTTTATAAATAATATAAACTCTTGTTTCATGTATTTAAAAATTTTGCAGATCTTTTCATCAAGATGTAAACAGGCAAGGCCAGAGACTGGGTCTTTCTTTGTGAACCCACCAGCCTTGTGAGTAGTTAGTGTAGCATTTTCTCTTGACCAGGTTTGAGAACGCGGCAAACCCGGGGAGCAATGTGGCCTCCCTTCCCCTCGGTCAGCCCTCTCCTCTCTCTTGGTGCCTCTTCCTCAGATCCCTCAACCAGGGACCTGACATTTATTTCTGAAGTCTTTTGAAAGACTCTGGGCCAATACCTTAGCCCATAAAAATGTAAGGCTCCACTTTCCAAGGAGCCTTTTTATGGGGACACACCTGGGAGTGAACATTTAAAAGCTAAGGAAAGAATGCATCTCTATTGAGTGGATTCCGTGAGTAATCAGGAGCCATATGGGCCCCTCCTTGGCACACTCCAGAAATGAAGCCTTGTGATGGGTGCAGTTGTATTTACTGCTTTGGCCAAGGTTGGTGACCAGGTGTGGCGAGGAAGATGCCATCCAGTCTGCCTGTCCCAAATAAGGAACAAAACTGTCATTAATCAGACTACTTAGAAAATTCTATACTTGATCCTCTCATGATAAAACGAGGTAAAAATATAATATCTTCCTTTTTGGACAACCTCATCTCCAGCCAGGGTGCAAAAGTAGAAAACAGGAGAAGGAGCTCTCTCAGCCCTCCAACTCCAACTCTAAAAGGTGAAGGGCTGGCAGTTCCTTTGGCTCCAGATGAAGGTGCTGATTTCCTCTAGGGCACAAGTGATGAAGGAACAGGGCCTCCTCTCTCCCTCATTGCTTCCTTCCCTCTCTCTTTTTCAGTTTTTCTTGTGAAATGTCTGGGAAATGTGAAACTTCTTGTTTCAGATACTTGCACTTTAAGATTTGATTTGATTTTCTTTTAAACTGAAGGAATACTGGTGTTGACATAGTTCTTTTTGTGTGGGTAAAAGGAAGCAAAAAGAAAAGAGGTGCAAGAACTTTCCATTTGATGTAAGAACAATTTGCCTTAAGATTCTGCCCTCCAAATACTCAGTTTTGGTGAGAGTATTTTTGCCATTAGCCTTGTCACCCAAGATCCCATTCCTTCCTCTCTGTTTCCCCTTCCTTCCTCCTCTAACACTTTTGCATGTATGTCAATGCAATGAAGTTGCTTTGAGCTCTTTTTTTTTTTTTTCAATTATTCAACAATTTTCAAGTGGAGAAAAATTTGGGTCTTTTAATTTCATTTTTGGCTTTTTTTTTTTTTCATGTGTGTGTCTTCTTTCTGTTTGCTAAACAGTAATTGCGGATCTTCCTGGCCACCTTTAATACTCCCAGCTAATTATCCTGAAATAAATCTCTTTCAAGCCCGCATGCCAGCAGTTCTGGGATCCGAGCGGCTCTTTCAGCTCCCGGCTGCCTGTCACTCAAATGGGCCTCAGCTGCAACTTCGAATGATGAGTATTAACCTCCCGCTGGGAAGATTCACCCAATCTCCCCACTTCCAACAGCAGCTCCCAGGGCTGCACCACGTTCCTACCTGTTAGCCTAAGCTGGGATTTTCTTTTGCTAATGCTGTGATTTTGAAAAGTGGAAGAGGATTCCTGGGAGAAAGACACTCAGTTAACCTTCTCCTAATTGCCATTCAAGATGGAAAAGGGAGAGGAAGATGGTGGCTGTCCCAGGAGGGCGGCTGGGCCGTGGAGTGGTCTGCGGCCTTGTTGGGAAGCGCACTGGTCTGTTGGTGAGTGTACGAGAGCATCTTCCGGGTCCAGGAGTCTGTGTCCAGACACTGCTACTTGAGGGCAGTTGATGGCTGCTGTCTGGGGACAGGTCTCAATTTCAATTTATTGTCCTTTCTGATGTTCTCCCTACTCCTCAAATGTCCCTCAGTGATGTGCTTTTGGTAGCTCACTGGGTTCTCCTTCTTCCTCTACCCAATCTCTGCTATTCCTTTCTACATTTTTTCTCGCTGTGTTCAGCAAGATTCATGGTTTCTTGCTGATTCTTAGCCTATTTCTTTGGAATTTTGTGGCTGGTCTCATTTACCTCTCCTAAGCAAGGCAGTATTCTCCCCTCACTCTAGGTAAGTAATGGTCTAGTTAAGTGAATGAATGAATGAACAAACAAATGAATAAAAAATAAATCTTGTTCCCAAATATTAGGTCACCATCCTAGATTGACTTCCCTGAAACCCTTTATTTTCATGCCGGCCTAACTGAACCATTGTTCGCCAATTGGCAGTTCACCTCCTTGTGGGAAGAATTCCACTTCCTGGACACTGGCAGACACCATCATGTGACTTGGATTGGTTGATAATGTTAATTAAAGCCAATATGTGTCACTTCTAGGTGGAAGCTGTGAGAAACAAGCATTCTCTTTTCCTTCTGTTATATTTGCTGGCAAAGTTCCAGATAGTAGCTGCTCCATCAGCTTGGGCCTTGGAGTGAGAGCCCCTGCTTGATCTCCCAGGGATGCATGATGTGAACAAGAAATAAACATTTGTAGCTTTGTGCCACTGAAAGTTTGGGTTTTTAAATTACTGCAGCATAATCTAACCTATCCTGACTGATATAGAAATACACAAATGTCTATATCCATGTGAGGCTTTGCTTCCTCAGTCTTTAAATGCATAATTTTTATCACTTCTGAATAAAGATATTTTTCTACTTAGCTGGACCTCTATTCTTTTCAGTGTTGCAAACCAAATATCAGAAACCCAAATATTGGCCAAAGAGAAAGATAAATGTTTTTCTTTAGAACTTGAATTAAAGAAGTGAGTCTTATAAGATCACTGGAGCCCTTGTTAGTTATGTGGAACAACAAATAGCTCCTATGTACCATGTCTCAAAATATCATAGCAGGGCTGCTACACACAGTTTTGAGGATGCACACTGAACAACTGAGGGGCAGGGCATTCTCAAAGATCACAGCGTGAATGGCTGCATAGACCCTTTGTTGAGCTCCTCTAGCAGAGAGTCTGCTTATAAGAAATGTTCAGAAGCCAGGGAGCAAGTTTGCATTCCACCATCAACCCAGAAGAAGAGGATTCATTCTAAAGGATGCTTTGGATATTGCTGAGATGCTCTAGGATATTGTAATGGAAAAATCCATTACCATCTTAGGCACAACTCAAGCAAAATATGAGTGCCCAATACTTCCAGGCTTCCTGCCAGTCTCCTCTTCCACTTGACCTCAGCTCCAGGAAGGTCCCTTGGACTTTTGTTACATTGTGTCTTGGAGGACCTTATTTTCTGATTTTTCCCTTTTTGTGGTCTGTGTTTTTTGGGTTTGTCCAATAGAGGAAGTTCAGTAGATTGGAAGCTAAGTAGATTTCATTCAGCATCCATCCCTATGGACTCTTCTCCCTTCAGTTCCTGCCCTGGATTACTTTCATCTGTCAAGCCCTTGGTTTTGATTGGTCAGGGTCTGCCCTAAGATACAGTGGTGTTTCTTTTAATTCTGATGATCACTGGTTAGTTAAATACTAAAATATGTTGGTTGATACGGTCTGGCTTTGTGTCCCTACCCAAATTTCATCTTGAATTGTAATTCAAATTGTAATCTCCATGTGTTAAGGGAGGGACCTTGTGGGAGGTGACGGAATCATGGGGATGGTTCCCTCATGCAGTTCACATGTTAGTGAGTGAGTTCTCATGAGATGTGATAATTTTGTGTGGGGCTTTTATCCCTTTGCTCTGCACTTCTCTCATTCTTCTCCTTCCTGTTGCCATGTGGAGAAGGATGTGTTTGCTTTCCCTTCCACCCTGATTGTAAGTTTCCCAAGGCCTCCCTAGCCCTGTGGAGAATTCAATTAAACCCTTTTCCTTTATAATTACCCAGTCTTGGGTATTTCCTCATAGCAGCATGAGAACAGACTAACACACTGGTCTTGGGTTTTCTTTCCCTAATAATGTTCCAGCTTCAAACTACAGCATGTGGCATAGAATTAACACTATTCCTGCCAGAGAACCCTTTGCTGCTGAATATTCTCTGCATCTGTAAATCATCCTCCTAATGTGTACCGTGGCAGTTATGCAAGTGACCTTTGGATTAGTTAATTTCTTTAAAAATTTGTGACATTGCAATCCACTACACCCGTGGAAATGACCCCCACTGAGATTGTGAAATCATCAGGAATGCCAAAGAATAAGTGAACAAAAATCAATGAAAACAATAAGAAAGTGATGGTTTAGACAGAAAGATGTGGCATTGTGATGAGAAGAGCTGTTTTCCCAGTTCTGTCACTGACTGTCTGAATGTCCTTGCACAGTTCACTTAACCTCTCTGGGCTCAGGTTTCCTATCTGTAAAATGCGAAGAGATCCTTTCAGTTCTTTCTTCCTGTTCCAGCACTTTACAATTCTGGAAGGTAATGTTGATAAGTATTCAGTGATGTTAACTTCAAAAATGTATTTCCAGGTATGGTCATTTCTTAGGCACTCTGGGAGATTCTTGCTATTGCCTTCAGTAATCTTTGTGTTGGGCTGATTTTTTAGCGCTTAGAAAATTCATCCTAGTGATCTTCTGAAATTAGCAAGAGCAGTTATCCTCATTTCATTATCAAGAACTATCAAGATTATATATTTTTCCAAAACTATATAGGCTCTTTGATAGTAGAAGTAGGATCAGAACCCAGAAATCCTAATTCCCATACCCTATATTAAACAAAAGAGAGTTATATCTTCCATGTCATTACTAGAGTGGGAATGATTGAGACACATTCTATCATAATAACTCAGTTTAATCAATACTAATTAAATGTATTTTATGTGTTTAGTAGTGGGTAAAGTATGTTCCTAGTCTCAAAGAAGGTATGGTCTTGTAAGGGGCCATTACATGGACAGATATAGGAACTGCTATGATAAAGGTATATTCAGGACTTCCTCTTCGAACTAGGATGAAGTAACAAGGATAAGGTTTACCTTTCCACCCCCAACCAACTGTAAAACTGGATAAAGTATATAAAATAATGGCTTTCAAGTCATTATACATAAAGACAACAAGGATGGAGATCCTGAAAATATGGGAAACAAATGAAATGAGTCTTATGATCACTTCAGCTTATTGCCTGGAGAGAGTTTCCAGGTCATGGTACAGGGAGGGGAAACCCAGTGAATTCTGGCAAGTTCCTTAGAAGACATAGCTGGAATTCTGGGGAAGCAAGGTGGCTAGAGTTCTCAAGGTAGAGTGGCAGAATGAAGAAACTTTCATAGAGAAAGAGCTCCAGAGCTCTATAGAGGGTTTTACTCAGATCATCTGCTGAGCAGTGCTAATCAGCACATGCATTGAGGAGGCTACACAAGGCTAGAGAAAGAATTACCTAAAAGAATTAGAGAAAAAATACCTCTGAAGATTTTAGGGCCAGGAATAGTTTCTATTTCTTTCATTTCAAGTGGAAAACATTATAATTTATAGGACATTGAGTAGAATACTCAGAAGAGTTATTTTTCAGTAGTGAGAAAAGTTAGTTCCAGATTAAATGTTGATTCTACCTAACAAAGCTTAAAAAATTCCTGAAAGGACCAAGCTGTTTCCAAGCAACTTAATTGTGTCACAGAAGAAAGCTCAAAATATTTATAGAAATGTAAAAATATCCAGTACCCAACAAGGTAAAATTCACAACGTCTAGCAACCTTATAAAAAATTACGAGACATGCAAAGAAGCAGAAAAATATGTCCCACAAAGAGAAAAACCTATCAATAGAAGCCAACTAAGGAATTAAACAGATGATAGAATTTATAGACAAGGACACTGAAACAATTATAACTGTTTTAAGTTTATAAAAAAACTAGCAAAAAGATTAAGAATGTTAGGTAGAGACACGGAAGGTACAAAACCCACAATGTCCAAGAGAAAAAAAAATACACTGAATGAGATTAACAACAGATTAGACATTATAGAAGAAAGCATCAGTGAACTTGAAGACATAGGCATAGAAACTATCCAAGATAAAACACAGATAGAAAAACAGATTGAGGCAGAGTGCAGTGGCTTATGCCTGTAATCCCAGCACTTTGGGGGGCCAAGGCAGGTGGATTACTTGAGCTCAGGAGTTCAAGACCAGCCTGGCCAACATGGCGAAGCCCCATCTTGCTTGAACCTGGGAGGCAGAGGCCTCAGTGGGTTGAGATGCACTCCAGCTTGGGTGACAGAGCGAGAGTCCATCTCAAAAAAAAAAAAAAAAAAAAAGAGAGAGAGAGAAACAGAGCACCAATCAACTGTGAGGCAATTCTAACTAGTCTGTGTGTAACTGAAGCCCTTAAAGAGGAGAGAGAGGCAGGATAAAAAAATTGAAGAAATAATGGATAAAATTTCCATTAGAAATGTGAAACAGTGAAAAATGAGGTATATAGGTGTTATGGTTTGGCTCTGTATCCCCACCTAAATCTCACTTTGAATTGTAATAATACCATTATACCCATGGGTCATGGGAGAGACCTGGTAGGAGATAACTGAATCATGGGGGTATATTTTTCCCATGTTGTTCTCATGATAGTGAATAAGTCTCATGAGATCTGAAGGTTTTATAAAGGGGAGTTCCTTGGCACATGCCCTCTTGCTTGCTGCCATGTAAAATGTGACTTTGCTTCTCCTTCACCTTCCACCATGATTGTGAGGCCTCCACAGTCATGTGGAACTGTGAGTCAATTAAACTTCTTTCCTTTATAAATTACCCAATCTGGGGTATGTCTTTATTAGCAGCATGAGAATTTTTTTTTTTTTTTTGGAGGTAGGGTCTTGCTATGTTATGCAGGCTAGCCTCAAACTCTTGGGCTTAAGCAGTCCTCCTATTGTAGCCTCTGGAGTAGCAAAGTATTAGTCCAAGTTCTCCAGAAAAACAGAACTAATAGGATATATATATATATATATATATATATATATATATATATATATATGAGAGGAGATTTATTATGGGAATTGACGTGTGATTATGGAAGCCAAAAAAATCTCATGATATGCTGTCTGCAAGCTGGAGAACCAGGAATTCAGTTTGAGTCCAAAGGTCTGAGAACCAGAGGAGTCAAAGGTGTAAGGGGATAAAAGGATGGTTCTGGTGTTAGTCCCAGAGTCTGAAGGCTCAAGAAGCAGGACCTCTTTTATCTGAGGGCAAAAGAAGATGGTATCCCAGTTCAAGAAGTGAGAAATAGTTTTTTCTTCTTCCACCTGTCTTTCTCTTTGGACTCTGAACAGATTGGATGACGCCCATCCCCACAGGTGAGAATGGATCTTCTTTCCCAGTCTACTGAATCAAATGCTAAACTCTTCCAGAAACACTCTCACTGACACACCCAGAAATAAAGTTTACCAGCTATCTGGGAATCCCATAGTCCAGTCAAGTTGAGACATAAAATTAACCATCATGTACCACATGTAAAATGGTATATTGTTCAAAGGTAGACTGTAATAAGTTAAAGATGAATGAAATAAATCCTTAAAAACTACTAAAATAACAAAAGAAATAGTTATAGTTAACAAATCAACCATCCAAATAAAATGGAATTATTACAAATATTCAATTAATTCAAAAAAAGTGGGAAAGAAATAAAAGAAACAGATGGGACAAATAGAAAACCAATAGCAATATAGTAGATTAAAATCCAAGTGTATTATTAATTACAGTAAATGTAAATATCCCAACCAAAAGTCACAATTTTCAGATTTGATAAGAAATCAAAACCCCCAAATCCACTTGAAATTAAAGACATAAATAAGTCAAAAATAAAAGAATATAAAAAGGTATTTCATGCTAACCTAATCAAAAGGAAGGAGCAGCTATTTTAATATCAGATAAAGTAGATTTCTGAACAAATAATATTATCAAGAATAAAGAATATCATTTTATAGTGATAAAAGTTTCAATTTCTCAATAGGATATTACAATCCTAAACATACAAGAAGCAAAAAATGAGCTGCAAGAAGAAATAGGTAAATACATAATTATAGTCAAATGTGAACAGCTATCTTCTAGTACTCAATAGAATAGGTGAATAGACAAATCAGTAAGGATATAGGAGATCTGAACAACACTACAGATAAATTTGTTCTAATTGACATTTATAGATCACACTTCCCAACAACAACAGAAGAAACATTCTTTTCAAGTTTCCATGGGATATCTGTTTACCAAGATAGACTATACTCTACCATAAAACAAATATCAGTAAATATAATAGAATCCAAATCAAATCATTCTCTGACCACAAAGCAAGTAAATTAAAACTTTAATGACAGAAAGGTATTTCAACCCACCACCCTCTCCAGTATTTGGAGATTAAATAGTACACTTAAAAATACCCATGGGTCAAAGAAGCAATCAAAAGCAAAGTTAAAAACTATTTTGAATTGGCAATAATGAAAATATATAAAAATTTGTGGGAAGCAGCTAAAGTCATATTTAAAGGAAAATTTATAGTACTAAATGTCTATATCAAAAAAAGTTACAAATCAATGACCTCAACTTCTACCTTGAGAAATTAAAAAGAGAGAACACCAAAGTAAGAAGAAAAAAAATAAACATCACAATGGAAATAAATTTAAAAACAAGAAAAAGAATAGAGAAAAATCAATAAAACCCAAAGTTGATTCTTTGATAAAATCGATCAATAAAATTATCAATAAAATTGATAAACCTGTAGCTAGACTGACTAGAAAAAGAGAGAGTAGATATGAATTATCAATAAAGAGTTATTTAAAGGATAATAAAGGAGAACTTTAGCCAATCAATTCTACAACTTAGATTAAATGGACAAATTTCTTGAAAGATACAAACTATAAAGCCTCATTCAAAAATGTAAGTAAACTGAGTATTCTTATTTCTTAAAAGTTGAACTCATATTTAAAAACTTTCCCACAAAGAAAACTCCAGTCCTAGAGAGTTTCATGGGGAAATTCTACCAAACATTTAAGGAAGAAAAATATCAATTCTACACAGACTTTTCCAGAAAATTGAAGACGAAAAAATATTTTTCAACTCAACCTATAAGACAGCATTACACTGATACTCAAAAGCAGACATCTGCTTTTGCTTTGACTGGACCACTTCCGCCTCTTGGTAGCCATTGCTTTGATTGTGCTTTGTCTTCAGGATTGCATTGGTAAAGTCATGTTTTATCTCCTGCTACAATTCATTAAAGAAATGCTTCAGGATTCCACTTGTTTAAAATTTCAATTGAAAGCTCTATTCTTGTCTACAGCTGATCTGAGTGCAACAGTTTTGACACCCATCCAGTGGAAAGTTTGCTGAACTTTAATTTTTCATTCAGAATTGTGTAAACTGAATCAGTTGAGATGTCTTTGGTGTTCACCATTGTTTGTGCTGTTAATCAACAGTCCTCTTTAATTAGGGCACACACAAGATGATTTTTTTCCTCAAAAATTGATGTAAATGGCTTGCTATTGTGAGCTTCATTTTCCATGTCATCTTATTTTTTTCTTAAAATGAGTTACTCATTTGTAGACTGATGATTTATTTGGGGTATTGTCACCATAAGCTTTAGCTTTAGCTTTAACCTTTGTCGATGATTTCAATGATTTCACCATTCTTCCATCCAAACTTCACAATAGATTTAATGCTTGCTCTTGCTTCAATTTTAGCAGAATTCATGTTACTCTCTTAAGAGCTTTTTCAAACTGATATTTTATCTTTCCTAGTGCCTCAAACTTGATTCTGTTCAGACATGTTATAACAATTTAGCACAACTGTATTTTGATGCAAAAAAATTTGAAATCCATGCATAGTTTTTTCGTAATATGCACTTTCCATGAAGTTTTGAAGACCCTTTGATGGACAATACATCATGACCAAGTGATGTTTATCTAAGGAATTCAGTGTTATTTAACATTCAAAAATCAAACAATGTGATTCACCAATTTAACAATTTAAATTTAAAAATTTAAAAATAAAATGATTATCTCAGTAGATGCTTAACAAAATAAATCCAAAACATTCTGATAAAATCAACTCCTTTCCTATTCTAAATGTCCAGGAAACCAAGAAAAGAAGTAAACGTCCTAACAATAATTAGCATCTATGAAATATCTACCACTAACATTGTATTTAATTGTAAGAGACTGAATGATTTTTCCCTAAGTTCAAGAATAAGACAAGGATGTTCATTCCTCCATTCAACATTTTACTGGAGGATGTAGGAAGTATAAAATAGCAAGAAAAAGAAAACAATCCTCCAGATAAGAGAGGTAGGAGAAAAATTGTCTTTATTTGGGCGTGGCATGATTGCATGTGTAGAAAATTCTGTGAAAGCTACAAAGAAGCTACTAGAACTAATAAGTAAATTTAACAAAGTTGCAAAATAAAAGATCAAGATACAGGCCCAGCATGGTTGCTCACACCTGTAATCCCAGCACTTTGGGAAGCCGAGGCAAGTGGATTACCAGAGGTCAGGAGTTCGAGAACAGCCTGACCAACATGGTGAAACTCTGCCTCTACTAAAAATACAAAAATTAGTCAGGCATGGTGGCACGTGCCTGTAATCCCAAAAATACAAAAATTAGTCAGGCATGGTGGCACGTGCCTGTAATCCCAGCTACTCAAGAGGCTGAGGCAGGAGAATCACTTGAACCCGGGAGGTAGAGTTTGCAGTGAACTGAGATTGTGACATTGCGCTCCAGCTTGGGCGACAGAGCAAGACTCCGTCTCAAAAAAAAAAAAAAAAAAAATGCTGGGTATGATGGCACATGCCTGTAATCCCAGCTACTTGGGAGGCTGAGGCAGGAGGGAGGCGGAGGTTGCAGTAAGCCAAGATCGCGCCACTGCACTCCAGCCTGGGCGACAGAGCGAGATTCTGTCTCTAAAACAAAAAACAAACAAACAAACAAAAACCCCCCAAAAAACAAAAAAAGATACAATATTTAATTACATTTCTATATGCTAACAATGAACAATCAGAAATTGAAACAAAAAATAGCCTTTACAACAGCATCGAAGATAAAAAATACTGCAAACAAATATGACAAAAGTCATGCAAGACTTATATGTGCTATGAGAAATTAAGGAGTTCATAAATAATTGGAGAGATAAACTGTTTATGAATAAAATGATTCACTATTGTTAAGATTCTGTCCAAACGATCTACAAACCCAATCCAAGGACCTGGAATAACCAGAACATATAAAGAAATTCCAAACTCAATTATAAGAAAATTAACCTCTGCACCATGGGCAAAGATTTCAATAGACATTTTACCAAAAAAGATATATTGATGACCAGTAAATCCATAAAAAATGCTCAAGAGGAATGCAGATTAAAACATATAAGAAAGACAGATTAAAACCACAATTAGGTACCACTGTATCTCTATTGGAATGTCTGAAATAAAAATTGGTGATCATACCAAGTGTTGGAAAAGATATGCAGCAGCTGGAACTCTCATAAGCTGCTGGTGGGAATGTAAAGCAATCAATAAAACACTTTTGAAAACAGTTTGGCAGTTTCTTTAAAAGTTGAATATACATCTGCCAGAGGACCCATCCATTAGGTACATACCAGCAAGAAATGCAAGCCTTTGTCTGTGTAAAGATTTGTCCAAGAATGTTCACAACATCTTTATTTGAAATTGCCAAAAACTCTAAACAACTCAGCTGTCCATCAACAGGTGAATGGATAAACAAATGGTGGTATATCTGTACCATAGAACACCACCTAGCAATAAAAATAAACTATTAATACACACAACATTGATGTATCTCCAAATAATTTTGAGTAAGAGAAGCCAGACAAAAAGAAGAGGATATACTGTGTGATTCTATTTCTAAAACATATAGAAAGTGCAAACTGATCTGCAGTGATAGAAAACAGACCAGTGGTTGTCTGGAATGGGGTGAGGGAGGGGGAGGGGCAAGACAGTGGGATTACCAAGGGGCATGAGGAAACCTTTGGTGGTGACGGCTGTGTTCACTGTCTTAATTGTGGTGATGTATTCATGGATATATTTCTGTGTCAAACTTATCACACATACACTTTAAATATATAGTTTATTGTACAACAGTTATATCTCAGTAGAGCTGTTAGGAAACAACACATACATATTAAAGCAACATTATTATTATTATGTTTTTATTTTACTTTAAGTTCTGGGATACATGTGCAGAATGTGCTGGTTTGTTACATAGGTATACACGTGCCACGGTGGTTTGCTGCACCTATCAACCCGTCATCCAGGTTTTAAGCCCCACATGCATTAGGTATTTGTCGTAATGCTCTCCCTCCCCTTGCCCCCCACCCCCCAACAGGCCCCTGTGTGTGATGTTCCCCTCCCTGTGTCCACGTGTTCTCATTGTTCAACTCCCACTTATGAGTGAGAACATGCGTTGTTTGGTTTTCTGTTCCTGTGTTAGTTTGCTGAGAATGATGGTTTCCAGCTTCATCCATGTCCCTGCAAAGGACATGAACTCGTTATTTTTTATGGCAAGCAACACTATTTAAAAAAAAATAGATTAAATTATATATCTGGATTTAAATATTCATAATTCTGTAAATTCACCTTGAGACTCATTAAGGTAAGAGGGATGCTCTCTGATCTTTGACAAACCTGCAAAAACAAGATATGGGGAAAGGATTCCCCATTTAATAAATGGTGCTGGGAAAACTGGCTAGCCATATGTAGAAAGCTGAAACTGGATCCCTTCCTTACACCTTATACAAAAATTAATTCAAGATGGATTAAAGACTTAAATATTAGACCTACAACCATAAAAACCGTAGAAGAAAACCTAGGCAATACCATTCAGGACACAGGCATGGGCAAGGACTTCACGTCTAAAACACCAAAAGCAATGGCAACAAAAGCCAAAATTGACAAATGGGATCTAATTAAACTAAAGGGCTTCTGCACATCAAAAGAAACTACCATCAGAGTGAAAAGGCAACCTACAGAATGGAAGAAAATTTTTGCAATCTACTCATCTGACAAAGGGCTAATATCCAGAATCTACAAAGATCTTAAACAAATTTACAAGAAAAAATCAAACAACTGCATCAAAAAGTGGGTAAAGGATATGAACAGACACCTCTCAAAAGAAGACATTTATGCAGCCAAAAGACACATGAAAAAATGCTCATCATCACGGGCCATCAGAGAAATGCAAATCAAAACCACTATGAGATACCATCTCACACCAGTTAGAATGGCAATCATTAGAAAGTCAGGAAACAACAGGTGCTGGAGAGGATGTGGAGAAATAGGAACACTTTTACACTGTTGGTGGGACTGAAAACTAGTTCAACCATTGTGGAAGACAGTGAGACAGTGTGGCAATTCCTCAAGGATCTAGAACTAGAAATACCATTTAACCCAGCCATCCCATTACTGGGTATATACCCAAAGGATTATAAATCATGCTGCTATCAAGACACATGCACATGTATGTTTATTGTGGCACTATTCACAATAGCAAAGACTTGGAACCAACCCAAATGCCCATCAATGATAGACTGGATTAAGAAAATGTGGTACATATACACCATGGAATACTATGCAGCCATAAAAAAGGATGAGCTCATGTCCTTTGTAGTGACATGGATGAAGCTGGAAACCATCATTCTCAGCAAACTATTGCAAGGACAGAAAACCAGACACAGCATGTTCTCACTCATAGGTGGGACTTGAACAATGAGAACACTAGGACACAGGAAGGGGAACATCACACACGGGGGCCTGTCGTGGGATGGGGGTAGGAGGGAGGGATAGCATTAGGAGATACACCTAATGTAAATGATGAGTTAATGGGTGCAGCACACCAACATGGCACATGTATACATATGTAACAAACTTGCACGTTGTGCACATGTACCCTAGAACTTAAAGTATAATAATAAAAAAAAAGATAAGAGGGATGCTCAGGGATCATTGGGGGTCTAGAAAACTAACAGCACATATTCAGTAGTGTTTTCCTATATTTATGATATATTATGCCAATGATGTGACAGGCAAGGATGCATTTGCCACAAAGGGTCCCTTCCAAACTCAAAGCCATATTTGGATTCAGCAGATCTGAGTTGTATGAAACCAGGAATCAGAATTTTTAGCAAGTCTTTTAGTTGATTCTGATGCAGATGAGTCATGGACCACACTAGAGAAATATTGGTCCAAAATCTCGACCACACCAGCATCTCCTCTGTCTCTCTACTCAAACATGGCTTGTATTTGTTTCACTTGGTTGAGGTTCATAGTTTACCCGGCTTAACCCTGTAGTATCTCCTTACTGGGTAAAACTTAGCTGCCTTCCTTTGGACAGAATTAATGCTCAGAAGTACTGTGATAACACTGGGTCTGGGATTAACCTCAGCAGTGTAATTACAGTCACAAGAACAACCTCTGAGTCACTAGTCCAGGCTCTCCCTTCCCTGAGGAAGACCTATCTCTCTTAGACCATCTCAGCTGAGCAAAGGCTGGGCTTTTGGAGCCTTGGGGCAGGGAGGCTCTTGGGACTTGCTTACCTACTGGCTCTGGTGCCAGCCACTCTTAGCCAGGAAGTTCTTCAAGTTTCACAGTTTTTCTTCTGCAGCTGCCCTTGAGGCCTGTGGCTTTTGCAGTTGTTGAATGGATCAAGTCACTCCTCTACCTGGCAGCTCCTGGAAGCTTTCCATGGCTGGCATGGTGAAACCCAACTCCTGGTCACCGCCTGCAAGCTCTGCATAGTCTCCACCATGATGGTCCCTCAAATGGCACCTCCTCTGCACACCAACCGGCCGGTCTTGGCTTTTAGTGCTCAAACACACCAAAGCCTCCCTTCTCACCTTAGCCTTCTCTCATGCTTCCCCTCTTGCTAAAAGCTGTCTTTGGCTCCTACGTGGCTGGCTTTCACTTTCTTTACACCTGGCCAAGGTGTCACCTCCTCAAAGAGACCTTTCCTGACAACCCTCTCCGAAGGGGGCTCTCTCCTCTTTCCAGTTATTCTCTGTCCTGGTATCTCATAACAAATGGCAATTGTTTTGTTTGACTATTCATGTTCTCCCCACTAGAATGTAAGCTCTGTTAGGGTAGGGTCATATCTGCCTTGCTCACCATTACTGGTTGAATAAATGAATGAATCCTCTAAGAAGCCATAAGTTTTACAAATACCACGTCAATGGGATCAATAGAGTTCTTACAGCTGCAGGCCCTGCACACCAGGCAGTGTTTTCAAAACCGTTATTAAAATCTATCTGCTTAAAGAATGATGACTCTTCTGTCCCACGTACTCATCCCAGCAAAAAATTCCACATCCCCAAAGCACTTTTAAGCACAAAAAGCAGAGCAAACATTCCACGCAGATAGGGCACAGCAGAAATAGATTTGCTACAAAATCATCTTCCCTGGCCTGTTCACCTGCGTCAACTTGCGTCTGTGGAAAATGGTCCAAAAGTTGAATTCAGGGTTTAATTGAGTCCTGACTTTAGGCCTCCCTGGTTTCATCATTGACAAGACCATACACAGGACCTGGTCCTGGCGGTCTGGCTGGTGAGGGCATGGCTACGTAATCTGTGACTTATTGGCTTTTCTGGGCAGAAGGGAAATGCATGATTGTTCTTGCTCTTACGATGTGGAGAACACCACAATTTGTATGCAAGTTCTGAGGCCAGAAAGGGGGTTATGGTGATGACTGCTCCTTTTTTGATTTCTGATTTTGATATTTGAAATTAATAAAGGCAGTTGTCACTCGATGTGCCACAGGAAAGTCTGACCCTGGCTGTGAAGAGCTAAGCTTCCGTGAAGGAGGTGCATTTGTGGAATCTCAACAACTTCATACTTTTTCTGTCAACACATTTTAGCTTTACTTTCAGTTTTTGCTCTCTGTCCTTTCTAGCCTTCTTTCTTCCCTCTCTTTCATTTTCCCTAGACTTTGTATCCATACCCAACTGTCTTTTTAATTTCTCTCTCTGCATCTCTTTCCTATCTCCATGACTCTCCTAATCTATTTTCCATTTTTCTTCCTGTTTTTTTTCTGTTTTTGTCTTCATTTAAGATGATCCTCTGAAGCCAAAGGTATTCTTTTCTCATCGCTTGGGACCTAGCCCACTGGTGACTAGCTATATTAATACCTATGTGTAAATTTAGAATTATGTACTTTCTTGGTCAATTGAATACTTTTTATCATTGTGAAGTGTCCCTTATTATTTCAACAAATCATTCCTGCCTTACATTCTACTTGTTTGATATTAACTTAGTTTTGCCAGCTCTTTGTGGCTAGTATTTGCACAGTATACCTTTTCCTGTGTTTTCAGCATTTTGGTATGATTATATTTAATGAGTGTCACTTGTAAGCAGCATGCTCATTTTTTTTTTGGGTTTTGGGTTTTTATCCAGTCTGATAATCTTTCTCTTTTAATTTGAGCATTTTGTCCATTTGCCTTTTATTGCATTTATGGATCTGTTTGAGTTTAAATCTACACTCTTACTCTTTTCTGTTTGTCTTACCTATGGTATTTCATTTTCTCTCCTTTTTTACATTCTTTTGGACTTACTATTCCTTTATTATTTCATTTCTATCTCTATTAACTTGCCTGTTATATTTTTGTGATTTTTATAGGTATGTTCTTGGTTATAATTATAGTGGTTATTAAAATTTACATGTATATATTTAATATGACAACTGTAACATAAATTAGAGCTTTCATCACTTACTGAATAAAGCAAGGGCCCTAAAGCACTTTATATTTTCCACCTTCAACTTATATGCTGCTATGACCACAAATTTTCATTGACACATATATTAAATCTTGCAAGATAGTATTATTGTTATTTTATGTAGTAACTGCTCACTTAGCTTATCCACTTGTTTATCATTTCTGTTGCTCTTATTGCACCTTCAAGCTCCCATCTGGGATCACTTGGCTACTGCCTATAAACGTTTCCTCTAGTTCAAGTCTACTGACAAATTCTCTATGTTTTTACTGTGTGAAAAACATCTTGATTACACTGACATTTTTTGAAGGATATTTTAGCTGGGTATAGGATTGTAGAATGGCAGTTATCTTCTCAGCACTTTTATGACACCATTACTTTGCTGCCAGGCTTGTGTTTTCTTTGATGAGAGGTGAGATGTGAGTTATATTTTTGTTTATGTAATTTTTCTTTTAAAGAATCCTCCATTTTTTTGGTTAATTATCAGTTGTTTTCTGATATGTAGGTAAGATTTGATTTTTTAAAAATCATGCTTAAGATTCATGGTAAGTACTTTTTGAATTTGTGCCTTTTGGTCTTTCAGCAGCTTTGAAAAATGCTCTAAAGTTAAAAATTAAATTAAAAGTGCTCCTCCTCTATTCTTTCTCTCCTCTTCTTCTATGACAACAAATATTACTTCGACCTTTTCTTCCTATGCAATAGGTCCTAATTTATCTCATATGTTCTTTTCTCTATTTTCCATCATTTATCTTTCAGTGCTTTCTTCTGGATGTTTCTTCCAACCTATTTTCGCTCTTACTAATTAACATTTCAGTTCCATTTAATCTGTTCTTAAAGCCATCCATGATTTTAAAATTTAGTTATTGTATCTTTTAGTTTTAGAAGTTTTATTTTCTTATTTTTTAAATAGTTTCCAGTTGATTGGCAGAATTTTCCATCTTGGTTTTAAATGCCTTGAATGTATTAGGCATAGTCATTTTAAAGTCTGTGTCTGAAAAGTCTGTTATCTGAGTCCTTCTGGTTATTTTTGATTGTGTACTATGTATTGTATATAAAAATTAGAGATAATTTGACACTAAGCATAAAGTTATCTTCCTCTAGAGAGGATTTAAATTGCGTCTTACTGAAAGTCACCGTCCCTTTGAAATTCAATACCACCTTAATATAATTAGGCATAAATTGTTCAAATCTGGATTTTAGTCCAGTGAGATCTAGTCTTTTTGATTCAACCTTACTCCTAGGGTAAGCTTATGTCCCTTTCATGTCCCATCCCAAAGCTCAGGAGTTTATCAGCCCCTCAGTTTTGGTAGGTCCTGAATATAATTTTTTTTTTCATATCCAGAAGATAGTCTGTCAAAAGGTCTGTTACATTTTACTCTCAAACTTCTCAGACACCTCGACTGAAATTGGCTGAGCCTCTAGAGTCAGGAGGAAAAGTAGTCTAAAATTTCAGACTGACTTCTCTGGGTTTCCTTTTTATTCTCTCAGTCTTGGTCTTCTAATTCTTCCCTGACTTGGAACATCTCTTGTGCCAGATAATTTTTTAAATATTGCCCAGCTTTTCTGATATTCTCTGTATGAAGTTTCATCTAAGTTGCATAATGTGCCAATACAAGCAGGCACTGCTATTCTGTTGCTGAGTATTCCTGGACAAATCATTTCTTATCTCTGGACCTCAGTTTCACATCTATATGATAAAGAGATTAGACTGGGAGACCTCCCAAACCATCTTTCAACCGGTGTCAGCATATTTTTACCTGTAGGCTGTATGCATTGGACATGTGGGTTTTACTGCCAGTTCTTATAGGGAAGTTACAGTTATTTCTACACAGCTGTGGCATCCTGCCCCACCTGGTTAAGGTAATTAGTAAGGCTTTGAAATGATGGTGATAAGTACACTTACTACTTTTGGGAGATTGAAAACGTGTACTATAACACTAGAATACAGCTAGCTTATAATAAATACTCTACGAACCATATTGGTGTGAAATGTAGGCAGAGATGTTTCATTTTTTTCTCAACCCAGAAATAGGAAGGATTCCCCAGGGCTATTTATCACAGTCAGAAGGGAGATAAATAAAGAACAGGGATGTTGTTAATTTACTCAAACTCCAAACTCAAAGTCCCTTTGATGGAGCAGAAGCACTGGGGGAGCCCTGAAGTAAGGTTTCTAGTGAACCATCTGGAGAGTCTGCCACTCATCTCACAGTACATGAACTAACATACACACACACACACACAGACACGCGCGCGCCTGTGCGCCCCAAACATGTGTGGCTAATAATGACCACATTACAAATGGACACATCTGGTGGAAAGAGTTTCCAACAGGAGTTTCAAAGCAATATCACTTTCATTCTAAAGGGCTAAGTTAGTTTCATTTTGCCTTTGGTTCTTTGTTTTGAAGAGTGCTTAGAACGTCATTGGTTTATAATATATTTTGAGAAGTTCCAGCTCAAAGATAATAGTTCTTGCAGTACTACATTAGCTCTCTTTGGGTTAAGAGCACAGACTCTGGGGCCAAAATGCCTGGGTTCAAAGCCTGGCTCCTCCACGTGCTACCCATTAAAACTTGGGCTAATTGGGAAATTTCCTTGTGCCTCATTTTCCTCATTTATAAAATGAGGATAATGAATAGTACCTGCCTCCTAGGGCTGTTGTGAGGATTAAGTGTAGTAGAAGTATGAGCTTCTCCAAAGTGTGTAGAAGAGTGAGCTGTTGGTCACCCTGCCTGGTCTGTTACCTTCTCTATACTTGGACCTCTTGTACTTAAGCCTTGGAGGCACAGAAGGCAAGAGGTGAAGTGAAGTGGGTGGAGCACTGGATGCAGGTAAGGGGACCTGCTGTTGCGTTAGACTGATTGTTGCATTAACTTCCCAAACTGTCCAATCTCAGTTCAGTTTTCTGACCTTTGCTGTAGAATAGGACGGTAACACTCCTGCCTACTTCACAGCGTGCATCTCAAATAAAGTGATGGATGTGGCAATCTTTTTCAAAAGCAGTAAATGCTGTGTAAATGTGAGAGACTTCACAGAAGGTGATGGTAGACCCGTGATCCTTGTAGGGAAAGGTGAAATGGTGAGGCTACAAGAGAAGTTGTGGCGTGGGGGGAATGTGATGTTCTGACTTTGTACTTTAGTCTCCAAGCTTGTTTTATTTCTGCCTATCTCTACACCCCAGAACTCTCCAGGATGTGAACTATCCTGTTGGGCTGTCCATGGAAGGGACTGTCCTGCTTGTTTTGATGGCTCCTTGGGATCAGTCTCGTATTCCACTTCTCTTCACTCAGGGCCTTGTCCTACAAACTCTAAACTTTGTATCTGGCAGTGTGACCTTTGGCCTAGCAAGGAAACCTAGGCCCTTGCTCTCAGGAGTCGGCAGGAAGATTAAAAGCCCCTGTGGAATGATGATGTGGGAAAATGACTTGGCATGGAGTGGACCAGGTGTTGGGGATTAGGCTTGGTTTGGTTAGAGCTCTGAGGTGGTGGGCACAAGGTAAAAAATCAGGACAAATATTGTATTAGTTTCCTGTGGCTGCTGTAACAAATTAGCAACAACAGACTTTATTTTCTTGTAGTTCTGAAGGCCAGAAGTCTGAAGTGAGTATCACTGGGCCAAAATGAGGATGTCAGGAGGCCCACACTCCCTTTGGAGGGTTTAGAGAAGACTCTTTGCCTCTGGTGGCTGTGAGCATTTTCTGGCAAGTGGCCGCATCACTCCAACCTCGGCCTTAGGGTCACATTGCCGCCCCCTCTTCTGTTGGCCTCTTTCTTCTGTATCTTTCCTATACAAACACTTGTGATGGCATTTGGGGTCCATTCAGATAATCCAGGAGAGTTCCCATCTCAAGATCCTTAACTTAATCACACCTGCAAAACTCTTTCTCCAAATAAGGTAGCATTCACAGATTCCAGGAATTGGGATGTGGATGTCTTTTGGGGGGCCATGTTTCAACTTTCCACAAGTGGCAAAGGCAGGAAATAGGCACAGCAGGGTCAGGCCCACACTAGGAGTCAGGGGACCTGTCCTCATGGGGCAGAGGAGGTTAGACAAAATGGGAAAGAAAACATATGTAAGGGGTACCTAACAAGGAAACCTTTATAATGCCTGACCTGCAGTAGACACTGAATGAAATAGTTTCACCAAACACCTACTAAGAGCCAGGTACTGTTTGAGGGGCTGGAAAGAAAGCAGCATGGAGTTTGTACTCATTCAATACACGAGTAAATAAATGAATGAATAATTGAGGATGTTCTTTGTTCAGCAGGGAAGGTTTTCGTTGTTAGATCAAGACAAAGTTATCAGGAAGGGCTGACCGAGGATGTGCGGTTGGGACCGACCAGCCTGCAGAGGAGAAGGACCACGGCCCTCACTCAGCGTGAGGAGGGGGAGGGGCTCATGTATCTGACAGGTTCTCAGCTTTGACTGCACATTGGTCACCTGGGAGGCTTTTAACAAATGCCCAGGCCTCATCCCCAGAGATCCTGATTCAACTGGTCAGGATGGCCCTGCACAGCTACATATGTTAAGCTCCCCAGGTGATTCTAATGGGGATCGAGGCTAAGTTCTCTCTGGGCTAATTGTCTTATGATTTGGAGTCAGACAGGCCTGGCTACAAAGTAAGTCTCTGTGAGTGACTTTAAGGTGTGTGACCCCAGGGCATATTATGTAATTTCTCTGAATCTTCATTTACTCATCTGTAAAATGAAGATAATAATCCTTAATTTATAAACCTCTGTGAGGATTAGAAAATATTTGGAAAGTGCTCACCATGATATCCAGCACATGGTTAATACGAAATAAGTCCTAATGACTCCTTATGGATGTGCCCGTTTTATATGT
Source organism: Homo sapiens (assembly GCF_000001405.40). Lineage (NCBI taxonomy): Eukaryota > Metazoa > Chordata > Mammalia > Primates > Hominidae > Homo > Homo sapiens. The sequence goes on along the minus strand of NC_000002.12, from coordinate 60,227,698 downwards.
TTGGGAACCAAAGCTTAGAGACATTAGGTTAACTTGTTGGAAGCCACATGGTTAGTAAATAATTTTGTATAAGATTGAGCCCAGACATCTTTTCATTACCTAATTCTACCCAGTGTTTTTGACAATGGGACACTAAAGCCCAACCACTCCACTCTCTTTCTTTGACCTCCGTGACTGTGAAGGAGCTGGTCCTTGCTCATCTGGTAAGACCCTGGTTTCCCCTCAACACCTAGGAATGTAGGATAGGAGAGAGGTCCATCACACCTTATCTATTGGTCCCATCTCTTACTCTGAGAGAAGTAGGCATAAGATTGCTGTAGGGAGGGATAGTGAGAGAGGAGAAAGGAAAAAACTCAGGCCGGCAGTTAGTGTGGGTCTGCAGTTAGCATGGGTCTTCAGTTGAATCTTTTCAAACAAAAGAACAGCCTACAGGCACAGATAAGGGAACTTGAACAGGGGGGCTTGCCCACAATGGAAAATTCCCTCCTCTGACACATGTGCAGTAAGGGGAACAAAGCAATATGGAATAACTCAAGCTAAGAGCCGCATGCACATTAAGAGGACAGGGTGGAGCGACCAGAAATTTGCATCTTATTCAAATGAGATGCCCAACCCTCATTGATTTCCTATAAAAGCCTTTGCATCCAACTGTAAAAACAGCAACCCTCTTCCAGGGACCCTCTCCACAGCAGAGAGCTTTCTTCTTTTGTCTATTAAACTTTCACTCTTACCCCACCCTTTGTGTCCACACTCCTTAATTCTCCTGGTCACGAGACAAAGGACTCTGGGTGATACCTCACAAGAGACTGCTACATTGTGGTGCATTGGTGAGACTATAACATCAAGTCCCAATCCCTGGAACCTATGAATGTTACCTCACATGGCAGTCTTTATAGATGGGATTATATTAAGGATTTTGAGATGAGGAGATTACCCTGGATTATCCAGATGGGTGCTAAATGCAATCACAAGTGTCCGTATCAGACAGAAGCAGAGAGAGATTTGATGCATGCAGAGGAAAAGACAATGTGACAAAGGAGGCAGAGATTGGAATGATGCCACTGCAAGCTGAGGAACGCTGGCAGCCACCAAAGGCTGTAAGAAGCAAAGAAGAGATTCCCTCCTAGAGCCTCCTAAGGGAGTGTGGCCCTGCTGACACCTTGATTTCATCCCTGTTTTATTGGTTTGGGGCTTCTGGCTTCCAAAAATGTAAAAGAATACATTTTCTCTTATTTTGAGCCATCCAGTTTGTGGTCATTTGTTGCAACGATCACAGGAAACCAATACCAGTGGTTCTGCGAGATCACCGTCTTGGAGGTGACACATTCAGGTCACAGCAAAGCTGATGGGGCTATCCTTGCTTCTCCTTGGGGTGCCTGATCCCTGGGTCCTCCTGCAGGGTTAGGAGAGCCCTAGAGGAGAGCATGCATGCACCTGCAGCCATAGGGCAGCAGGCAGAACTTTCTACATCACAGGCCTGGCCTTCCTACCACCTGAGCTTCTGTGGTGAGGAGCAGCCATGAGTGTCTCACAGACTCTTTGCTGCTGGAGGGAGATAGCCTGTGCAGCATGGGGTAGACAGAGCCAAAGAGGCCGAAAGTGGCCCAAGTCACCATTGCCTGCCTCCTTTCTGACATCCAGGATCCCAGCAGAGTTCACCCCCATCTTCCCGGCCCCATTGCTCAAGGGCAAGGGCTTTCTGGAACAATTTTACTCTGTGCACCGGGAACAAAGGAGAAACCAAATGCCTTGCTTGGGAGCGACCCATATGCAGGAGGCAAGGCAAGGCCCAGTGACAGGATAATTGCTTAAATATCTGCTTTAAGTATAAAGGCAGTCTCTACCTCCAGCTGCAGTTCAGGTTCCCACAGGTCATGAAAACAAAGAGGGGAGTGGGAGAATTAAAGAGGAATAGAAATGGAAATGATTAGAAAAGATTGCCACTACTTACAGGGTGGGGGAGAAAGGGGGATGTTGGGAATTAACCCTTTTGGCATTGTGCAAGTGGAATGCGGGCTCACAGCTTTCTGTCTCAGATGCAAAAGCTGGAGACCTTCACCCACTGGTGAGATGCTCTGCTCTTCCAGGGCCTGGAGAAGAGGCTGGTGGGCCACATGCAGGAGGCTGGCCTTCAGGACAGTGCAAGTCGGTCATGGCTTTGAGTGGTGGGAGTGTCTGTGGACAGCACATGCAGGTTCCTTGTTCTTTACCAGAATACCTCCTTTCTTTTCTGCCACTTGAGCCCATTTTGTCTTCTGGCTGGTGATGCTTTCTAATAGTTCTCGTTTCTGCTTACCCAGCGCTCTGACCCTGCCAGGTTCATGCAGGTATTTCTGCACTAATTCCCATAGCATCCTCTGTCTTCCTTGGCAATCCTCAGTACACTGGAAGTTATTATACTAATTACAGTGACCTTATCTCCTGAATTCTAAGAAGCACAAGTTTTTCACATTTTAACATTCCTGGAATTTGGGCCTGCCTTACAATCAATGGGCTTATTTAATGGGTGTATTAGACAGGTTTCTCTAGAAACATAGAACCAATAGGATACACACACACAGACACACCCACACAAAATCTAATATATATATATATAAATCCTTTTTTTTTTAATAAAGGTTTAGAGCCCCTGTAGGGCTCTCCTAACCCTGCAGGAGAACCCAGGGATATATATATATATATATATATTTTTTTTTTTTTTTCATATATATATAACCTTTATTTCAGCTGATACATAGATATTTTGAGGTGCACACAATCATAGGGGCTAGTCAGTCCAGAATTTGTAGGGCAGAGCAGCAGCCTGGAGACCCAGGGGAGAATTATATTGCAGTTGTGAGTCCAAAATTTGCAGAGCTGACCAGCAATCTAGAAACTCAGGTAGGATTGCAATTTTGCAGTCTTGATGCAGAATTCCTCCTTCTTCAGGAGACTTCAGTTTGTGCTCGTAAGATCTTCAACTGATTGGATGGGGCACACCCATATAATAGAAGGTAATCTGCTTTATTCGGTCTACTAGTTTAAACATTAATTTTATCTAAAAAATACCTTCACAGCACCATTTAGACTAGCGTTTGATAAAACAATTGGGCACCATAACCTAGCCAAGTTGACACATGGAATTAACCCTATAGTAGGGTACTTGTTTATTTGTATCCATTCATTTATTCTCTCCTTCAAAAACTCTGTTATGAAAGTGTGTATCATCTTGGTGGATGCTTTAAGCATCGGTCTTTATGGCATTTTTTTTGAGTGTGCCTTCTGGTGGGCTGTGAGCTGGCTAATGGTAAGGGAACATGAACACAGTAGGAGCTCAATATTTGTTGATTGCTGGCCAGCTGTTTGACTCAGCAATAAACTGTTTTGATTTGAGGGTTCCCTTGACTTTTAGTGTCCTCTCTTTGGGGGTGACACAAGGCCTTTCCCCATTTCTTCCCACCTTGTGCACACAGTTTCCTTTCCTTCTCTCCATCTCCTTGTCTTTCTGGCTCCTTATTCCCCATCCCTTTTATTTGGCTAATGCTCTGTGCCTAATCACATTAGCCAGCACTGGCACTATAGAGATGTTTGCAATCCAACCCAGGTCTGATTATGAGCGTCAGCAGCCTGAGGGTACTTTAAGAATGTGTTGATTGGTGAGGGTGGGGAGCCCCCAGAGGGGGCCAGAGTTATTGGCTGGGGGATCTGCCCACATGTGTGTCTGGGCACCACAAGAGAGCCCAGGCTGGTTAGGTTTTGGTTCTCTCCTTGATCAGACTCCGGTGGGGTATTTATACTGGCTGGGTGTCTAAGCTCTTCCTGATTGTATTAAGCCTCATGAAAATGAGGCCCAAAACAATCCAGCTAGTGAGAAGGGCTGTAACCACAGCAAAATGTGCCCTGCATTTCTTGTCGTTCTCTGTTTGAGCTCATTTCAACTTTTTCCCAGCATTGGGAGTATAAAGAAACTGCCACGCGTTCCTCTGGTTTGCAAGTATTACCTCATTTCCTTTGTCTAGGATATTAATTCAGAAATATTTATTAAGTGATTTCAGGATTTGGGGCAATTTTGAAAGCATTCAGTTCAAATTCCAAGAAGGATGCCATGGGTTTAAAGGAAATTAGCTACCTCTCCCTCCATTTTCTCAAAAGCATCCTGTCTTTTCTTTAGGGCACTTTGCTTTCTTCACATTGTTCTCTTAATTATTTACAATCATTCATTTGATGGCTGTCTTCTCTACTAAATTGTAGTAATCTCCATCTGGGCAGAGTCTATGAGTGCTGTCTTCACCACCGGGCCCCCAGGGGCAGGCACAAGAAGTTCTTGACCATAACATTTTGATGGGGCAAAGATATGACATCCATTTGGAAGGTGTAATTGTGTTTCCGGAAGTTTGTACACAGCAAGGAAGAATATTCATATAGTTACACATAGTTACATGGGTGAAAATTAGAATTTTGGGGTCAAACCAAGAGTCCGTGTTGTAGAGCTCAAAGAGCCTTGAAGTAATCCTTTCTTGTATTCCTCAAAGGGATATAAGGCAAATCTACCTGAGTTACCATCCCTAGGGAATCCAGTGTGACTTGAAATTACTTTGGGTTGTGAAGGCACATGTCCCATGTGAGTATATTGGAGTTTATTGCACTTCACTAAAAATCTGCAGCTCTGTGAATCAGGCTTCCTGTGCTCATATCCTGGTTCTACCAGTATCTGGATGTCCCACATGCATGTTGTATGGCCTTCAGCACATCTATATGCCTTAGTCTATACATCCATAAAAAAGAAAAATAATAGTACTCACATCATAGACTTCTTCTGGGATTATGTGAGATAATTTATGTAAAGTACTGAGACCAATGCCCAGCTGAGATTAAACTCAATAAATGTCAGTTTTTATTATTATTATTTTCATAAATATGTAATAGTAAAGTTGTCTTTCTATGCACGGTGAATTAGAGAGAGAGAAATATGAATTTTTTAGGAGGAGGAGTAACTCCAATTATTGAGAACCACATGGACAGTGTGGAAATGGAAGTGGGTTCAGAAGAGTGGAAATGAGACTGATAGCCCAAGACATAGCACTTTAGGGAGGAAGAAATGGAGAGGGTGGTAAGAAGAAGACACACAGTTATATGGTCAAGGGTGTGTGTTAGCAAGGCATCGGGTCGACAGAATAAAAACATGGACGATGCATTCAGCTGTTGACTAGGAGTGCCCATGGAGTTGATTCATTTGGCATCTCATTGCTTCCAACCATGTTCACCTGGCATTGGCACAACTGGTCGTTTAATCCAAAAGTTCAGTCCAACCAATATTCAGGGAGAGCTGGTGGCTTGCCTGTGAGGCCTGAACTCCAAATAATCATCTGGCCTGGCTAGCTATTGGGACTGGGCAGTTCTAACAGCAGCATCTGCCAATCCCCTGTGACAGTTATTGGGGTCAGAAATTGCATGGCCTAGAAATTACTAGCAGTGCCCAAAACATTTCTGATTTTAGAGGACTCTTGTAGTAAGACAGAATTGACCAGAAACTATATTGTCTTGCCACTCAGAACAAACACAAGTGACTTGCCATAGAGCCATAGTGATGCGGATTAATCATATTCCCCCAATTCATTCCATAGACCGGGGGTAAGATGTATTACTGGAAGTAAAATCAAGGCTGGTATGTTCTCTTGAAAGTCGTCCCCTCACCTTAGCCCATGATGGAGTTTCTGGCCAATCCAGGATTATTCTTTTTCTCTTTTAATTCCTTCAAAATGAAGAACTTTGTTTTAATCAGCTGAGGTATAATATTATTATATTAAAAAGCAATATATTACAGATATTACTGTGAAGTGTTTTTCCATCCTAAAGAACTTTTCACCTCAATTAGGTTATTTGATCTTTTCAATAACCCTGTGAGGTAAGTTGGATGGATAAGGATATTATTAATTTCATTTGGTACATGGAGACTCAAGGAGGTGCAGTGATTGCTTATCCAAAGACATACAATGGCTAACTGGCAACAATAATAGTTAATATGTAATAGTTACCATGTTCTGCTACTATTATAAGTATTCCTTTAATCTTCACAGGGATCCAATGGAAAAGGCACTATTATTATCTCCATTACACGAGTGAAAAAAACAGACATAGAGTTAGGAAATAAATTGCTCAAGATTACAAGCTGATAAGCGGCAGAGCTGAGATTAGAACCCAATACCTTGGCTTCAGAGTCAAGGTAAGTAATTTCTATGAGGTACTTGGGCAATGTAGCACATGGCCTCAGTGATTCTCAGGCACTTTTTGTTCCAGTTATTGCCTCCCTTCACAGTTCCCTGCCTAGTTTAAGGATCTCCCAATCTTAGATGGACTAAGGATTTTCTAAAATGTGACAAGACAAGAGATTTACAAATAATGTTTGTTTGTCTATTGCAAAAGCTGGATTACCAGCTGGAGGAGAAAACAGGAACCGCCTTCAAAAAGAGAATGAGTGAAGCTTGTGAGGAGGAAAATTCTGTAGAGTGGTTGTCTCACTCTTTCGGTTGTTGCCAAGGCTTCCAGTTGGCTTTCTGCTCTGTGCAGTTTTATTTTGTTGAGGTAGGAGGATACCTATCAATGCCGAAGTCTCACTTTGGAGGTGGTGGGGGTGTGTCAGTTGCATTTTCTTTCTTCTTGAACCTCAGGGAAGTATTGGCAGCAACCAGACTTGAGATCCTTCAGGTAAGGTTTTAGAGCCACTGACTGAGCCTGCATTTCTGGTGAGCTGGTTTGTGGGATGTAGAAGTCACGTGAAAACTTCAAATATTCTGAAGGAAAGATGGTTTGAAATCTTGACTTCTTATAGCCAGGGTCAAAAAGACACTACTTGGTGTCATTTTGAGAAAGTAAGAATGCACTGAGGAGGAAGCGATTCTGTGGACCACCAAGTTTTTTGTTGGTTAAAATAATTCATTTGTTAACATCAGTGTGTAATGCTATGGAGAACATATCATTTTCTCAGTTGCATAATTTCTCCCATGGAAGAAACTGCTTTTGGTTGGGTGGGAGTGGAGCGGGGAAGTGAGTGGGAATTTTCGGGGCTCAACAGTGTTTTCCTCCCTGACTTTACACACAGGTTGGATATGCAACTCAGGTGGCTCCATGGGGGCTTCACCTGGGTTTCTGGAATGGTGTCTCCTTTACTTCCTGCCCTGACTTATTATGTAATCATATTATGTTGTCAAAAATCTAGAGAGAATAAGGTAATAGAGAGAGACCCAAATTCCCTGGGCACTTCTGCTTAACATGATTTTTATGACCTTTGGTATAAGTATTAACCTGAGAATGCCAACTTTGTCATGTCTATAAGCACATGTGCATGGGTGGCCAGGGTGAGGTGGGATGACATTAGAAATTTATTATAGTGCCCATGATGCCAAAGCAGACAATTGAATAACAAAAGTGCTTGCCAAATGAATTTACCTGACATCTGTAGGCAAATAAATTGTGTTGCTTAAGAAAATTTTGCTATTGAAAATTAGAGCTGATAATCATATTGATTTGGTGTATAGTAAATATATTGTGTGCCTATAAAGATAAGGAAGGGTTTGTGTTCATGTGTTGACATTCTTTGAGAGTAATTATTAATACTGCCCTCTACACAGACTGTTCTCTTTATTTAATGTTTATTGATTTATAAAATTGTAAAAAGTAATATAGCAATAACACTGAGCAAGTTTGGGAAAACAGAAACATCTTCCGCCATTTCACCATTCTGATATCATAACTTCTTCATGTTTGAGTTTTCCCTTTTTGCTGTTGGCTGACATATTTCTACCCAGTTGGAATCCTAGCCACACAGACTTTCAATTTACCCAATAACATTTACAAACTGGAAGCAGCATTAGGAATGGATCCATGGATGGACGAGCAAGAAGGGGCATTTGAAAGCATCTGGCAAGATCTCCTTGTTTTGTAAGTGAGATGGCAGAAGCCCAGAGAGGTGAAGGGATTTGCCGTAAGGACAGAGATTGAGAGTAGCTGAGCTGGGGCTTTTCCCAACATCGTGCTGCTTCTGACCACTCCGCGGTGTTTTTCTTGGTCCTGAGCACGTACTCTTCAACAGCACATACTCTTCAACTTGCCTTTTAAATGTATATATATACACAAACATACATATGTGTATGTGCCTGTGTGTGTGTGTATATATATATATTTATATTTACAAAAATGAATTTCTATTTAATGTATGGAAAAGCTTAATTATGGAAAACTTCAATTTCATAAACAATTATAAAAATGGAAAAGAATTGAAAAAATCGCCATGGGACTATGGTATTTGACATTTTCTCACATAACATTTTTCTTGCCAAGTTTCCTAAAAAAGCTTTTTCTAAGGTTTTACACTGCATGCTGTTAGGTTATTTATGATGGAATGCCAGCCACTGCTTACCAATGTGAAAACCTCACTGGCACAGGGAAGGGAAGCCCATAAGAGATGGAAAGGAGAACCAAGCCACACGTAGCATGAACTCATTACAATGGACAATTGTTTTTCTCCCAAACAAAACTGAACTTTATGTAAACTCTATTAAATGGGGGAAACCTCAAGTTTACTTATTTATTTATTTGGCCCTAAGTGGTAATAAAGATGGGATCCCCATGGGGAGGAGTAATCTATTTCTTTTATAATCTTGATCTTTAATATTAGCCTTTAGAAGAAGTTTATAGAAATGCTCACCAGCCTGCAATGTTTTAATACACCTAGGTTACAGTCTTCTCTCTTTTAGGTGTAGTTAGCCATACATCTACAAATGAATAACCACAGAGAATCAAAGAGAAGGAACCAACTAAGCAGATTCACTTGAGAGGTAGATTTGTGGATGCTTTTGGGGGGAATTTTTTTTTTTTTCTGTAGACTACAAATAGATTTTGATAATAAAAATATCTGTCGAAGGCAAATACTTTTCCAATTTCAAATCACATAATACGTAATAAACATATCTATAATAATACATACATATGCATGTATTTTTCTATACAGAATGCTCTTTTGGATTTCCCAATTTAGGAAGAATACTGTATCTCTAGCACACTAGCACACCCAGTGATAAAAATAGGTGCTTAATAAATATTTCTTAAAAGACTGGATTTTCTTCATTCAATGCCTTTACTTTCTAGCCTGCTTTCTCCTGTTGATACTCTCTGTGGGATTTGTATCTGTCAGGGGGACTAAGTTATGCTGCAGTAACAAAGTACCCTGAACATCTCTGACTTTACTGTCATGTTATATATCCATCATGGGTCGCAGAGAGGCCCTGCTCATTATAGTCACACAAGGATTTAAGCTGATGGAGGCTCAATTTCAATATGTTCTCCCATATCATTGCCATAAGGGGAAAGTGTGTAATGAAGCATGCTGGCTCTTAAATCTCCTATCAGGGCTGGGCACTGTGGCTCACACCTGTAATCCCAGCACTTTGGCAGGCCAAGGCAGGCAGAACACCTGAGGTTGGGAGTTCGAGACCAGCCTGACCAACATGGAGAAATCCTGTCTCTACTAAAAATACAAAATTAGCCAGGCGTAGTGGCACATGCCTGCTTGGGAGGCTGAGGCAGGAGAATCACTTGAACCTGGGAGGCGGAGGTTGTGGTGAGCAGAGATCACACCACTGCACTCCAGCCTGGGCAATAAGAGCGAAACTCCATCTCAAAAAAAAAAAAAAAAAAAAAAAGTTCTATCGGGAGAGACACTTAACCACTTTCTGTGTTGTCCAAAAATACATGGCCACACTTAATTTCAAATCCTTTCATGTTTCCTGGAAGGAAGAAAATCAGAATGAATGAGAATGGTCCTGATCATTACAACATAGATATATGATAATAATGGTGATTTGGTTAGATTGTTTTCTTCCCTGAAGAATTTAAAGTGATTTCAGTGTTTAAAACAAATCTGCATTTAAGAGAACAGGTAGGTTGCTGGTGCCACTGTTTCTAGAGGAAGTAGAACATAGAGTGGAAGTGACTTACTCACAGCCATAATATGTGTTAGCAAAAATCCTGACACCCAGGGCCCCAGATTCCTAATGCATTGCCTTCAGAACCACCTATGAGACTCTCCTTGGTCTTTTCAGGAATAACTGTCATTTCTTTAAGCATCTTGAATCCAGGTCTCCATGTGGTGATGGGTTCAAGTTTATAGTTTAAATAGACTTTGGAATGACTGATCTTTTCTATGAAGCAACTGTGGGAGGCTGGATTGTGTAGGACAAAAGTAAGAAAAAAATATAGATTAAATTTAGGTAGGTCTGTATTTAAATTTCAGTTTTGTCTCGTTCCCTGTGTGACTTCTGGAAAGTTACTTAACGTCTCTGAGATTCAGTTGCTTCCTCTGAAAATACGAGCATAATGTCTCTTACTTTGCAGGTTGTGATGAGTGAAAGAAGAAAGGTTCTGAAATGCACTGCACAGTGATGGGCACCAAGAGCAGTTCTACTGTAGGAGCTGTTCTGATCAGTATCACCCAGTTCTTCAGATGTTTTGATTTTCCACATTTTGAGCACCAGAACAGGTCCAGAAATATTGGGGCACTGTTACCAAGTGAGGCTGACGTTGTTTCAAGATAAACAACGTACTTTTTGTTTGTTGCAGACTACTCAATTTATTTTGCTAAAATATTAAGTTCATTGTATCTGTCGGGGGATTAGGTTATGCTGAAGTAACAAACTACCCCAAACATCTGTGACTTTATTCTCATGCTACACATCCATCCATAATGTGAAAAAAAAAAAAAAAGATATTTCAGGGTCTTTCCTTGCTTCCTCCCATCTTAGAGCTGCTTTTGGCAACCCAGTGCTCACAGTATGCGCAAGTAGGCACCATGAAATTCAGGTAAAACAGCAGCTTCTAGAAACTGCTCCACCCTAATTCCAAGAGACCTTGAGTACCATGCTAGAGAGCCCATCCTTCTGTTACCTGTGGGGAAACTCTTGCTACAGAGAGGAGTTACAGCCCTGAGCTGCCTGCCTTATTAAAAAGCACACTTCTGCTCTAGGCAAAAGACAGTCTGGTCTTGCTTTCCTCACTTAATAGGACGCCAGCCTTCACCGGCTTTATCTGTTGTGGTTTGTGGGGGCAGAATCCCAGGTTTCAACGGTGTTGCTAGGTGTGTGGTAGGTCTGCCTCCACTTGGAGTTTCTCTTTGCTCCACTTTCAAGGTGAACTGCAAATATGAGGCTGTTTGGACCTAAGTCAGGAGGGTTTGGGGAAAAGAAAGCAAAACATCATTTTGATTTATCAGTTGCTTAGTAAGTAGCTACTGACCAGGAATCTGCCACTTGTTTTGACTAATATAAGCCAAAAAATACAATTGAAACTGGTTTATGAGTGTAGATATCATCTCAGTTTTTTTAAGGCCCACGAATAAAATCTAATCTCTTAAAGTGTGTACCTATTTGTAAAGAAACATAAATATTTGATCAAAACTTGAAATGTGCCTAATTTTGCAACTCAAATTCCAAACTAGTTGAAACCTCATTCCTTAGAATTTGTTTTAATAACACCGCTCCTCCTTGCTCCAGCTTGGACTCGCTTCCTTCTTCCTTTCCCTTTTCTGCAATACTGAAATGGGCTTATGTATTTATTAGCAGAGTCCATTTAAACCCAGGAAGGTCGATGCTTTTTTTGGAACAGCTTGAATAAAAAATAAAACATAATCTTTGCTCAGTACCTCTTTCTCCACCCTCTTCTCCCCCCCTTTTTTTTTTTGGTAATATACCGGGGAGAAAAAAAAAAACAACTTTCCAAACACAGAACTTTATGGCCAGAAACAATCTGGCTGCTGGAATAAACAGTCTGCTCCCTCGTTTACCATTCCATCATGCGCTTAAGTCCTGAGAAGCCCGCGGCTGCCCGCAATAGTTCTCGGTTGGCAGCAGGGAAGTCTGCCAACGTCCCATCAGGCTTGTTTCTTAAGCAAAGTTGTATAAGTTAACAGGTTTTATTGTTGGGGGTAATCTGGGGCTGTTCTTGCAGGAGGAAGGGACGAGGCCCCCAGAGTGTTTGCCAGCAACAGCCCTTGGCTTTCCTCATTCCCTCTCCTCATTAATTTGTGTGAGCTCAGCTCGGATAACAAACGGTGGGGCTGGGGGATCCCATTCAGCCAGGCCTGGCCCCTGTACGGCCTGTGAGCTAATTGCTCTAATTGAGTGGGAGGGCCTGCTTTCCTCTCGATCTGTCCCTTCCCGGCCTTGTTTGGAGACGAATGAATGGAGGCCCACTTCAGCTCCTGCTGGTAACCAGTCAGGAGCTTGGGCCACAGGATCCACTCCGGGGATCCACATCCCAGACAACTCTTTCACCTGCGGCTCCGGCCCTCCTTTGTGTGCCGAGGTATTCTGACAGTGTTCATTCAGGGCTTTGCTTGCTTGCTTTCTCTTTCCTTTCAGCTTGAGAAACATTCTGCTATAATTTATATCTGGGAAACGGCATTAGAAATGTGTTAGCGTGCCGCTCCAGATGGACAGATCATTTACAACTAGCACAATATATTATCAATGCACTGCTCTTTAAGACCTGCTATATAATAGACATGTAATGAAGCATATGAAACATGGGTTTCATTTCCAGGCCCCGAAAGGGGAAAATGATTTCGGGGAAGAAAACCCACCCCAGGTGGGGGGTAAAGGGTGGGGGCTTGGGGGACAGGGAATGGGCCTGTCTCTTTAAGACAGACTAGGAGGAAAACCAAAAGTCATCAACTCTGAAAGTAACAAATGAGAGCCCAGAGCTGTGCAGCTAATGTGCAAACTTGTTTCTGTCCTCTATGGCGCCATCATTTATTCAGGAGGTAGAAGCAGAAGACGGGGACTTGCATTCGCTTGATACTCAATTATACATTAGTGTACATCACTTGGCAATCTGTTCATATCAATTTAATTGGATTTTAATATTGCCTCTGATCTTGTTGTCCAATTAACAGTACTGGCTGGCAATAAAGCAGAACCACACACTATGTAACACCTTTGATCCCTGCCATATGGAGCTCTTCCATTGATTACCACATTTTCAAAAAATTTCACTCTCTCAATATGGGCTGTGATAAATGGGAGAAAAAGCACATCCCTGATGTGATAAAAATTTCACTTCAACTCGCAACTTCATTTATTTTGTTGACATTCGGCTCTGATTAAGAACAATAAAAAAATCATGCCCTGAATATCATATGCAAATACAACCCTGGGCATGAATCTAATCATGCCATGGGAGCATTACCATGACTAGCCTGGCATCGGCTCAATTTTTTTTAAAGTGACAGCATACACTTCTGGGCTCACTGTGCAAAGTAGTCGCCACCGCTATGGCATTTAATAAACATCTGATGTTTCAGTTCCCACCAAGGCATGGCGAAAGCGTTTGCATTTCTGCCTGTTATTGTGAGGCCCCTCGGTGCAGGTGACGCCTCGTGTTGACCCTCCCCTGATCCTCATCTCCCTACTCCTAGCTTGGGGACAGCCAGGCAGCTGGGAGCCAGGATAGGGGTGAGATTCCTTTGTGGGCTCTCAGGCTTCCTTCTTTTTGGGGGACACCCTTCAGAATGGATGGGCCATGGCGCTTTGGTCTGGAAGGAGCTGCAATGCCAAGGACGGGACCTGCCTGCTCTAGGAAGCTTCTGAATGAATGTGTGCTCCAGCTTCCTGTTTGCCTCTCGGAGTTACGCAAGCAATTATGGCTTAATGCCCTGGAGACACTCCCAAATGACAGGATTAACCCCCAAGGGAAACTGGCTTCTGTTGTGAAGGATTACATCAATGTTCTAAAAAGCCCTTCCACAGCTCTGTGGAATCAATCGCTGATCCTTTTCATGCCTCGACAAGAAGGTTGCTCATGGCCAGAGCTGGGAAGTACCAGAGAGGCCCCTTTTTGGATCCCACAGGCTCTCCTCTCACACCCTCTCTTGCTCTCTGGGACAGACCCCTCAGGCCAGCTCTGGAGCTCTGCTTCTGGGGTCTATGCAGCTGGTCCTGGGCAGTTGGACTCCTAGCTTTAGTAAGGTGGCCATGCCCAATGGCAATGGGGTCCCCATGGTAACCAGGGTTCACCTGGAATCTGGACAACTTTGGAATGTGGGAGGAGGGCTAAGGCTATTGGTTACACATGTCATAAATTATTTCTTGACCATTAGCGGTGTTTCTGCCTCATAACTGTTCTTCAGGCATATTAAATCAGCAAGAAGGAAGAGCATGCTAGGACATCTGGGGCTGCCAGATAATTCAGTTAATTTCTATTCCCTTGAACCTGGAGGTGTTAATTTAGAAGCACAACAGAAGAGTCTGAAGAATGCTAATACGTCATTTGAATGATTAATGCAATCAGGGGGATTGGGGGGACCTCTGTTTACTCTTCAATTTTGACATGGCACAGCAAGGAGGAGAGTGGCTAATTTTCCAAAGTTAAGGGCAAGTTGGTTTCAATATAGTCACATGGCCCTGGCTGGAGTTTGGAGAGCTAGGGCGACTCAGGAGGGCTATATGGGACAATGGGGGCCAGTTTTGTTCATATAATGGCTACAGCCAGGAAAACAGATGCAATTGTTTGTGATCTGATGAGCCTGGTCCTCTTGGGTGAGGAAGCTCCCAGAAGCTACTGGGAACAGCAAACAGAAGGAGGAAAAAGAAAGAAAGAAAGGAAAAGCGAGAGCTTGAAAAAACATCGCTGAAAATAGGTGATAGCCTTATAACGTACATGTATTTTTATCTGACATTTCCAAATAGAGTGGCTTTCTCTAGAAGAAGGAAAATATTTCCAAATTTATTTAAATGAAACCTTATTAGGGAAAGCTTAGGACTGAGCAACTATTTAAAAATATATTTTGAGGAGACACGCAAAGGAAGACATTTAATTCTTAGCAGACTGTAGGCATTTTAAGGGAGCCTTGTGTCTATTTATTGCGCTGCTTCTGATTAGAGACAGCTTATGACTGTGATAACAGGAAATTTCAAAGGGCACTTTCCCCCCACCAACCAGACACTGTAGTATCTCCTTTTTAAAACAAAGAAGGTATTGTGAGAGTGAAAGGGATTTGGCCCCAAGCACTAAACAAAATCTAGAGAGGAGAAAAAACCCTGTAATTATGTTAATAGTAAATTAATGTTTTTGCAATTTACCCATATCACCTCAGAATAGGTGTTGTTCAAAAGTACCTATTGGAAATATTTGGCAGACATGCTGGAGAAGGAATGAAGTCAAAATGTTTAGTTCCCTATAAAACCTTGTGTTTAATCCACAAATGGAGGCTTCCAGGGCCAGAAATACATGTTTTCCCAAGGTGCCACCCAGACACTGCTTACAGAAGCTGGGACAAGGCAAGGGGTCATGCTTCCTGATCATGGGTGGTTTAGAGTTTCCTTGTCTGTAAAACTGGTCTCCCAGGCCCTTCCCATCTCTGGGTACTATACTCTGATTAGCCCTGTCTTCTGGGGCCTATAACACAATGTTACCTCCTGTGTTCGCTCCCTTTGGGTGTTGTCTTGGGTGACTCAGGGGTCTCATCTCAGATAGGGCCCTGGGTTAAACAGATCTTGATGCTAATTTTCATGGAGAGGTTTTTCAGTATATACAAAGTTTTCTGCCCATACCTGGCATATCGATTAAATAAACATTTACTGGGGAATTGTATATGCTAGGAGCTGCACTGGGCTCTTTCTGCAGCTTAAGGTTTTTCTTGATGAATTCTGAGAACAACCCTGAGGGGTAAGAGTTATTACCCATGTTTTACTGATGAGGATGTTGATGCTAAAGAAGCAAAGTGCCTAAAGCTCCAGATGGAAGAGGACACATTCTCTGACTTTTCTTCACCATATCATAGATATTTTAGCACAATTGTGAAGTGGACAGGTTCCCTTCATACCGCAAGCACCCTCTCTTGTGCCTTTCCCTTCCCTCACTGATGTTTCCTCTTCTTCTCAGGTACCGGTCATTCTTTCTTCATGCTATACACTTTCATCAAAGCTGTTCTTAAGAAAAGATCTTATATCAGTCATATATTCTTTAGTATGAATTTAAACTCAAGCCAGAAACTGTGGTAGGACTTTTAAAATAAAACACATACTTTTCTATATTTAATTCTCAAGGGATCTCAGTTTTTAAAATTTTATGGATAATAATGGAATAAAATAATCAACTTGCCTTTTAAAGTGGCCAAGGCATTGATGAGTAGGAGCAATTAGGGCAGATTTGCCTTAATCTTTGAAATAAAGTAAATGTTGACTTTTTCTGCCATATACCAGCAAGAAGCACTCTAGAAACCAGCATTTCTGATAAGCCTTATTATGAATAATGGAAATTGTTATAAATAAAGCACCAAACTAGGAGTGAGGAAGCCTGGGTTTTATTCCCATGTCACTGAAATATATGTTTTTGGGCATACAGGGCTGGAAAATAAAGGGCTTGGACCATAGTGAGACTCTTTCTACCTCCTTATCCATGTCGGACATCATCTGTTACTCTTGGGCCTAGGCGCTGTTTTGGAATCTGTCTGTGCTGATTTTCTGAGCAGCCATTATTTATTGTTTGCCTTTGGCCCTCAAGATGAAATCTATTGCCACCAAGGGGCTAGATGTCTTCCAACATTTCCTTCAGTTAAAAAGTTCTTAAACCTAGGAATGTGACTAGGTCTAGTGGTTCTCAAACCTGTCTGTGCATAACCACTGGAGGCTTTCTAAATGTACATTTTCACTCAGATTCTCTAGGAGCGAAGCTTGGGAATATGTATTTTTTAAAGCTCCTCCAGTGATTATGATGTAGACAATCTACGGACTAACATTTGGGTAATGTCACTATAGATTATATGATTCAGAGTTTTGTTTATCTTAATAATAGGAATTCACAAGTTGAAAACATTGCCATTTCTAAAGTGGTCACAATAATTGAATTTCCATTGGCTAAACATTTTTGGCAAATTTTTACTTTTCATTTCTGCTATTTCATCATTTAGCTTCTGAAGAGTATTAGGGAGTATCACTCATATCTCGTCTTGTAGAGCCCTGTTCTGACTAGATTCAAATATTGGCACAGGAGCTTATCAGCTAGGTGGCCTTGAACAAGTCATTTAATGTAGGCAAGTGACTTAATCTAATCTTCTGTAAAACCAAGGTCAGAATATCTACCTTGCAGAGTTGTTGAGACTCCAAGGTTCTATTATTTCTACTTGATTTTATGGATAATTGTTCTTGAGCACCTACTATGAATGAGGTGGTGTAAAATATAATGGAGAGTAGGCTTACGAGCTCGGGGCCAGTGGCGCAATGGATAAAATATAATGGAGAGGCAAGATGAATAAATAGAATAGTTTCTGGAAGTCATCTAAACCAGTGATTTACTTTTCTTGCCACAATGGCCGTGTTATGCTTAGGTACATGTGTACACAGAGACAAATGAAACGAAAGTTTCATAAAAGAATATTTATCCTTACTGCATGTAATACATGGTGACATTTTCCATTCCATTCAATTCTGTAATACTATGATGCCATGTTAATTTCATGTGCTGCTAGTGTGTCATTACTTGCACTAGACTACTGACCCCCTCAACGTGACCATCTAACCTATGCATGTATACTTCCAGCAATGGGAAACTCTTTGAAGCCAAGAAAAATATCTCTCAACTCACTCTAACTAATATTAATTAAGCATAGACTATTAACAAAGCAATCAACTATCTTCATACTGCATGTTTTATCAAAAGGCCTGTAAATCGATTATTTAGAATGCTGATTGGGTTTCTCTTGTACACTTTTGCTGGCCCTTGGCTTTCCAGGACCTACTTTGCCATTGCTTTCTGTTCCAGACCATGAAATCTTTGTTCCCATAAAAACATAGCTGACCCAGTGTTGATAAGCTAATTACAGCTAACGGATTCCTGGCTGACAGTGATAGAGGTTGCCTTGCATTTTAAAAATAACCTTTGAAGGCTAAAACAAGGAACTTTTTATTAGCCAAATCCAGTGAACAAAGAATTTTGATCATAGCAGAATTCTGTAATCACTTAAAACTGTTTCTACTCTTGGGAACTAGGACTAAGAGCTTAGTCTGAGTATGTAGTTGTATGCCATGGTCTGATTGGACTCGTGGAATATCCTGTCCTGCTTCCACTGAACATACCAAAGTGTAAGTGCTGTTTTTATGAAGCATCTGTTTTCCATAGAGGGGCAGTTTACAAATGTATTCTAAAGCTTAAGACATGATCAAAAATTAAATCCTTGGATGACGACTGCATTGGGAATAGCTAGCCATATAATTTATGTTTGAGGCAATGGCAATGAACTTACATAGGAAAGCACCAAGCCTGAAACTCAGATTTCTGCCAAAGTTGGGTTTCTCTTTGTATCAATTGAATTGATTGTTAATTGAATTAATTATGTTGCCAATTAAGCACTGATCCAAAAAAAAGTCTGATTTTGAAAGATCAAATACAGGTTTGCTGTTTTCATTTGGAAGAAGTGCTCTTCTTAAGCCATAGGGTAGTTTAAGATGCCCTGTTTCTGGGGGTAGAGTGTAGTGGTCAGCAAGATTGGGTCTTTAAATCTGCAATGCCATTGCATTAATTGAGGCTAAATGGGTAGGGAGAGGGAAGACACACAAACATAAATATACTCATACAATGTGCAAAAAGGAAATGGCAATGAGAGCATGAGAGAGTCTAGTTATAAACAATGCCTCGAGAGATATGGGACCCAGGGATTAACTAGGGTTCATACTAACAAATGGGCACCATATTTGTCTTCAGTACATATTATTATACCACTACATCATGTATTTAGTTAGAAAGCTGGTAATAATAAAAGGGGTTCTGGTTGAAGGATCAACCAGTAGTAGTATGACCTTAGGAAAGTTAAGTAACCTCTTTGAGCTAGTTTCTTCATTTAGAAAATAAAAGGCTTAGATGAGAAGATTTTTCTCCTAGGCCTTTCTGTAGCTTGAAAATACTATTATCCTAGGGATTTATACAAATTACACATCAGTGAAACATTACAATGATGCCTAAGCAATGCCTTCTAAATTCATAGGGTTATCCATTCAACAATTATTGAATATGGGCCTTGAAGTATTTTAGCTCCTCAACAAAGTGATAACGGTTTCTCGGCTGCGCTCAGTACTACTTTTCTTCTACACTTTTTGGAGCTCAATCAAAACCCAGGACCCTGCAGGCTAAGATAGATTCTGTCACAGGAAGGAGGCAGGGTAATTTCAGGATTTCATGCCAAGCCTACTTCAGGCCACAGACATCCCACTTCCTATTTCTCCAGAGAAACAGAAGCCAGACAGGATCTTCCTGCTGGCTTCCATGGGGCAGTGGTTGACTGGTGGGCATGAGGGAAAGAGCAGTGGAGACAGAGGCAGGTTGGCCTTTTCATGGGCCTACCAGCCCTGTACATCAAAAGCAAGCAATGACATCGGAGCACCCCAGTCTTAGCAATATAGGGAAATGAGATTCTTATGTTGTATGCAGCTCACACTTGGGAGTCAGTAGGTTGGAGAAAAAGGGAGAAGAACTCAGGGGAAAAAAAAGCAATTATAAGACATAAAATAATATGGATCTATATTGGAGAAAATGCTGAAAAACAAAGAGAGAAAATGTGGCATAAAATACTTAACCAAAAAAAAAAAAAAAAAAAGAAAGAAGAAAGATCATCTAAGGCCAGCTAAGCTTGCAGCCATTGTCACTGATTGTACCTGGGTATTTTAGGATACTGCTGGCAGCCTATTGCCTTAATATTTATTTTGTCCAATGTTTCATTTTGCCCTCTAACCATTACTACCAAAATGAATAAACTTTTTTTTTTAGAACTAATGAATTATAGGAGCCCTCACCTGTAACATGAGATAAATAAATGTGTAAATAAAAGGGTTATCTTAATTATCACCTTCAAGACAGGCAAACATAAGAATAATTTTGAACTGCTTAAAAATGAAACCTGGGGATTCCCGGGCAAGATGGCCAAATAGGAGTAGCTCTGGTCTGCAGCTCCCAGCAAGATCAATGCAGAAGGCAGGTGATTTCTGCATTTCCAACTGAGGTACCTGGTTCATCCCACTGGGACTGGTTAGACAGCAGGTACAGCCCATGGAGGGAGAGCAGAAGCAGGGTGGGGTGTTGCCTCACCCGGGAAGTGCAAGGGGTTGGGGAACTCCATCCCCTAGCCAAGGGAAGCAGTGAGGGACTGTGCTGTGAGGAACAGAGCTATCCAGCCCAGATACTACACTTTTCCCATGGTCTTTGCAACCCGCAGACCAGGAGATTCCCTTGGGTGCCTGGGTTTCAAGCACAAAACTGGGCGGCTGTTTGGGCAGACACTGAGTTAGCTGCAGGAGTTTTTTTCTTACCCCAGTGGCACCTGGAACACCAGCAAGACAGAACCATTCACTCCCCTGGAAAGGGGACTGAAGCCAGGGAGCCAAGTGGTCTTGCTTAGCGGATCCCACCCCATGGAGTCCAGAAAGCTAAGATTCACTGGCTTGAAATTCTCGCTGCCAGCACAGCAGCCTGAAGTCAACCTGGGATGCTCGAGCTTGTTGGGGGTTTGGGAGTCCACCATTACTGAGGATTGACTAGGTGGTTTTCCCTCTACAGTGTAAACAAAGCTGCCAGGAAGTTTGAACTGTGCAGAATCCACTGCAGTTCAGCAAAGCCACTGTAGCCAGACTGCCTCTCTAGATTCCTCCTTTTTAGGCAAGGCATCACTGAAAGAAAGGTGGCAGCCCCAGTCAGGGGCTTATAGATAAAGCTCCCATCTTCCTGGGACAGAGCACCTGGGGGAAGGGGCAGCTGTGGGTGCAGCTTCAGCAGACTTAAACGTTCCTGCCTGCTGGCTCTGAAGAGATCAGCAGATCTCCCAGCACAGTGCTCAAGCTATACTAAGGGACAGACTGCCTCCTCAAGCGGGTCCCTGATCCCCATGCCTCCTGATGGGGAGACACCACTCAGCAGGGGTAGACAGACACCTCATACAGGACAGCTCCAGCTGGTATCTTGCAGATGCCCCTCTGGGATGAAGCTTCCAGAGGAAGGAGCAGGCAGCAATCTTTGCCATTCTGCAGCCTCTGCTGGTGATACCCAGGCAAAGAGGGTCTGGAGTGGACCTCCAGCAAACTCCAGCAGACCTGCAGAAGAAGGTCCTGACTTTTAGAAGGAATACTAACAAACAGAAAGCAATAGCATCGACATCAACGAAAAGGATGCCCATGCAAAAACCCCATTCGAAGGTCACCAGCATCAAAGACTAAAATTGATAAATCCTCGAAGATGAGGAAAAACCAGCACAAAAAGGCTGAAAATTCCAAAAACCCGAATGCCTCTTCTCCTCCAAAGGATCACAACTCCTTGCCAGCAAGGGAACAAAACTGGACAGAGAATGAGTTCGATGAATTGACAGAAATAGGCTTCAGAAGGTGGGAAATAACAAACTCCTCTGAGCTAAAGGAGCATGTTCTAAAAGCTAAGAACCTTGATAAAAGGTTACAGAAAGTGTTAACTAGAATAACCAGGTTAAAGAAGAACATAAATGACCTGACGGAGCTGAAAAACACAGCACAAGAACTTCGTGAAGCATACACAAGTATCGATAGCTGAATCGATCAAGCAGAAGAAAGGATATCAGAGATTGAAGATCAACTTAATGAAATAAAGCATGAAGACAAGATTAGAGAAAAAGGAATGAGAAGGAAAAAAACAAGCCACCAAGAAATACGGGACTATGTGAAAAGACCAAACCTACGTTTGATTGGTGTACCTGAAAGTGATGGGGAGAATGGAACCAAGTTGGAAAATGCACTTCAGGATATTATCCAGGAGAACTTCCCCAATGCAGTGAGACAGGCCAACATTCCAATTCAGGAAATACAGAGAACACCACTTCTCAAGAAATACAAAGATACTTCTCAAGAAGAGCAACCCCAAAACACATAATTGTCAGATTCACCAAGGTTGAAATGAAGGAAAAAATGTTAAGGGCAGCCAGAGAGAAAGGTCAGGTTACCTTCAAAGGAAAGCCCATCAGACTAACAGTGGATCTCTCTGCAGAAACCCTATAAGCCAGAAGAGATTGGGGGCCAATATTCAACATTCTTAAGGAAAAGAATTTTCAACCCAGAATTTCATATCCAGCCAAACTAAGCTTCATAAATGAAGGAGAAATGAAATCCTTTACCCATGAGCAAATGCTGAGGGATTTTGTCACCACCAGGCCTGCCTTACAAGGGCTCCTGAAGGAAGGACTAAATATGGAAAAGCAAAACCAGTACTAGCCACTGCAAAAACATACCAAAATGTAAAGACTGTTGACACTATGAAGAAACTGCATCAACTAACGGGTAAAATAACCAGCTAGCCTCGTAATGACAGGATCAAATTCACACATAACAATATTAACCTTAAATGTAAATGGGCTAAATGCCCCAATTAAAAGACACAGACTGGCAAATTAGATAAAGAGTCAAGACCAATCACCATGCTGTATTCAGGAGACCCATCTCATGTGCAAAGACACACATAGGCTCAAAATAAAGGGATGGACAAATATTTACCAAGCAAATGGAAAGCAAAAAAAAGCAGGGGTTGCAATCCTAGTATCTGATAAAACAGACTTTAAACCAACAAAGATCAAAAATGACAAAGAAGGGTATTACATAATGGTGAGGAGATCAATGCAAGAAGAAGAGCAAACTATCCTAAATATACGTGCATCCAATACAGGAGCACCCGATTCATAAAGAAAGTTCTTAGAGACCTACAAAGCGACTTAGACTTCCACACCATAATAGTGGGAGATTTTAACACCCCACTGTCAATATTAGACAGATCAACGAGACAGAAAATTAACAAAGATATTCAGGACTTGAAATCAGCTCTGTACCAAGTGGATCTAATAGACATCTACAGAATTATCCACCCCAAATCAACAGAATATACATTCTTCTCAGCACCACATAGCACTTATTCTAAAATTAACCACATAATTGGAAGTAAAACACTACTTAGCAAGTGTAAAAGAATGGAAATAATAACAAACAGTCTCTCAGATCACAGTGCAATCAAATTAGAACTCAGGATTAAGAAACTCACTCAAAACTACACAACTACATGGAAACTGAACAACTTGCTCTTGAATGACTACTGGGTAAATAACGAAATTAAGGCAGAAATAAATAAGTTCTTTGAAACCAATGGGAACAAAGACACAACATACCAGAATCTCTGTGACACAGCTAAAGCAGTGATTAGAGGGAAATTTATAGCACTAAATGCCCACATGAGAAAGTGAGAAAGATCTAAAATGACATGCTAACATCACAATTAAAAGAACTAGAGATGCAAGAGCAAACACATTCAAAAGCTAGCAGAAGGCAAGAAATAACTAAGATCAGAGCAGAAGTCAAGGAGAGAGAGACACAAAAAACCCTTCAAAAAATCAATGAATCCAGGAGGTGGTTTTATGAAAAGATTAAAAAAATAGATAGACCACTAGCCAGACTAATAAGAAAAAAGGGAAGAATCAAATAGACACAATAAAAAATGATAAAGGGGATGTCACCACTTATCCCACAGAAATACAAATTACCATCAGAGAATACTATAAACACATCTATACAAATAAACTAGAAAATCTAGAAGAAATGGATAAATTCCTGAACACATACACCCTACCCAGGCTAATCCAGGAAGAAGTCAAATCCCTGAATAGACCAATAACAAGTTCTGAAATTGAGGCAGTAATTAATAGCCTACCAGCCAAAAAAAGCCCAGGACCAGACGAATTCACAGCCGAATTCTACTAGAGGTACAAAGAGGAGCTGGTACCATTCCTTCTGAAACTATTTCAAATGATAGAAAAAGAGGGAATCCTCCATAACTAATTTTATGAGGCCAGAATCACCCTGATACCAAAACCTGGCAGAGACACAACAAAAAAAGAAAATTTCAGGCCCATATCCATGATGAACATCAATGCGTAAATCCTCAACAAAATACTGGCAAACTGAATTTAGCAGCATATTAAAAAGCTTATCCACCATCATCAAGTCAGCTTCATCCCTGGGATGCAAGGCTGGTTCAACATATGCAAATCAATAAATGTAATCCATCACATAAACAGAACCAATGACAAAAACCCCGTGATTATCTCAATAGAGGCAGAAAAAGCCTTCAATAAAATTCAACATCCCCTCAGGCTAAAAACACTCAATAAACTAGGTATTGATGGAATGTATCTCAAAATAGTAAAAGCTAGTTATGACAAACCCACAGCCAATATCATACTGACTGGGCAAAAGCTGGAAGCATTCCCTTTGAAAAACAGCACAAGACAAGGATGTTCTCTCTGACCAGTCCTATTCAACGTAGTACTGGAAGTTCTGGCCAAGGCAATCAGGCAAGAGAAAGAAAATAAAGAGTATTCAAATAGGAAGAGAGGAAGTCAAATTATCTCTGTTTGCAGATGACATGATTGTATATTTAGAAAACCCCATCAGCTCAGCCCAAAATGTCCTTTTTTTTTTAATTTTTTTTTTTTTTAATTATACTTTAAGTTTTAGGGTACATGTGCACATTGTGCAGGTTAGTTACATATGTATACATGTGCCATGCTGGTGTGCTGCACCCACTAACTCGTCATCTAGCATTAGGTATATCTCCCAATGCTATCCCTCCCCGCTCCCCCCTCCCCACCACAGTCCCCAGAGTGTGATATTCCCCTTCCTGTGTCCATGCGATCTCATTGTTCAATTCCCACCTGTGAGTGAGAATATGCGGTGTTTGGTTTTTCGTTCTTGCGATAGTTTACTGAGAATGATGGTTTCCAATTTCATCCATGTCCCTACAAAGGACATGAACTCATCATTTTTTATGGCTGCATAGTATTCCATGGTGTATATGTGCCACATTTTCTTAAGCTAATAAGTAACGTCAGCAAAGTCTCAGGATACAAAATCAATGTGCAAGAATCACAGGGATTCCTATAAACCAATAATAGACAAACAGAGAGCCAAATTATGAGTAAACTCCCATTCACAATTGCTACAACGAGAATAAAATACCTAGGAATACAGCTTACAAGGGATGTGAAGGACCTCTTCAAGGAGAACTACAAACCACTGCTCAGGGAAATAAGAAAGGACACAAACAAATGAAAAAACATTCCATGCTCATGGATAGGAAGAATCAATATCGTGAAAATGGCCATACTACCCAAAGTAATTTATAGATTCAATCCTATTTCCATTAAATACCCTTGAAATTCTTCACAGAATTAGAAAAATCTACTTTAAATTTCATATGGAACCAAAAAGTGCCTGTATAGTCAAAACAATCCTAAGCAAACAGAACAAAGCTGGAGGCGTCATGCTACATGACTTCAAACTATGCTACAAGGCTACAGTAACCAAAACAGCATGGTACTGGTACCAAAACAGATATATCTACCAATGGAACAGAATAGAGGCATCAGAAAAAACACCATGCATCTACAACCATCTGATCTTTGACAAACCTGACAAAAATAAGCAATGGGGAAAGAATTCCCTATTTAATAAATGGTGCTGGGAAAACTGGCTAGCCATATGCAGAAAACAGAAACTGAGCCATGTGCAGAAAACAGAAACTGAATCCCTTTCTTACATCTTATACAAAAATTAACTCAAGGTGAATTGAAGACTTAAAAGTAATACCTAAAACCATAAAAACCCTAGAAGATATCCTAGGCAATACCATTCAGGACACAGGCATAGGCAAAGACTTCATGACTAAAACACTAAAAGCAATTTCGACAGAAGCCAAAATTGACAAATGGGATCTAATTAAACTAAAGAGCTTTGGCACAGCAAAAGAAGCTATCATCAGAGTGAAGAGGCAACCTACAGAATGGGAGAAAATTTTTGCAATCTATTCATCTGACAAAGGGCTAATATCCAGAATCTACAAGGAACTTAAACAAAGTTATGAGAACAAAACCAAACAACCCCACCAAAAAGTGGGTGAAGGATATGAACAGACACTTTTCAAAAGAAGACGTTTATGTGGCCAATAAACATATGAAAAAAAGGTCATTATCAGTGCTCATTAGAGCAATGCAAATCAAAACCGCAATGAGATATCATCTCATGCCAGTTAGAATGATGATTATTAAAAAGTCAGGAAGCAACAGATGCTGGAGAGTATGTGGAAAAATCAGAGGAGTGTAAATCAGTACTACCATTGTGGAAGACAGTGTGGTAATTCTTCAAAGATCTAGAACTAGAAATACAATTTGACCCAACAATCCCATTACTGGGTGTACACCCAAAGGATTATAAATCATTCTACTATAAAGACACATGCACACGTATGTTTATTGCAGCACTGCTCACAATAGCAAAGACTTGGAACCAACCCACATGCCCATCGATGATAGACTGGACAAAGAAAATGTGGCACATACACACCATGGAATACTATGCACCCATAAAAAAGAATGAATTCATGTCCTTTGCAGGGACATGGATAAAGCTGGAAACCATCATTCTCAGCAAACTAACACAGGAACAGAAAACCAAACACCACATGTTCTCACTCATAACTGGGAGTTGAACAATGAGAACATATGGGCAAAGGGAGGGGAGCATCACACATAGGGGCCTGTTGGGGGGTGGGGGGTAAGGGAAGGGATAGCATTAGGAGAAATACCTAATGTGGATGACGGGTTGATAGGTGCAGCAAACCACCAACAAACCTGCATGTTCTACTTTTTGTCCTTGAGATAGTTTGCTGAGAATCATGGTTTCCAGCTTCATCCATGTCCCTACGAAGGACATGAACTCATCATTTTTTATGGCTGCATAGTATTCCATGGTGTATATGTGCCACATTTTCTTAATCCAGTCTGTCATTGATGGACACTTGGGTTGGTTCCAGCATTAGGAGATATACCTAATGTAAATGATGAGTTAATGGGTGCAGCACACCAACATGGCACATGTATACATATGTAACAAACCTGCACGTTGTGCACATATACCCTAGAACTTAAAGTGTAATAAAAAAATGAAAAAAAGAGAAAAAAAGAACCCCTGCACGTTCTGCACATATATCCCAG
Source organism: Homo sapiens (assembly GCF_000001405.40). Classification (NCBI taxonomy): domain Eukaryota; kingdom Metazoa; phylum Chordata; class Mammalia; order Primates; family Hominidae; genus Homo; species Homo sapiens. The sequence goes on along the minus strand of NC_000002.12, from coordinate 60,200,634 downwards.
AACTTAAAGTATAACAACTACAACAACAAAAAACAACAAAAACAAACAAACAAAAAACCCTTTGTCTATTATGGCAAAAGTTATAGCTTATACCAAGTCATATAATTTATTTGATTTTCAGAACATAATAAAGTGAAGAATTACATATATATAGAAAAATGCACAATCATAAGTGTACAGCTTAATTATTAAAACAGCTTTTATTTTTTAGAATAATTTTAGATTTACAGAAAAATTGGGAGGATAGTACAGAGAGATTCCCATATATCTCCCACCTCGTTTCCACTATTACTAACACCTTACATTAGTATGGTACAATTGTTACAATAATTAGACTGGAGTTACAGGTTTCTTGAAAGAACACCATGGAGGCAAATTGCCATTTTCATCACATCATATCAAGGGTACACACTGTCAGAATGATTTATCGCTGTTGATGTTGACTTGATTGCCTGGTTGGAATAGTGTTTGTCTAGTTTGTCCATTGTGAAGTTACTTCTCCCTTCCCTTTTCATGTTTTACTCTTTAGAAGGAAGTCACTATGTGAAGCCCACATGGAAGGGCTGAGGAGTTATGGTCTACCTATTGAGGAGGGAGTATATATATATATGTATATATAAAATTTAAAATCCTTCTACAGGGGAGAATTGTATATTATCTCATGTATTTATTTATATCAATATGAACTCATGAATATTTATTTTCCACTTTGGGTTATTCAATACTATTTTATTTTATTTTATTTATTTTGCTGCTTAAATTGTTCTAGCTTTGGCCATTAGGAGCTTTTTCAGTTGGCTCCTGTGTTTCCCTGACATACGCCCAGTTTTGTTTTTTTTTTTTTAGTATTTCCTTACTTTTTTGTTAGTACATGATGCTCCAGAATCATCTTGGGTATTTCCTGCTCCATTTCTAGATTCAGGCTGTTCTCCAAGGAGCTCTGTTTCCTTTTATTGGAGAATGGTATTGGAAACCAAGATCTGAGTCATAGGTGTGCTCATTGCAACTGTGATATTGTTGATTCTAGCCTCTATCAGATGACAGAGCAAAGAACTGTATGTGTGTATACTCATCCATATGTGTGCACATATTTATAACAATTTCTATATATAATTATATCTATATTAAACTAAACGTGAATTCATACTGATGATTTCAACTCTAATCAATTACTGCTTGGATCATTCTAGGCTTATCTGTACATTCCCACTCCAACAGTGAGAAATCCAGCTCCCACCATCCACCATCCTTAATTGTTCAATCACGCGTAGCAAGAATTGTTAAGTTGAACCCCTGTGGGAAACAACTTTAGCAACAAGAATACTGTGCTTATATATAGTTCTTTTTGCCTTCAGCCTTAAAAACTCCACTCATTTCTAAAGTTACTTGGGTCACTACCCTTTCCTTCAATGATAATGTTTTATGCATTTGCAATACAGTAAGATTTTTTGTCATGGTCTGTATTCCATTTAGGAGACCACCTTATTCCTAATCACTTTATTCCATTTAAGAATCACCTGATCACCTGATTCCACTTAGGAATCCAGGTGATCAAGTGATTCCTGGATTCCAATTTACCAATCAGGAGATCACCCGATTTACTAAATGACTTAAAAAAAAATTACATACATTACATTCTGCTCTTTGTTCTGTAAAACTCTGTACATTTTGACAAATGTGTAATGTCATGTATCCATCATTACTGCATTATACAGAATGTATTGTGAAGATTCATGGCCATAAAAGATTCCCTGTGCTTCACTTATTTAGCCTTCTTTCCTTCTGAACCCCTGGCAACCAGTAATCTTTTTACTGTTCTTATGGATTTGCCTTTTCCAGAATATCATATAATTGGAATTATACAGTATGTATCTTTTTTAGCATGGCTTCTTACACTTAGCGGTATGCATCCAAGGTTCATCCATGTCTTTTTGTGGCTCAATAGCTCATTTCTTTTTATTGATGAATAATATTCCATTTTATGAGTGTACCACAATTTATCCATTCACCTATCAAGAACATATTGGTTGCTTCTATTTTTCAAATAAAGCTGCTATACACTTTTGGGTGCAAGTTTTGGTGTAGGCCTAAATTTTCCAATAAGTTGGAAAAATCAATCTAGGAGCATGATTGCTGTTATGTTACGACTATGGTTAGGTTTGTGGGAAACTATAAAACTGTCTTCCAAAGAGGCTGTACCATTTTGCATTCCCATCAGCAATGAATGGGAGTTCGTGTCACTTTATATTTTTGGCATTGGTGTTGTCAGGTTTTTTTTTCCATTCTAATAGGAGGGTAGTGGTATTTCATTGTTGTTTTAATATGTAATTCCCTTATGGTATAAGACATTAACTATATTTTCATAAGCTTATTTGCAATCGTTATATCTTTTTTGATGAGGTGTGTGTTCAGATCTTTTGTGCTTTTTTAAGTTGGATTGTTTGTTTTCTTATTGTTTAAGTTTTAAGGGTTGTGGTACATTTTGGATAGAAGACCCTTATAGACACATGTTTTGCAAATATTTTCTCCCAGTCTGTGGCTCACACATTTATTCACTTAACGGTGTCTTTTACAGAGGAGAAGTCTTAAATTTTAATAAAGTCCAGTTTACCAAATTTTCTCTTTCATGTCTTATGCTTTTCTATTTACATTGTCTGTATAAAAACTCATTGCTAAACTAAAACTCACTTATATTTTCTCCTAGAAGCTTTATAGTTTTGAATTTCATAGTTAGTTCTATGACCCATTTTAATTAATTTTTGTGAAAGGTGTGAGAACTATATCCTGTTCCATTTTTTTCACATATAAACATGTAATTATTCTAGCATCATTTATGACAAACCTATAGCCAATATCATACTGAGTGAGCAAAAGCTGGAAGCATTCCCTTTGAAAGCCAGCACAAGACAAGGATGCCCTCTCTCACCCGTCCTATTCAACATAGTATTGGAAGTTCAGGCCAAGGCAATCAGGCAAGAGAAAGAAATAAACAGTATTCAAATAGGAAGAGAGGAAGTCAAATTATCTTTGTTTGCAGATGACATGATTGTATGACATGTCATGCAGATGACATGATTTGGGCTAAGCCCAAAATGTCCTTAAGCTAATGAGCAACTTCAGCAAAGTCTCAGGATACAAAATCAATGAGCAAAAATCACAGGCATTCCTATACACCAATAATAGACAAGCCGAGAGCCAAATCATGAGTGAACTCCCATTCACAATTGCTACAAAGAGAATAAAATACCTAGGAATACAGCTTACAAGGGATGTGAAGGACCTCTTCAAGGAGAACTACAAACCACTGCTCAAGGAAATAAGAGAGGACACAAATGGAAGAACATTCCATGCTCATGGATAGGAAGAATCAATGTCATGAAAATGGCCATACTACCCAAAGTAATTTATAGATTCAATGCTATTCCCATCAAACGATCCTTGAAATTTTTCACAGATTTATAAAAAACTACTTTAAATTTCATGTGAAACCAAAACAGAGCCCATATAGCCAAGAGAATCCTAAACAAAAAGAAGAAAGCTGGAGGCATCATGCTGTCTGTCTTCAAACTATACTACAAGGCTACAGTAACCAAAACAGCATGCTACTGGTACCAAAACAGATATATCGACCAATGGAACAGAACAGAGGTGTCAGAAATAACACCATGCATCTACAACCATCTGATCTTTGACAAACCTGACAAAAATAAGCAATGGGGAAAGGATTCCCTATTTAATAAATGGTGCTGGGAAAACTTGATAGCCATATGCAGAAAACAGAAACTGGATCCCTTCCTTACACTTTATACAAAAATTAACTCAAGATGGATTAAAACTTAAATGTAAAACCCAAAACCATAAAAACTCTAAAAGAAAATCTAAGCAATACCATTCAGGTCATAGGCATGGGCAAGGATGAAAGTCTTTTCATGATGAAAAGACCAAAAGCAATTGTAATAAAAGCCAAAATTGACAAATGGTTTCCAATTAAACTAAGGAGCTTCTTCACAGCAAAAGAAACTATCATCAGAGTGAAAAGGCAACCTAGAGAATGGGAGAAAATTTTTGCAATCTGCCCATCTGACAAAGATCTAATATCCAGAATCTACAAGGAACTTCAACACCTTTATATGAAAAAAACAAACAACCCCCATCAAAAAATGGGCAAAGGATATGAACAGACAGTTTTCAAAAGAAGACATTTATGCAACCAACAAACATACGAAAAAAAGCTCATCATCACTGATCATTAGAGAAATTCAAATCAAAACCACAACGAGATACCATTTCACACCAGTTAGAATGGCGAAGCTGTGGAGAAACAGGAACCCTTTTACACTGTTGGTGGGAATGCAAATTAGTTCAACCATTGTAGAATACAGTGTGGCGATTCCTCAAGGACACAGAAGCAGAAATACCATTTGACCCAGCAATCCCATTACTGGGTATATACCCAAAGGAATATAAATAATTATTCTATAAATATACATGCACACGTATGTTTATTGCAGTACTATTTACAATAGCAAAGATGTGGAACCAACTCCAATGCCCATCAATGATAGAGTGGATAGAGAAAATGTGGCACATATATACTATGGAACACTATGCAGCCACAAAAAAGAATGAGTTCATGTCCTTTGCAGGGACATGGATGAAGCTGGAAGACATCATCCTCAGCAAACTAACACAGGAACAGAAAACCAAACACCACATGTTCTCACTCATAAGTGGGAGTTGAACAATGAGAACACATGGACAGTAGGAGAGGAACAACACACGCCAGGGCCTGTCAGGAGGTAGGGGGTAAGGGGAGGGTGAGCATTAGGACAAATACCTAATGCACGCGAGGCTTAAAACCTAGATGATGGTTTGATCGGTGCAGCAAACCACCATGGCACATGTATACCTATGTAACAAACCTGCACATTCTGCACATGTATCCTGGAACTTAAAGTAAAATAATAATTAAAAAATTGTTCCAGCATCATTTGTTGAATACACTAGCTTTTCTCTATTGAATTTCCTTTGCTCCTTTCTCAAAGACCAGTCAACTATATTTGTTTGGGTCAATTTCTGGGCTCTCTGTTGTGTTTGATTGATCTATGTATCTATTCTTTCACCAGTGTTCTTGATTATTGTAGCTTTATAGTGAATCCTCCAACTTTGTTGTTATTCTTCAGTATTGTATTGGCTCTTATAAATCTTTTGCCTTCCATATAATTTTTGGGTGCAGTTTACCAATATTTACAAATAGCTTACTGGGGTTTTGAGTGGATTGTGCTGAATCTATAAAACAGGTTGGGAAGAATTGGCATCATAATCCATGAATACAGAATATCTCTCTATTTACTTAGCTCTCATTTGATTTCTTTTAGCAAAGTTTAATAGTTTTCCTCATGTAAAACTTGTCATATTTTGTTAGATTTATACCTAAGTATTTTATATTTTTGATGTTATTTTAATAATATTGTCTATTTTTATAAATTTCTTTTTTTTATTTTTTCAGTATACATCTTCTCTTTTATTACCACATAATAGTATCTTTTGAAGGGCAGAATTTTTTTTTCATTGTTCTTTTTTTATTTATTATTATTATACTTTAAGTTTTAGCGTACATGTGCACAATGTGCAGGTTAGTTACATATGTATACATGTACCATGCTGGTGCGCTGCACCCACTAACTCGTCATCTAGCATTAGGTATATCTCCCAATGCTATCCCTCCCCCCTCCCCCCACCCCACAACAGTCCCCAGAGTGTGATGTTCCCCTTCCTGTGTCCGTGTGTTCTCATTGTTCAATTCCCATCTATGAGTGAGAATATGCGGTGTTTGGTTTTCTGTTCTTGCGATAGTTTACTGAGAATGATGATTTCCAATTTCATCCATGTCCCTACAGAGGACATGAACTCATCATTTTTTAATGGCTGCATAGTATTCCATGGTGTATATGTGCCACATTTTCTTAATCCAGTCTATCATTGTTGGACATTTGGGTTGATTCCAAGTCTTTGCTATTGTGAATAATGCCGCAATAAACATACATGTGCATGTGTCTTTATAGTAGCATGATTAATAGTCTTTTGGGTATGTACCCAGTAATGGGATGGCCGGGTCAAATGGTGTTTCTAGTTCTAGATCCCTGAGGAATCGCCACATTGACTTCCACAATGGTTGAACTAGTTTACAGTCCCACCAACAGTGTAAAAGTGTTCCTATTTCTCCACATCCTCTCCAGCACCTGTTGTTTCCTGACTTTTTAATGATTGCCATTCTAACTGGTGTGAGATGGTATCTCATAGTGGTTTTGATTTGCATTTCTCTGATGGCCAGTGATGGTGAGCATTTTTTCATGTGTCTTTTGGCTGCATAAATGTCTTCTTTTGAGAAGTGTCTGTTCATGTCCTTTGCCCACTTTTTGATGGGGTTGTTTGTTTTTTTCTTGTAAATTTGTTGGAGTTCATTGTAGATTTTGGATATTAGCCCTTTGTCAGATGAGTATGTTGCAAAAAGTTTCTCCCATTTTGTAGGTTGCCTGTTCACTCTGATGGTAGTTTCTTTTGCTGTGCAGAAGCTCTTTAGTTTAATTAGATCCCATTTGCCAATTTTGGCTTTTGTTGCCATTGCTTTTGGTGTTTTAGACATGAAGTCCTTGCCCATGCCTATGTCCTGAATGGTAATGCCTAGGTTTTCTTCTAGGGTTTTTATGGTTTTAGGTCTAACGTTTAAGTCTTTAATCCATCTTGAATTGATTTTTGTATAAGGTGTAAGGAAGGGATCCAGTTTCAGCTTTCTGCATATGGCTAGCCAGTTTTCCCAGCACCATTTATTAAATAGGGAATCCTTTCCCCATTGCTTGTTTTTCTCAGGTTTGTCAAAGATCAGATAGTTGTAGATATGTGGCATTATTTCTGAGGGCTCTGTTCTGTTCCATTGATCTATATCTCTGTTTTGGTACCAGTACCATGCTGTTTTGGTTACTGTAGCCTTGTAGTATAGTTTGAAGTCAGGTAGTGTGATGCCTCCAGCTTTGTTCTTTTGGCTTAGGATTGACTTGGTGATGCAGGCTCTTTTTTGGTTCCATATGAACTTTAAAGTAGTTTTTTCCAATTCTGTGAAGAAATTCATTGGTAGCTTGATGGGGATGGCATTGAATCTGTAAATTACCTTGGGCAGTATGGCCATTTTCACGATATTGATTCTTCCTACCCATGAGCACGGAATGTTCTTCCATTTGTTTGTATCCTCTTTTATTTCCTTGAGCAGTGGTTTGTAGTTCTCCTTGAAGAGGTCCTTCACATCCCTTGTAAATTGGATTCCTAGGTATTTTATTCTCTTTGAAGCAATTGTGAATGGGAGTTCACTCATGATTTGGCTCTCTGTTTGTCTGTTGTTGATGTATAAGAATGCTTGTGATTTTTGTACATTGACTTTGTATCCTGAGACTTTGCTGAAGTTGCTTATCAGCTTAAGGAGATTTTGGGCTGAGACAGTGGGGTTTTCTAGATATACAATCATGTCGTCTGCAAACAGGGACAATTTGACTTCCTCTTTTCCTAATTGAATACCCTTTATTTTCTTCCCCTGCCTAATTGCCCTGGCCAGAACTTCCAACACTATGTTGAATAGGAGTGGTGAGAGAGGGCATCCCTGTCTTGTGCCAGTTTTCAAAGGGAACGCTTCCAGTTTTTGCCCATTCAGTATGATATTGGCTGTGGGTTTGTCATAGATAGCTCTTATTATTTTGAAATACATACCATCAATACCTAATTTATTGAGAGTTTTTAGCATAAAGTGTTGTTGAATTTTGTCAAAGGTCTTCTCTGCATCTATTGAGATAATCATGTGGTTTTTGTCATTGGTTCTGTTTACATGCTGGATTACATTTATTGACTTGCGTATATTGAACCAGCCTTGCATCCCAGGGATGAAGTCCACTTGATCATGGTGGATAAGCTTTTTGATGTGCTGCTGGATTCGGTTTGCCAGTATTTTATTGAGGATTTTTGCATCAATGTTCATCAAGGAAATTGGTCTAAAATTCTCTTTTTTGGTTGTGTCTCTGCCCAGCTTTGGTATCAGAATGATGCTGGCCTCATAAAATGAGTTAGGGAGGATTCCGTCTTTTTCGATTGATTGGAATAGTTTCAGAAGGAATGGTACCAGTTCCTCCTTGAACCTCTGGTAGAATTCGGCTGTGAATCCATCTGGTCCTGGACTCTTTTTGGTTGGTAAGCTATTGATTATTGCCACAATTTCAGATCCTGTTATTGGTCTATTCAGAGATTCAACTTCTTCCTGTTTTAGTCTTGGGAGAGTGTATGTGTCGAGGAATTTATCCATTTCTTCTAGATTTTCTAGTTTATTTGCGTAGAGGTGTTTCTAGTATTCTCTGATCGTAGTTTGTATTTCTGTGGCATTGGTGGTGATATCCCCTTTATCATTTTTTATTGCGTCTATTTGATTCTTCTCTCTTTTTTTCTTTATTAGTCTTGCTAGTGGTTTATCAATTTTGTTGGTCCTTTCAAAAAACCAGCCCCTGGATTCATTAATTTTTTGAAGGGTTTTTTGTGTCTCTATTTCCTTCAGTTCTGCTCTGATTTTAGTTATTTCTTGCCTTCTGCTAGCTTCTGAACGTGTTTGCTCTTGCTTTTCTAGTTCTTTTAATTGTGATGTTAGGGTGTCAATTTTGGATCTTTCCTGTTTTCTCTTGTGGGCATTTAGTGCTATAAATTTCCCTCTACACACTGCTTTGAATGCATCCCAGAGATTCTGGTATGTTTTGTCTTTGTTCTCGTTGGTTTCAAAGAACATCTTTATTTCTGCCTTCATTTCGTTATGTACCCAGTAGTCATTCAGGAGCAGGTTGTTCAGTTTCCATGTAGTTGAGTGGTTTTGAGTGAGATTCTTAATCCTGAGTTCTAGTTTGATTGCACTGTGGTCTGAGAGTTTGTTATAATTTCTGTTCTTTTACATTTGCTGAGGAGAGCTTTACTTCCAACTATGTGGTCAATTTTGGAATAGGTGTGGTGTGGTGCTGAAAAAAATGTATATTCTGTTGATTTGGGGTGGAGAGTTGTGTGGATGTCTATTCGGTCTGCTTGGTGCAGAGTTGAGTTCAATTCCTAGGTATCCCTGTTGACTTTCTGTCTCGTTGATCTGTCTAATGTTGACAGTGGGGTGTTAAAGTCTCCCATTATTAATGTGTGGGAGTCTAAGTCTCTTTGTAGGTCACTCAGGACTTGCTTCATGAATCTGGGTGCTCCTGTATTGGGTGCATATATATTTAGGATAGTTAGCTCTTCTTGTTGAATTGATCCCTTTACCATTATGTAATGGCCTTCTTTGTCTCTTTTTATCTTTGTTGGTTTAAAGTCTGTTTTATCAGAGACTAGGATTGCAACCCCTGTCTTTTTTTGTTTTCCATTTGCTTGGTAGATCTTCCTCCATCCTTTTATTTTGAGCCTATGTGTGTCTCTGCACATGAGATGGGTTTCCTGAATACAGCACACTGATGGGTCTTGACTGTTTATCCAATTTGCCAGTCTGTGTCTTTTAATTGGAGAATTTAGTCCATTTACATTTAAAGTTAATATTGTTATATGTGAATTTGATCCTGTCATTATGATGTTAGCTGGTTATTTTGCTCGTTAGTTGATGCAGTTTCTTCCTAGGCTCGATGGTCTTTACATTTTGGCATGATTTTGCAGCGGCTGGTACCGGTTGTTCCTTTCCATGGTTAGCACTTCCTTCAGCAGCTCTTTTAGGGCAGGCCTGGTGGTGACAAAATCTCTCAGCATTTGCTTGTCTGTAAAGTATTTTATTTCTCCTTCACTTATGAAGCTTCGTTTGGCTGGATATGAAATCCTGGGTTGAAAATTCTTTTCTTTAAGAATGTTGAATATTGGCCCCTACTCTCTTCTGGCTTGTAGAGTTTCTGTCAAGAGATCTGCTGTTAGTCCGATGGGCCTCCCTTTGAGGGTAACCCGACCTTTCTCTCTGGCTGCCCTTAACATTTTTTCCTTCATTTCAACTTTGGTGAATCTGACAATTATGTGTCTTGGAGTTGCTCTTCTCGAGGAGTATCTTTGTGGCGGTCTCTGTATTTCCTGAATCTGAATGTTGGCCTGCCTTGCTAGATTGGGGAATTTCTCCTGGATAATATCCTGCAGAGTGTTTTCCAACTTGTTTCCATTCTCCCCGTCACTTTCAGGTACACCAATCAGATGTAGATTTGGTCTTTTCACATAGTCCCATATTTCTTGGAGGCTTTGCTCATTT